>NC_000008.11:25011617-25314648 GCF_000001405.40 Homo sapiens
TCCCATAAAGGAAAATGGGGTATCCATGCCCTCAGGCATTTATCCTTTGTGTTACAATCTAATTTTACTCTTTTAGTTAGTTAAAAATGTACAATTAAATTATCTTTACTTGGACATTGTTATATCAACATTGTGTAGTAAAGTTCTGTGCACAGTTTAGATGTTTAATGCATATTTAAGGCCTAACTGAACATGTTCCTTGAACCTTTTTCTGGCACCTGCCCTCCTTAACCCACTAAGTTTGAGAAGAAATTGGGAGATGAAAGATGGTCCAACTACCTTCCCGTCCCTCAGTTTATATCACGCTATGGTAAACTCGTGGCATCAGAAGTATTTATCCTCAACCCTCCAGCCTCCCCTTCCTAGTATCCCCTCTTAACACCAAATAACCAATGAATAGAGGAGTAGGTACAGACTAGAGAGCCTGGGCTCAGCTGCAGCCCAACTTAGCAGTGTTTCAGTTGAAAAGAACTTCTTCTCAGGCAAGAAATAACTAAGATCAGAGCAGAACTGAAGGAAATAGAGACACAAAAATCCCTTCAAAAAACTAATGAATCCAGGAGCTGGTTTTTTGAAAAGATCAACAAAATTGATAGACTGCTAGCAAGACTAATAAAGAAGAAAATAGAGAATAATCAAATAGACTCAATAAAAAGTGATAAAGGGGATATCACCACCGATCCCACAGAAATACAAACTACCATCAGAGAATACTATAAACATCTCTGCGCAAATAAACTAGAAAATCTAGAAGAAATGGATAAATTCCTCGACACATACACCCTCCCAAGACTAAACCAGGAAGAAGTTCAATCTCTGAATAGACAAATAACAGGCTCTGAAATTGAGGCAATAATCAATAGCTTACCAACCAAAAAAGTCCAGGACCAGATGGATTCACAGCCGAATTCTACCAGAGGTACAAGGAGGAGCTGGTACCATTCCTTCTGAAACTATTCCCATCAATAGAAAAAGAGGGAACCCTCCCTAACTCATTTTATGAGGCCAGAATCATCCTGATACCAAAGCCGGGCAGAGACACAACCATAAAAGAGAATTTTAGACCAATATCCTTGATGAACATTGATGCAAAAATCCTCAATAAAATACTGGCAAACTGAATCCAGCAGCACATCAAAAAGCTTATCCACCATGATCAAGTGGGCTTCATCCCTGGGATGCAAGACTGGTTCAACATATGCAAATCAATAAATGTAATCCAGCATATAAACAGAACCAAAGACAAAAACCACATGATTATCTCAATAGATGCAGAAAAGGCCTTTGACAAAATTCAACAACTTTCATGCTAAAAACTCTCAATAAATTAGGTGTTGATGGGACATATCTCAAAATAATAAGAGCTATCTATGACAAACCCACAGCCAATATCATACTGAATGGGCAAAAACTGGAAGCATTCCCTTTGAAAACTGGCACAAGACAGGGATGCCCTCTCTCACCACTCCTATTCAACGTAGTGTTGGAAGTTCTGGCCAGGGCAATCAGAGAGGAGAAGGAAATAAAGGGTATTCAATTAGGAAAAGAGGAAGTCAAATTGTCCCTGTTTACAGATGACATGATTGTATATCTAGAAAACCCCAGCGTCTCAGCCCAAAATCTCCTTAAGCTGATAAGCAACTTCAGCAAAGTCTCAGGATACAAAATCAATGTACAAAAACCACAAGCATTCTTATACACCAATAACAGACAAACACAGCCAAATCATGAGTGAACTCCCATTCACAATTGCTTCAAAGAGAATAAAATACCTAGGAATCCAACTTACAAGGGATGTGAAGGACCTCTTCAAGGAGAACTACAAACAACTGCTCAATGAAATAAAAGAGGGTACAAACAAATGGAAGAACATTCCATGCTCATGGGTAGGAAGAATCAATATCGTGAAAATGGCCATACTGCCCAAGGTAATTTATAGATTCAATGCCATCCCCATCAAACTACCAATAACTTTCTTCACAGAATTGGAAAAAACTACTTTAAAGTTCATATGGAACCAAAAAAGAGCCCACATCACCAAGTCAATCCTAAACCAGAAGAACAAAGCTGGAGGCATCACGCTACCTGACTTCAAACTATACTACAAGGCTACAGTAACAAAAACAGCATGGTACTGGTACCAAAACAGAGATATAGACCAATGGAACAGAACAGAGCCCTCAGAAATAATGCCGCATATCTACAACTATCTGATCTTTGACAAACCTGACAAAAACAAGAAATGGGGAAAGGATTCCCTATTTAATAAATGGTGCTGGGAAAACTGGCTAGCCATATGGAGAAAGCTGAAACTGGATCCCTTCCTTACACCTTATACAAAAATTAATTCAAGATGGATTAAAGACTTAAATGTTATACCTAAAACCATAAAAACCCTAGAAGAAAACCTAGGCAATACCATTCAGGACATAGGCATGGGCAAGGACTTCATGTCTAAAACACCAAAAGCAATGGCAACAAAAGCCAAAATTGACAAATGGGATCTGATTAAACTAAAGAGCTTCTGCACAGCAAAAGAAAATACCATCAGAGTGAACAGGCAACCTACAGAATGGGAGAAAATTTTTGCAACCTACTCATCTGACAAAGGGCTAATATCCAGAATCTACAATGAACACAAACAAATTTACAAGAAAAAAACAAACAACCCCATCAAAAAGTGGGCAAAGGATATGAACAGACACTTCTCAAAAGAAGACATTTATGCAGCCAAAAAACATATGAAAAAATGCTCATCATCACTGGCCATCAGAGAAATGCAAATCAAACCCACAATGAGATACCATCTCACACCAGTTAGAATGGCAATCATTAAAAAGTCAGGAAACAACAGGTGCTGGAGAGGATGTGGAGAAATAGGAACACTTTTACACTGTTAGTGGGACTGTAAACTAGTTCAACCATTGTGGAAATCAGTGTGGCGATTCCTCAGGGATCTAGAACTAGAAATACCATTTGACCCAGCAGCCATCCCATTACTGGTTATATACCCAAAGGATTATAAATCATGCTGCTATAAAGACACATGCACACGTATGTTTACAGCAGTACTATTCACAATAGCAAAGACTTGGAACCAACCCAAACGTCCATCAATGATAGACTGGATTAAGAAAATGTGGTACATATACACCATGAAATACTATGCAGCCATAAAAAATGATGAGTTCATGTCCTTTGTAGGGACATGGATGAAACTGGAAACCATCATTCTCAGCAAACTGTTGCAAGGAAAAAACCCAAACACCGCATGTTCTCGCTCATAGGTGGGAACTGAACAATGAGAACACATGGACACAGGAAGGGGAACATCACACTCGGGGGACTGTTGTGGGGTTGGGGGAGGGGGGAGGGATAGCATTAGGAGATATACCTAATGCTAAATGACGAGTTAGTGAGCGCAGCACACCAACATGGCACATGTATACATATGTAACAAACCTGCACGTTGTGCACATGTACCTTAAAACTTAAAATATAATAATAATAAAATTAAAAAAAAAAGAAAAGAAAAGAACCTTCTTCTCAGAGACCTTATTTACACTAAGACATATGTAACTGGTACGAAGATTTCCCCCAAGTAAGGGCATGTGCATTTTTAATATGAGGCTGAAACAACAGTGGTGAGGTTTCAATAATCAGACAACAATTTGGATTAAGACTCTCTCATCCATTCTCACACCACATCAGTCCAAATATTGGCTTCTACATGTGTGTTTTCCCTGAGTCTCAGAAATAAACTGAAACTCATGAGTTTTTGTTCCAAGACCAAAAATTTAGTGTAATTTGCCCCATTTAAAAAGTTTGAACCTTCACATCCAACTCATAGTTCACTCAACAGGGATAAAGTACTTGATGTCACAGGGGATATTCCAAAGGGGGAAATGGAAGCATTATAGCTCCAGGCCTGGTATGGTGGCTCACTCCTGTAATCCCAACACTTTGGGAGGCCCAAGTGGGTGGATCACTTAAGGCCAGGAGTTCAAGACCAGCCTGACCAACACAGTGAAACCCTGTCTCTGCTAAAAGTAGAAAAAACTAGCTGGTCATGGTGGCATGTACCTGTAATCCCAGCTACTCAGGAGGCAGACACATGAGAATCACTTGAACCCAGGAGGCAGAGGTTGCAGTGAGCCAAGATCACGCCACTGCACTCTAGCCTGGGAGACAGACAGAGTAAAACTCTGGAAAAAAAAAAAAAAAAAAAAAAAGCACTATAAGCTCCTGTGAAGAAACCACCTCCTCTTCCTTTGGTGTAAATGACCTGGTGGCAATGTGACTAACTGCATCAGGTAACCATATGAGGGAGTGTGGAACAAGTCACCAAGGTGTCCTGAGAACTGAGGGAGAACATAGCTCTTTTGTTCAGAGTTTTATTTACCATCCTTCCAGGACCTCTACTCGCAGACTTGCTCAGTCCAGAACCACCCAGCAGCTGATCTTAGTCCCTCAATGCATTCTATAGGGAGAGTGCCACAGGGATATCTGCACTGCAGGCTGGAGACCACTAAACCTCTAGCAGTTCTGTTGAGAGATTCTCAATAAGAGAAAAGGGTCAAATCATCACACATTTGGAAAAATGAATCTTTACATGCTTCGCGAAAGACTAACTACTATATTGTATATAAAGTAAAATAGTGCCATATGCCTGGGAAAAGTCCTTCAGATCTCAAGGTCTAGGGCATATGAGTTAAGAGAATTTTGTCCTATAACACTAGAGCAGTAAAGTGTGGGGAAGCATGCTAATCTCCCATGTTCCTCTGGAGCAGGTGCTAGAACAATGAGATTTGCACTTTCTGTAGGTCTCAGGAAGCTCTAGCAAACACTGGTAAAGAAGGGAGGAGGGGTTGTCCTAACATGAAGGTCAGGATGTACTTCCTCCTGGAGATATAGCTGTACCATTGATAGACTTCTCTCTAAACAGGCCGAAAGAGAGAAAAATCAAGGCATGGCTTGGAAGAGAGTCCACAGGCAAGTAACATGAGAAAACAAACAAATGAAATTTCCTATGTGGTCTGGAGCAAGTCACTTCATTTCTCTGAGCCTCAATTTCTTCTTCTTCTTCTTTTTTTTTTTTTTTTTTTGAGACAGAGTCTCACACTATCACCCAGGCTGGAGTGCAGTGGCACGATTTCAGCTCACTGCAACCTCTGTCTCCTAGGTTCAAGTGATTCTCCTGCCTCAGTCTCCCAAGTAGCTGGGATTACAGGCACACACCACGATGCCTGGCTAACTTTTGTATTTTTAGTAGAGACAGAGTTTCATCATGTTGCCCAGGCTGGTCTCGAACTCCTGAGCTCAAGCTATCCGCCCGCCTCAGCCTCCCAAAGTGCTAGGATTACAGGCATGAGCCACCATGCCTGGCCTTCTCTGAGCCTCAATTTCTTTATCTGCAAGAGATAAAGGTATGTCTTTATCTCTAAGATTCATTCCACTGTATTCTTATTGTCTTAGTCCATTTTCTGTTGCTTATAACAGAATACTTGAAAATGGGTAGTTTATAAAGAAAAATAATGTATTTCTTACAGGAGGCTGAGAAGTCCAGGGTCTAGGAAACACATCTGGTGAGGGCCTTCTTGCTGGTGGGGACTCTGAAGAGTCCTGAGGTGGTGCAGAGCATCGCATGGCAAGGGGTATGAGCATGCTATCTCAGATCTCTGTTCCTCTTCTTATAAAGCCACCAGTCCCACTCCCATGATAACCTCTTCATCTATTAACTCATGAATGGATTAATTCATTCATATGGATGAGCCCTCATGATCCAATCGCCTCTTAAAGGCCCCACCTCTCAATGTTGCCACACTGAGCACTAAATTTCAAACAGTTTTGGAGGATACATTCAAACCACAGCACTTATAAATCACCATTTATGGGATTTTCACTTATTAAATTGTGAAAATATATTCTAAAAACATATGCCCTAGAGAGGTTGGGAAAGTCCTTAAGTTATAAATCATCAAAATAAATAAGTCAATAAACAACCATAGACAGTTGTTATATTTGTTAGTTAGAACTGCCATAATATAGTAGCACAAACTGAGAGCTTTAAACAACAGAAAATTGTAGTCTCATAGTCCTGGAGGCTAGGAGTCTGAGGTCCAAATGTCAACAGCAGGGTGGGCTACTTCCTGGAAGGGCTGTGTCTATCCCATGCCTCTCCCCTAGCTTCTGGTGGTTTGCTCAGTCTTTGCATTCCTTGATTCATAGAAACATCACCCTGATCACTTTCTTCATCATCACATGGTGTTCTCCCTTCATGTGTGTCTTTATATGTTGAAGAAGTAATGACCAATCCCTCAGTATATGACCTTACTTGGAAATAGAGTCATTGCAGATGTAATTAGTGAAGATGAGGCCATTCTGGCGTATGGTGGACTCCTAATCAAATATGATTGGAATCATATCTGATGAAAAGTAGGGTTTTGGACACAGAGACATGCACACAGGTGTTCACAGGATGCCATGTGAAGATGAAAGCAAAGATTGTGGTTATGCTTCTACCTAAGTCAAGGGATGCCAAAGGTTGCCAGCAACCACTAGAAGCTAGATTATAGGCATGACACAGATTCTTTCCTCACAGCCCTGAGAAGGAACTAGCTCCTCCCACACCTTAATCTCAGACTTCTAGCCTCCAGAACTGTTAGACAATAAACTTTTGTTGTTTAAGACCCCACTTGGTGGTATTTCCTTACAGCAGCCTTAGCAAATTAATATATATACTATATATTTACTTTTGTGTTGTCTTTCTCCTCTTACTAGAATGTAAGCCCCATGAGGCCAGCATCTAACAAGTTAATAACATAAGGCAGATGAGTTTCCACAATTTATTTAACACACATCTATAAGGCTACACCTGTCTTGGCTCAATAAAAATAGCTTAGAACACAAGAGGATAAGCAGAATTTCATTCGAGGATAGAGCAAAATTAACAATGAAGAAATATATATGCTCTGAGCTAATATGACAGATTGGAGAAATATAGTTCAATGGGCAAGGACAGGAAAGCTTGGGTTTCTCCAAGACAAGTCTTAGAAAGGTTAATCCTTCCAGAATGGATGAAGGAGCTGACTGCAGTTCCAACTCACTAAACCAAGGTGGGAAAAGAGGAAACGGTCTACAGTGAGAGGGAAGACTAAGAAGAAGGGCTTGAGTGGACTAAGGGTTTCAATGTACCTTCAATAGTGCAGGGCATGCATCCACTTAGGGCAGGAGACACATTCCTCAACCACACAGTGTTACTGACATTTTAGAGGGGACAAATTGTTTAGCATCCTTGACCTCCACCTAGTAAACGCTAGCAATGCCCTTCACTCATTGTGACAACCAAAAATGCTCCCTCCCTTTTTCTCTCTATCCAATATACATTTCCAAATACTACTTCCTGTTGAGAACCACTGGGCTAATGTAAGAAGCGCTTGGTGTATGCCATTTGCTATCAGGCTTGGAAAGGGGAACAGCAAAAGCAAGGAAAGACTAGTCCAATGAAAGGAATGTGATGCTCAGCAGGCTGCTCACATGGGACCATAGGGATAAACATGGCAGTAGAAATGTCATTTACTTCTAGCATAGTTCAAGGTCAGGGCATACCCAACGCTGAATCCCAGAACATGGAGCTAGAGCTGCTTAAATACCTTCTGTTTTAGATTAGGTCAAAATTAGTTCCAGAAAGAGATTGGGGGAGAACCTGAAACGGATGAACAGGTGTGGAAATAGGAAGGGTGCGGAAAAGCAGTCTGGGCAGGCAGGTAGAGAAGTTAGGAAGTTGAATTTCCCCTTGCATTTCACCTGGTAGCAGCCAGCAAAAAGAGAGAAGAGTGTCTTATTCCTGTTTCCCACAGGGTTATACCACTCTTCTCCTCCCTACCCCTCCCTTTCTTCATTCTGTTCTTTTATTCATCCAGAAGAGATCAGATCATTATAAACAGGGGAAAACAAGTGACCAAAGGGCAAGGCTGATGGCTTGGTGGACATTCCCATCTGCTGTGCCTGGGAAGGAGGAGGTTCACTGGCCAACTGTGCCTATATGTGAGTCTTTGGTGTATTTTAGCTGCAGTGGGCAGAACCATGTCCTTCTCTTCATCATCTCCCAGAGTCCCTATAGTAAGGGAGGACAACATTCTTCCTCGCCCTCTTAGGTATCTCCAGTCAGGCCCAAGAATCAAACTAACATATGACCAATGAGTAGGAGAAAAGCATACAAATTTTAGTAGTTTTTACATGTACATGAGAACCTTCATGAAAAAAATGAAGACTCAAAGAAATGATGACTAGAGCAGAAAAACTTTTGATAAATTAAATTTATAATAAGAGCTTATCTGAGCAAAGAATGATTCATGAATTGGGCAGCACTCAGGATCAGCAGAGGTTCAGAGACCTCTTCCCTGCAATGTGATCAATGAGCACTTACAGACAGAACGGGAAATAAAGTACAGAAGTAGTTTGGTTACAGCAAGGCATTTTGCCTTATTTGGATATGGTCTGATTAGTTGCCTGCTTGGGATTGACTGAGACTCAGCTGTTTGTTACTTTCCTAAGTAAGGTTTTCAGTTTGTTTATGTACTAAGTTAGGTTGTGATTCCATACACAGGAATTTCAGGTACAGAGATATGCTCAGTCAAATTTAATTTAATGAACTTTTAGAAAATGAAAAATAAATGTGTGAAGCAATAACAAGACAAAGGGAGTTTGGGCTGGGGCAGTAAATTGTGGGGAAGTGACTAGGAGATATATGAGGGATGGGATAAACTAGTGGAAGATAAGAGTTATTTTAGTAAATTTGTACAGATCCATTTCAGTGTTGATTCCTAGTCTCTGATGATGAGGATGTTCATTTCTTCCTGCTATAGAGAGAGCACTTTTCTGGCTGGGTGTGGCAGCTCATGCCTGTAATCCCAGCACTTTGGGAGGCTGAGGCAGGTGGATCACCTGAGGTCAGGAGTTTGAGACCAGCCCAACCAATATAGTGAAACCCCACCGCCTCTACTAAAAATACAAAAATTAGTCAGACATGGTGTCATGCACCTGAAGTCCCAGCTACTTGGGAGGCTAGGGCAGGAGAATTGCTTGAACCTGGGAGGCAGAGGTCACAGTGAGCCATGATCATGCCGCTGCACTCTAGCATGGGAGACAGAGCAAGACTCCATCTTGAAATAAAACATAAAATAAAAGAGAGAGCACTTTTCTCCAGGGAAATTTTCTGGCCTGCTTTTAGGTAGAAAAGGGGAAGTCAGAGGGCTCTTCCTGCATCTGCTGTTTCTCATAATATTCAATATGCCAAAGCAGCATGTTTTGGGGTGATTTGTCCTAAATTCTTTCACCATCCAGCTAATGAAATGCTAACATTTTTCCAAAAGTCCGGACCCTAAGCCATGCCCTAGCATGATAAATCCCAAGAACAGCTGCTAGGATGATACCACCAAGAATATGACAAAAAGGAAATTCTGGACCCCAGATTGAAACCAAGGTCAGTATTAAGGCACAGAGACCAACTTTGCTGTTCCCACACTGATATGGTTTGGCTGTGTCTCCACCCAAATCTCATCTTGAAATGTAGTTTCCATAATCCCCACGTGTCATGGGAGGGACCTGATAGGAGGTAATTGAATCATGTGGGTAGGTTTTTCCTATGCTATTTTCATCATAGTAAGTCTCACAAGAGCTGATGGTTATGTAAAAGGCAGTTCCCCTGCACACAGTCTCTTGACTGCCACCATGTAAGACGTGCCTTTGCTCCTCTTTCGCCTTCCACCATGATTGTGGTGCCTCCCAAGCCATGTGGAATTATAAGTCCATTAAACCTCTTTTTCTTCATAAATTACTCAGTCTCGGGTATGTCTTCATTAGCAGCATGAGAAAGGACTAATACGCACACCCAATCCCATGAACTGAAGGCATGAAGTGGAAGAGTGAATAAATACTTCCTCAGTAAGGAAGACTCAAAGCAGAAAATGTGCAGAGGTAAACAACTTCTTGGTTACCTTTCAAACATAGAAAATCTTTTCCTATTAAAATTCTTCAGGGACAACACAAAAATGAAAAAGCTCTTCACGCAGTAGAGGCAAGGAGCCCATGTAACACCTGACTCTTCCTTGCAGTTAATTTTCATTTAATATTTCTTATGAGGACTGAACTACTGTGTAACAGACACCAACGGGTTACTCCCCACCACCTTGTCTTTTTATTCTAAACCACATAGTGAGTGAGAAAATCAGAACATAAAATTCTTCCATTGCTCCTGGGGCAATGACTGTGCATTTATATTCCTGTTTTATGATGGAGAGGAGGGCCCTGCTCTCTCTTTAAAAGACTCTTAAAATCTGTTATGCATTTACCAGAATGTGGGTGAAAAATTCAAGATAAAAGCCTAATCATGTTCTGAGAAGGACATAATTATACAGTAATAGTTTGATAGCCCCTACTCTGAGAAAGCAATCACATTAAAGCAGACCCTCTTCATACACTAATAGTCCTTTGTTTCTGGAATAAGGGGGATGGTAACAGTGCTTGGGCAGAGAAGCCTCAGAGTTCCATCATCCATTTTGGTTTGAATAGGTTAAAGGAGAATTTAGAGAAGAGACCAAAGGTTTTTCTTTCTGGAAATGCAACATGGCTGTTTGTGTTCTGTTTTTCTTTTCATCAATCAGAAAGATCAGATATTGCTTTACAGAGAAGAAACATTAAAACTTTAGTTTCTAAGATGAAAAAAAAGGTCCCAAAGACTTGATAATCTCTGAATTTTCTCTTTCCACCCCCACCTCCTCACTATTAGCAACTTTTCCTTTGTAGATTGAGGGAGGGCAGCAGTGGAGGCTGGAAAGCTAGGGGAGTGGTAAAGGAATAGCCAGATGTATTAGTCCATTCTCATGCTGTTAATAAAGGCATACTGAACACTGGGTAATTTATTAAGGAAAGAGGTTTAATGGACTCACAGTTCCACATGGCTGGGGGGCTTCACAATCATGGCAGAAAATGAAGGAAGAGCAAAGGGACTTCTCACATGGTGGAGGGCAAGAGAACTTATCCAGGGGAACTCTCATTTATAAAACCATCAGATCTAGCAAGGCTTATTCACTACCACGAGAACAGTATGAGGGAAACCACCCCTATGATTCGATTATCTCCACCTGGTCCTGCCCTTGACCTGTGGGGATTACTACAATTCAAGGTGAGATTTGGGTGGGGACACAGCCAAACCATATCACCAGAGTTAGTGGATGCTGTTTGTGGATGCTTTGAAAGGGGACAGGCTGAGTTCTAGTCTGCGCTGCAGAAACTGGATAGGGCAGCTCCATGCACTGGTCCCCAGCCTCCACCTTTATATTAGAGAGCTAGTAGAAAATCTCTTTCAACCCCAATATCCAATGATTCTGTAAGTGTCAAACTTTCTTTCCCATTTATGCTGCTAGTGAGTTTCCCCACTGCTCCCCTCCACACACACCAAAAATCTGTTCCCTGACTTTCTATGAGTAGGAGAAAGAGGATCTGATTTATTTTGGAATGAGGACCACATGGGGGTTGGCATCTCTGTGCTGTCAGGGTCTGGAGGCTGTCTGGTCTCATCTGGGCCTCTTAGTTGCATCCTGAGCCCTGACCCAGGAGCCAGAGTGACTCAGGCATTTCTGCTGCCTCCTTTCTCCTCAGAGCACCACTGTGGCATTCTGGGAAGCAGTGAGCACCCAGCTAGTAGCCGGTTGTGAGGTACACGTATCATAAAACAAATCATTAGCTCTGCAGGATTGGGCCACCTCCTAATTACGTAAACGGACCTCATTGTTAGGGTAATTTACTCCACAAAAAAAAACAAAATAAACCAGGCATTTTCCCATAGCAGAATGTTAGAGCTGGTGGAAATCTTGGAAGCTAAGCCCCGATTTACTAATTTTGCTGATAAAAAAAAGAGGCCCAAAGAGAGGTAAGACTTAATTGCTCCAGATCCTACTCCTGGCCTGGCTAGGAGCAGAGCCTGAACAGAAGCAGGTGGCCTGATCCTGATCTCTGTGATGGCTCCTTCGTTACACTGGGATGCCAGCAGAAGGAATGCATTCTGCACACCCAGGAGCACGGCCCCAGAATGGGACAGAAGGATGGAGGGGAGGGAAGCTGCCGCAACTGTGAGCAGGTGATGCCGTGTACAGCAGAGCACTTTGCAGTGTGTTGCTGTCAGGATGCAGTGGACAGAGTGCTGGAGAAGCATTCTGGAAGTACACAGACTTGGAATCACAGCCAAGCTAAGCTCTGTTTTTTATGTGCTTTGTGAGCAGACAATTCACTTATGAGTCCCAATTTCCACGTCTGCAATTTTCTTGCAACACAAAAGTACTGAAAAGATTAAATAAAATAATTTGTGTAAAAAATGTCCGACACACATGAATAATAAACGTTGGTTCCCTTCCCCATCTTTCTTTGTAACTTCTTTTTCTCTATGCTGTTGTTGTTGTTGTTTTGAAAGAGAAGGGGGGCCGGGCGCAGTGGCTCACGCCTGTAATCCCAGCACTTTGGGAGGCCGAGGCGGGTGGATCATGAGGTCAGGAGATAGAGACCATCCTGGCTAACACGGTGAACCCCGTCTCTACTAATACTACAAAAATTAGCCGGGCGTGGTGGTGGGTTCCTATAGTCCCAGCTACTCGGGAGGCTGAGGCAGGAGAATGGCGTGAACCCGGGAGGCGGAGCTTGCAGTGAGCTGAGAATTTCACTCTTGTCGCCCAGGCTGGAGTACAGTGGTGCGATCTCGCCTCACTGCAATCTCCACCTCCCGGGTTCAAGTGATTCTTCTGCCTCAACCTCCCAAGTAGCTGGGATTACAGGTGCTTGCCATCATGCCCAGCTAATTTTTGTAATTTTGGTAGAGACGGGGTTTCACCACGTTGGCCAGGCTGGTCTAGAACTCCTAAGCTCAGGTGATCTGCCTGCCTCTGCCTGCCAAAGTGCTAGGATTACAGACGTGAGCCACTGTGCCCAGCCACTATCCCTGCTTTGACTAGACCCTAATGACATTAGTTTTATACTGACATACCTACAATTTAGCTACATTTTTTCATAGCATAAAATGGTTCACTGAACAAAAGGAAGGCTGCTCAGTATTACTGCTGTCTCGTGGCCTTGCTATGTAAAATGCTTTAAGATGATCGAGCATTAAGTACAGAGGAGGCAGCTACTGCACACCAGCACTGAGTAGAAGCAAGGAAGGTAGAGCGAGAAAAAGACTATTCTACTCATCCTTGAAAATTCTAGTAAATCTCTAGTGTAAAAATGTGACAATTCTTCTATAAATGTAAATGTCTCTTTTATACTCTGTCCTAGTCATTTTGTACTGCTATAATGAAATACCTGAGATTGGGTAATTTATGAAGAACAGAAACTTATGCCTCATAGTTCTGGAGGGTGGGAAATCCAAGATCAAGGCATCAACAGATTCAGCATCTGGTGAGGGCTGCTCTCTGCTTTTAAGATGGCTCCTGATTGCTGCATCCACTGGAGGAGGTGGATGCTCTGTCCTGACATGGCGGAAGGGACAAAAGGGCAAAAAGGCCCAGCTAGTTCCCTTGAGCCCTTTTATCAGGGCACTAATCCCATTCATGAGGGCAGGGCCCTCATGACTTAATCACCTCCTAATGGCCCACCTCTGAACACTGGTGCACTGGAGATTAAGTTTCAACATGAGTTTTGGAAGATACACAGCATTCAAACCACAGCACACCCTCAGGTAAAGGACTGGCTGTAACATTTTCTATTGCTTACTTTCTTCCTTTGTGCTCCATGGCCTTTTGAACAAATCTCTACTGTGGACACGGTTATATTATGGTAATTTTTTGCTTGTCTGTCTTCTTCATTAGAGGAAGCTTGTCTAACTCTTGTAATTAAGTCCTCAATTTGAGCCTACCATTTCAGCAAAGAAGAATAAGCATCAAGTATATCAAAGTATGGGGAAAATGTAAACTTTTCAGCATGGTTGGAATGTAAGGTATGAGGGGGCAATAAGAGAGATAAGGATGGAAAAGTAAATAGAAGTCAGAATAGGGTCTGGGCATGGTGGCTCATGCCTGTAATCCCAGAACTTTGGGAGGCAAGGTGGGCAGATAACTTGAGGCCAGGAGTTCAAGACCAGCCTGGCCAACATGGCAAAACCCCATCTCCGCTAAAAATACAAAAAATTAGCCAGGCTTGGTGATGCACGCCTGTAGTCCCAGCTGCTTGGCAACAGAATCGCTTGAACCCAGGAGGCAGAGGTTGCAGTGAGCCAAGATGGCACCAGTGCGCTCCAGTCTGGGTGACAGAGTGAGACTCTGTCTCAAGAAAAAAAAATATACAAGTCAGAATTGGTAGGACCTTATATGTATTGCTAAGAAAGTTGGACTTTATCCTGAAAATAAATGGGATCAAATGGTTCATTTTCAGCAGACGAGAGAATGTCTGCGTTCATATTTTCAGAGGAATTGTTCTGACACTAAAAGGAGGAATGAATTGGGGGATGAAAAGTACAAAGACAAGAAGATCTGGCCAGGCACGATGGCTCACACCTGTAATCCCAGCACTTTGGGAAGCCGAGGTGGGCAGATCACTGAGTTTAGGAGTTTAAGATCAGCCTGGCCAACATGGTGAAAACCCATCTCTACTAAAAATACAAAAATTAGCCCGGAATGATGGTGCATGCCTGCAGTCCCAGCTACTCAGGAGGTTGAGATGGAAGGATTACTTGAGCCCAGGAGTTGAAAACTGCAATGAGCCGAGATTGCACCACTGCTCTCCAGCCTGGGCAACAGAAGAAGACCCTGTCTCAAGAAAAACAACAACAACAACAAAAAAGACAAGGAGAGCTAATGGAGAACATGAAGGCAAGAAATGATGAGATTCTAAAGTAGATCAGTGGCATTGAGAATAACAAGGTAGAAAAGTATTATATATATATATTTAAGAGGTAGAATAGATAGGTCTTTATGAACTTTTTGTTACTATCTTGGTCTACTCCGGCTACTCTAACAAAATACCATAGACTGGGTAACTTGAACAGCAGAAATGTATTTTTTCACAATTCTGGAAGCTGGAAGTTCAAGATCAGGGTTCCAGCATGGTCAGGTTCTGAGAAGGCCTCTCTTCCTGGCCTACAGACAGCTGCCTTCTCACTGTCCTCACACGGCCTTTCCACAGTGCATGGGCATGAAGAGAAATAGAGATGTCTCTCCCTCTTTCTCTTCTTATAAAGCCACAAATCCTATCAGATTAGAACCCCACCCTTATGACCTCATTTAGCCTTAACGACCTCTTTAAAGTCCTATCTCCAAATATAATCATATTAGAGGCTAGGGACTCAACATATGAATTTGGTGATGGGTGGGGACACAATTTAGTTCAAGGCAGACGGCAAGGAGGAGTTAAGTGTGGCTCCTAGGTTTCTGGCCTGAGTATGTTACATGAACAGGGTGCTATTCGCTGATATAGAAAACACAAGAAAAGGAGTAAAGACTGATTTTGACAGGAGCAGTGACAAATGTAGCTTTGAACATATGTGTGAGCCATCTGTGGTACATGTAAGTGGGGATGCCCGCAGGCAGCTTAATGAATGTATGGGGCTTCCAGCAGACAAATCTGGGCTGCAGCCCAGACACCTGAACACTATCAGTGAACTCATAAAGTTGAATTCAACAAACAAATCAGAAAACCCAAGGAAAATGGTTAGAAGAAAAAGAGCAGTGAGTCTAAATCAGAACTTTGGAGAACATCAGTAATTAAGGATTTCTGGGGATATCAGAGCCCTGTGTTATTGAGGTGGCAGAAATGAAAGAAGAAACCAGGTGCAGTAGTTCACGCCTGTAATCTCAGCACTTGAAACATTTGAGGTCAGGAGTCCGAGACCAGCCTGGCCAACATGGTGAAACCCCGTCTCTACTAAAAAAAAAAAAAAAAAAAAAAAAAAATTACAAAAATTAGCCAGGCTTGGTGGCATGTGCCTGCAATTCCAGCTACTTGGGAGGCTGAGACAGGGGAATCGCTTGAACACAGGAAGTGAAGGCTGCAGTGAGCCGAGATTGTGCCACTGCACTCCAGCCTGGGTGACAGAGTGAGACTGTGTCAAAAAAAAGAAGAGGAAGAAGGAGGAGGAGGAGGAGGAGCATTGGAAAGAGGAAAGAAGAAAGAAAAGAAAGAAGAAAATCAGGTGAGAGTGCTGACTCCAAAATCAAGTTCAGAAGTTTCCAAGTATAGTGCCTACAGGAGTGCCCACTGTCCTGAGAAGGCAGGTGAAATAAAATATCCATGAGGTCTAGAGACCACCAAGTCACTGGGGACCTTAGAAAGTCTTGCTTCATTGGAGGGATGTGGGCAGAATCTGGGTCTCAGTGGGTTAAGGAGGCATTGAGAGATGAAGAAGGGAGTAATAGAGACATCTTTACATGCTGATTAACATCAGTCCATGTGTCAGCACATGGGGAAAATGGCCTTATAATCAGTTATTAATCAACCTATTCATTTATACATTTCTCCAACTTTTCCACAAAGACCTCATGAAAGCCGTTATCAAATACTTGGCTGAAACCCAGGTGTACTATGGTAACAGTTTTGCTCCAAACTGCTTAGCCTGGTGACTCTATTCAGAAAAGGAATGTTAACCTGGCATTGTGTGATTTTAGCTAAACACTTCAGCTTCTAGTGAAAACAAATTATTTGTTAATTAATCTCATGATCCAGAACCATGGACAGAGTCCATGCCAAAACTATTAGCCTAGCATTTTAAGAACACACCTTTACTATTTTGAAAACAGAACAAATTGTGCCCATCTCTAGTATTCTGGTACCTCTTCTGATTCCAAGACTAATAAAAAAAAAAAAAAGAAACAAATGCATATATATTCACATATATTCCTCAGGGCAGCAGTTTGTAAATTTCGTCTTCAAGATATCTCAGTACTCTGGAAAAGAGTACTTCTGAGCATAAAGACTTGGATTCATTTCACTTAATTGGATATTCTTCTTCCTTTGTGGGCTTCCATTA
Source organism: Homo sapiens (assembly GCF_000001405.40). Lineage (NCBI taxonomy): Eukaryota > Metazoa > Chordata > Mammalia > Primates > Hominidae > Homo > Homo sapiens. Next base: position 25,028,626 of record NC_000008.11, read on the forward strand.
TCACTTCAAAACACACCCTTCCTCTTTGGAATCTCTTACAAGTGCGCATTCAGAATTATATGTGTGAAAGCTTTACGTGTTATATTCCCTTTCAGAGTTTTATGCCACAAAATTATGCCAAAAAATTCAGTTTTCAATCCGACTTTCTAAAAATGATGGAAACACATCAGCCTGTCTTTTTCTTGTGAACTCCAAAATTGTATAATTATTTTTGCTCAAACTTCCATCACTTCTACTTTGGGAAAAAGTTTTATTTTTGTCACATTTAGGACCAGAATAACCATCACTTAGTCCTTCACCTCCTCTGGGTGTTTTAAGATTTGATCTTTGATTTTTACCAGTTTGAAAAGTAGGACAATACCTGGATACGGTATTTATGTGCTGTTTATTTCTGAGAGAGTGAAAGTCCTTTTCTCTGCCTGATGGTAAGGTTGAAGTGGGGGTTACAAGTCATTCAGATTTCTGCTAGAGCTCAGTTGAGTTGGGCTGGACCACAGATTTAGCATGCCTTTGCGTAGATATCTTTGTGTTGGTCTTGCTTGGGGCTTTCTGAGCTCCTTGGGACTTTGAGTTGATATTCTTCACCACATTTGGAAAAATTGTGGCTCTTATTTCTTCAAAAGATTTCTCCGGTTTCGTTCTTTCTTATCTTTCCTGGGATTTCAACTACATGTAGGTTAGACCACATGATAATATCTCACAGGTCCTGACATTCTGTTCATTTTTTTTCCAGCTGTTTTTCTTTTCTCCTTCAGTTTGAGTAATTTCCACTGACCTTTCCTCAAGTTCAGTGCTTTGTTCCACGGTGGCATACAATTGGTTATTGAGCCCATTCAATGATTTTTTAAATGTCAGATATTGTATTTTTTAATTCTAGAATTTCCATTTTGTTCTTTTGTTAAAGTGTTGATTTCCCTCCTGAAGTGCCCCATGTCTTTACGTATTATGTCTATCTTTTCCTATAAATTCCTGAACATTTTTTAATACTTGTTTTATTGTTTAAAATCATTGTCCTCTAACTCTAATAACTGGATTTGCTTCTAGTGACTGCTTTGCTCAAATGGAAGGTCATATAATGGAAGGTCATATTTTCCTGCTTCTTCACATGTATGTGTATGTATATATATATATATATATATATATATATATATATATATATATATATATATGACCTCGTGAAAACCTTTATCAAATTTTTGGCTGAATCCCAGATGTACTATGGAAACAGTTTTGCTCCAAACTGCTTAGTCTGGTTACTCTATTCAGAAAAGGAATGTTAACCTGGCATTATATGATTTTAGCTAAATACTTCAGCTTCTAGTGAAAACAAATTATTTGTTAATTAATCCCATGATCCAGAACCATGGACAGAGTCCATGCCGAAACCATTAGCCTAGCATTGTGTGTGTGTGTATATATATATACACACACACACAAATATGTATGTATACACACACATATATATGTATGTATACACACACACATATATATGTATGTATACACACACACATATATATGTATGTATACACACACACACACACACACACACACACACACATATTTAGAGACAGGGTCTCATTATGTTGCCCTGGCCAGATTTGAACTTCAAATTCCTGGGCTCAAGCAATCCTCCTGTAATTGCCTGATATGTTCTTCTTGCCCACTGCACAGATAAACCGAATTCACTGAGACAATAGTATTGCAATAGGGGAAGAGTTTAGTTACCACAACATAGCCAAGCTAGAGGACGGGAGTTTTCACTCAAGTTTGTCTTCCCAAAGCCTCAAAGGTTAGAGTTTTTCAAGGATAGTTTGGTGGGCAGGGGGCTAGGGAATGGGTGCTATTGATTGGTGGTGCTGAAACCATAGGGGTGTGGAAAACAGTCCTTGTACACTGAGTCAGCCTCTGGGTGGGGGCCATGGGACCTATTGAGTCATGAGTCCTGGGTCTGGGTGGAGTCAGTTGGTTGCATGAATGCAAAAGTCTGAAAAACATCTCAAAAGAGCAATATTAGGTCCTACAATAGTGATGTTATCTATATAGGAGCAATTGGAGAAGTCACAAATCTTGTGACCTCCAGTGCAGTAAATGATTATGAAAAGGCAAGCTACACCTACATTTCAGCAGAATTTGAGCCCCTCCCATAATCCTAATCTTGTGGCTTTCATTAGTCTTACTATAGTGGTTTCAGTTCCCCAACAAAGAAGGAGTCAGTTTCAGGGAGAAACTATTTTCATCCTTGCTTCAAAGTTAAACCACAAACTAAATTTCTCCCATGGTTAATTTGCCCTGTGCCCAGGAATGAATGAAGACAGCCAGCCTGTGAGGCTAGAAAGAAAATGGGGCAAGCCATGCTAGACTTCTCTCACTGTCATAATCTTTGCAAAAGGCAGTTTTACTCCTGCCTCAACCTCCCAAGTAGCTGGGATTACAGGCTTGCACCACTGTGCCCAACTTAACACCTTTTATTATACTCCTGTTTAAAAAAGAATGGAGACTGGAGTATTATATTTTGTTTATTTCCAAGCAAGTGAAAGCCCTTTTCTCTAGCTGCTGATGAGGGTTGAGGAGACAGTGCTGATTATTCAGATTCCTCCTAGAGCCAGCTGGAGCTGGAGCTGGACCCTGGTTTTAACTAGATTGAGTTAATCTCTGATTAGCCCAATCCCCAGTGCTGCACCCACTGCCCAGGGGCTGATATTTTTGGATCCTATCAGTATTTCAACTGGGAGTAGGTTGGGTTTCTACTTCAGATAATTTTGGTTTATAATTCAGCTCCAGTAGTGCCCTAGAATCTAGACAAAATTCTGGACATATAGTCTTTCCGCTTTTCATCCCTCCCAGACTGTTGCCTTCTCTGAAAAAATCAGGATGGAAGAGTGTGTGTTGTAGGGGGCGGTGGGGAGTAAAAAGGATGGTTGGATCAAGTCGTTTGACTTTGCATTTGGGGTTCTTCCAAAGTCCAACCCAGTCAGCCAGCCCTCACTACCATTCAAGGCCTGGGTGTCTTTCTCATCCGTGCAGACTCCCCATCTACAGCCGACTTGTTTCTTCTCATCTCCACCAGACTAGGCATCCACCCCCAAGGATGGACGCTTAGGCTCCTCTCCACTCATTGATGAGGAGCCCATTTTCTTTGGACATCAGCTCATCATGGCTTCTTTGCATCTACTGCTCTTAGCTAGATCCACAGAAAACTATGATTTTTCTTTTGCCTCTCTTTCTCTTTTTCTTTCTTACTTTCTTTCTCTTCTTTCTTCCTTTCTTTCTTTCCCTTCTTTCCTTCTTTCCTTCTTTCCTTCCTTCCTTCCTTCTTTTTCCTTCCTTCCTTCCTTTTTTGTTACCTTAGGAGCAAAGATTTTTTGTATCCTTCTTCATTCCAACTGCAAGCCGACTTCCCTTCAACTTTTAAAGAGATAAATTTGTCAGTCTGTCACATAAGAAGTGGAGACACTCCACATTTGTTCAAATGAGACTGCCAACAGATAGCCAGTTATAAAAAGGCTTTCCCTCACCCCACCAGCCCTCCATAATAATGCATCTTTTCCTCTTTTATAATCTACATCCTGAGGCACTGCCATTCCTGACAGCATTTGTCACTGAAATGCACAGCTGAAGCAGAATGTCTGAATGCAGGGACTGGGTGCTGGGAAGTTATAGGCTGAGAGTGAGAGAGCTAAACACAGCCAGTGCAACAATCTTGTTACCAAGAATGGCCAATGTGATAGAGACCAGTGCAAGATGCCAAGGATGATGCAGTTCACACAGAATTACACAGAGTATATTTAAACCAAGTCCAGAAGATATTGTACTCTAACTATGGTTTTGAAAGTGCTTTCTCAATAATTCAGTATGGAAAGATCAATAAGGGACAAGAGAACAAGAATATAATGTCTTATATATTTTTGGTAATTTCCTTTAAATCTATATGCATACATTGAATAGATTATATCTTATTCAATATTGTAGATAATCTTTCTGGTCTATGTAGTGTTGCGTTGTAAAACTTTATGTTATTTTTAGGCCAGGCATGGTGGCTCACACCTGTAATCCCAACACTTTGGAGGCCAAAGCAGGCAGATCATAAGGTCAGGAGTTTGAGACCAGCCTGACCAACATGGTGAAACCCCATCTCTATGAAAAATACAAAAATTAGATGGGCATGGTGGCACGTGCTTGTAATCCCAGCTACTCAGGAGGCTGAGGCAGGAGAATCGCTTGAACCCAGGAGGCAGAGGTTGCAGTGAGCCGAGATGGCACCATTACACTCCAGCCTGGGCGACACAGTGAGATTCCGTCTCAAAAAACAAAAACAAAAACAAAAACTTTATGTTATGTTTAAGAAAGATTTGTGTTTCCTTGAGACACAAATGACATATGGTTATTATCTTGACTCCTGGTGGAAGGGAATAGCTCTAAACAGAAATCATTCTCAGTTGGTGCAGACAGATAATAATAGCTACAGAATATTTATCCATTTAACCACATGCCAGGTACTATACTGGGTGCTTCAATATAGTATCTTGGACACCTATAAAACACTGCCAGATTGGTAGGTTTTATCACCATTTTACATTTGAGGAAACCGGCTTAGAGAGGTTAAATAATTCATACATGTGATAAATATTTATGAAACAGTCATTAATTTGTAGGAACTGGGTTGGGTGCTGGGGTTACATTGGATAAATAAGACAAATGTATAATCTAATAAAATTTTTAACATCTTTTTTTCCCCTTTCAAGCTTTGTGCTAAATGAGAAATAAAACAGCAACCAAAGAAGCAAACATCAAAATGTCCACAATATTATTGACAGACCTATTGGATATTCCACCACCAGGTCACACATCTTGCTGGACAAATGTCGACCTTCTGTCATTTAGGGATACACCTCCCGCCCAGGGCAAAGCAATCCAGGATGTGGTTCTTGCCAACAAACCAGCAACAGAAAAGAGAAATTCTCAAGGGGTTAAGCCATGCATGCCCAGTTCTTTCTCCCAAACTCAAAGCTGAAAAATTACTACCTGAGAAGGGGTGTAAAGAGAGGTAGGAGGATTACCCTGGTGGAAGTACCTGCACAGGGAAACATAAGGTCAGAGGAAAAGATATTCCCGTGAACAAAATCTAATGTGGAAGACAGACATTAAACCAAAAAATAAAATTTATGTGCACTTATTCTGATTTTGATTTTTATCGTTAAACAGAGGCACAGAGTGCTGTAAGAATTTGTAATAAAAGAACTCCCCATAGCTTCCCAAGAAAGTAATACGATTGAATAGGGAGTATCTGTGCAAAAAATAGGAGAGTGCTCCAGGCAGAAAGCAAAAGAACATATGCTAAGGCCTTGAGGCAGGGAATCACGTACAGTATGTGGAAACCAACAAGCCAGTGGGCTGGAGCACAGAGAAAAGAGGGAAACTGTTAGAAGAAGCTGCAAAGTTAGGAGCATGTGATGCACTGCTTTGTGAAATGTAAAGGATTTTGAATATTATATCAAGGGCCATGGAAAGTCATTATAATGTTATAAGCAGAGAATAGACATCATCAGAGTGCCCAAGAGTCCACAGCCTCCACCTACACAACTATGATTAATGCTGCTACCAGATTACTAATAATAGAATTTTTAAAGGGCTTCAAATTTCCTTTGTAACCAGGTACTAATTCCTCTCATACTGTCTAATTCATTTTCAGCAAACTCATAAATGAGCTGAGTGCTTGGAGGATATTTTTAGTTTCATGATTAAGTGGTATCTAAAGTGGCTTAATGTGTGTTCTGGAACTTGCATGGATTCATTTTCATTTAATAGGCCTGCTGTCAAGTAACTGTTTCATTTATTCATGTCTTCCTTTTTAAACTTTAATTTAGCAAAGCATACTAGATGCCAAAGCTTATTATGCTTCTTAGTCTGTGATTTAGCCAGTCTGCCTTTGCTAATAACATGTTCCAATCCATCAACATCACTGTAAATCTGAGATCCCTAGGTCTGAGATTGTTGCTTCTGCCGCTTTCCTGATTTCACGTGGAAACATTCCTGCCAGCAAATGGGCCCTCCTTTGGGGAATTGCATGTGTGCATATTTGATGCCTCATTTTCAAAATGATACTATTCTGAAATGTGAGTAGTATCTGAAGAATACTTCGTAACCTGGATAAACCAATCAATTAATCACCAGGTATTTGTTGAGTCTCGATTGGAAATAACATAACTAGATGCTACAGGAAATTTTGCAGAGAAAGTGTATGTTGTAAGTTCTGCATTATTTCTCCTTACATTCTAGCTGGGAGAGAAAACAGATATATTGAAGGATAACCAATAACACAAGGCCCTAGATGATACTTGCCAAATAAATGATTTTAATCCCAAACACTGCAGGAATGCAGGGGAGGGCTGATCATTGTGGTAAAGGGAGTCTTCATTGAGTAAATCGGTCCAAAGGGCTGGGAAGGGGTCAATGTACAGAGAAGGTAGCTAAAGCATTCTAGACGGAAACAACTTTTTTTTTTTTTTTTTTGGAGGTAGGGTCTCACTCTCTCAGGCTGGAGTGCAGTAGCATAATTACAACTCACTGTACTGTAGCCTGGAACTCTTGGGCTCAAGCAGTCCTCCTGCCACAGCCTCTGGGGTAGCTAAGACTACAGGCATGTGCCACTACACACAGCTAATTTTTTAATTTTTTTTTTTTTAAGATGGAGTCTCCCTCTTGTTGCCCAGGCTGGAGTGCAGTGGTGCCATCTTGGCTCATCACAACGTCCGCCTCCTGGGTTCAAGCGATTCTCCTGCCTCAGCCTCCCAAGTAGCTGGGATTACAGGCATGCACCACCATGCCCGGCTAATTTTGTATTTTTAGTAGAGATAGGGTTTCTCCATGTTGGTTACTTTTTTTAGTTTTTTTATAGAGACAAAGTCTTGCTATGCTACCCAGGCTGGTCTTAGACTCCTGGCCTGAAGTGATCTTCCTGCCTTGGCCCCCCAAAGTGCTGAGATACAGGTGAAAGCCACCACACCCAGCTGGAAACAACTTACTTTTGTTTTGTTTTGTTTCTGCCATCATATACCCATGAAAACAACTTTCTAATAAGAGGAGATGGTGTAAAAGGAGGACTCAGAAAAGCTGTAGGCTTTGAATGAGGATGTGGTTATTTGGGAAGCAAACAGGATTTAAATGGTAAGGGGACTTGGGACCAGATTATAGAGGACATTTCAAGTCAGAATGATTAGATTAATTAGCAAATCAAACCTTTGATTGCAGCTTTGTTGAAAGTGGAAGAAGCCTTAGAGACGATGTAATCAATTCTCAGTTTTTAAAATGAGACTGTTTAACATCTGGAATCCTTGCACTTTGGGAGGCCAAGGCAGGCAGATCTCTTGAGGTCAGGAATTTGAGACCAGCCTGGCCAACATGGCAAAACCCTGTCTCTACTAAAAATACAAAAATTAGCCAGGCATGGTGGCATGTTCCTGTAATCCCAGCTACCTGGGAGGCTGAGGCAGGAGAATTGCTTGAGCCTGGGAGACAGAGGTTACAGTGAGCCGAGATCCTGCCACTGCACTCCAGCCTGGGAGACAGAGTGAGACTTTGTCTCAAAAAAAAAAAAAAAAGAATGCTAAAATCCAAGATGTTTGTTTGTTTGTTGCTGTTGTTGTTGTTGTTGTTGTTGAGATGGAGTCTTGCTCTTTTGCCCAGTCTGGAGTGCAGTGGCACAACCTCGGCTCACTGCAACTTCCACCTCTCAGGTTCAAGCAATTCTTTTGTCTCAGCCTCCCAAGTAGCTGGGATTACAGGCACCCCCCAACACACCCGGCTAATTTTTTTTTTTTTTTTTGTATTTTTTAGTAGAGACAGGATTTTGCCATGTTGGCCAGGCTGGTCTTGAACTCCTGAGTTCAGGTGATCCACCCACCTTGGCCTCCCAAAGTGTTGGGATTACAGGTGTGAGCCACTGCCAAGATGAATCTTTAAGTTTTTATCACTCTATAGTTTATATTTCATCTATTTTCAAAAGGCTTTTGGGAAGTTTCCAGTTTGTCCCACCCATGACTTTGGTTATTGTACAACCGAGCAAAAAGACAATTTCAAAATAAGCCCAGACCATCATGAAACGTTGAATATGGCTGTTGCAAACACCAAACTTATTTGGTTGGCCTAAAATGTTTACTATGCGTTATCAATTTTTCATTTTTAAGTTAGTTAGAAAAAAGAGATCTTTGATTGAAGTATACCTCTAGTGACTCTCAAAGTCATAAAGAGTCATAGTGCCAATGTGAGCTCCTGAGATTTAGAATTACTACAAGCTTTTTGCATTGGTTGGTCTAGGTGAAACCGCCCACCACAACCATTCCATTCCCCTATAAATATTAGTCATTCTGCGGGGTTCAGGTCCTTTTCTGCCTACTCTTTGAATCTTACTCATCCAGCCTTCCTGTTGAGTCACTTTTCTCTGCTGAGTTCCTGCAACACTGATTGTAGCAGTTTTTGTTGCACTCATTATATGCTCTTTGTTTCTTGCACCTTCTTGAGAAATAGTTTATAAGCAGTAAAATTCACAAATCTTAAATGAATAACTCGATGCATTTTTACAAATGTATAAACCATTATTCTGACCAACATTTCCAACACCTGCCCCTTCTCAGCCTATCCTCCTCCCACCCCACAACCACTATCCTGACTCCAATCATCATAGATTTGACTATTCTTGATTCCATATAAATGGATTAATATATTGGAATAGAATCATACAATGTATGTACTCTTTTGTGTCTGACTTCTCGCACTCGATGTTATGTTTTTGAGATTCATTCATGTTGTTGTATGTATCAATACTTTATTCTTTTTTTATTACTGAGTAGTATTCCACATAGAAGCATGCCACAATGTGTTTGTTTTCCTATTGACGAACATCTGGGTGTTGCCAGTTTTCTGTTTGAATATTTTGTGCAAGTCACTTTGTGGACATACGTATCATTTTCCTTGAATAAATACTTTGGCATGGAATTGCAGGGTTATAGGTACACATGTATAGACAGGTATCTAACTCTATTAGAAACTCAGTTTTCAACAGCGGTTATACCAATACGTACTTCTACCAGGAAATATAAGTATTGCAGTTGCTCATCATCCTCATCAACCTTTATATTTACACCCTATTTAATTTTACCCATCCTGAAAATGTTAATGGTACCTCATTATGGTTTTCATTTATATTTACCTGATGTTTAATGATGTTTCATGAGAAGAATCTATTCATATTAAGCCTACAGACATCTTTATTTGTTGAGGTTCTTCAAATCTTTTGCCCATATTTAGGTTGATTTGTCTGCTGAATTATAGGCATTCTTTATTTATTCTCAATACAAGTTCTTTGTCAAATATATGGATTCCAGTTGGGCGCAGTGGCTCACGCCTGTAACCCCAGCACTTTGGGAGGCCAAGGCGGGCAGATCACTTGAGGTCAGGAGTTCAAGACCAGCCTGACCAACATGGAAAATCCTGTCTCTTCTAAAAATACAAACTTAGCTATATTTTATATATTGGAATCCATTACATATATATGGATTCCAATATTTTCTCCCAGTTTGTGGCTTGCCTTTTTCCTGTCTTGACATTGTCTTTCAATCAACAGACATTTTCTTAATTTGGCAAAGTCCAATTCATCATTGTTTTTCCTTTGTCATTAGTACTTTTTGTGCTTAAATAATCTTTGCTCTCCAAAGATCATGAAGATATTCCTCTGAGTTCTCTTCCGAAAATTTTATAATTTTAACTTTTACTTTTAGGCCTAGGTTCCATGTTAAATTAACTTTTATGTGTGTGGTGTGGTACTGGTCAAGGTATTTCATATGGTTACCCAGCTACAGTGTCATTTATTGAAATTAAGTTTGTTTCCCTATTAAATTGTTTATGTGTTTGACAAAAGTCAACTGATGGTAGTAACCTTTGCAGTCTGACAAATAAGCCCTCCAGCTGTGTTCTTCTTCTTCAAGGCTGTCCTGGCTATTCTATATCCTTTGCATTTTTGAATCAGCTCATTAACTTCTACAAAACTTCTCCTGACCTCAGGTATCAGCCTGCCTGGGCCTCCCAAAGTCCTGGGATTACAGGCATAAGCCACTGCACCCAACTTTAACAGATATTCTTTATCAAATCGAAGAAACTTCCTTCCACTCCCTGTTTCATAAGAATTTTAACCAAGGTCAGTTGTTGAATTGTATCAAATGATATTTCTGCATATATTGAAATAATCATGTTTTCCCCTCTATTCTGTTTATATGGTAAAGTACATTGATTGATTTACAAATGTTAAAAGTCTGTTGGGATTTTAATTGGAATAGCATTGCATCTATAAATCAATTTGATAAGAATTGACATCTTAACAATTTAAAATTTCCAGTCAGTGATTATGATACATCTCTCCATTTATTACAAATATCTCTTCGCAATGTTTCATACTTTTCAGTATAGAGGTCTTAGACATCTTTTGTTAGATTTATTCCCGGATATTAGGGGAATTTCTTTGATGCCATTGAAAATGGTATTGTTTTTAAGTCGCATTTTTCAGTGTTTATTGTTAGTATATAGAAAAATAATGGATTTTAAAATATTGATGTATATTCCTCAATTTTGCTAAATTTACTTATTGGTTCAAGTGGCTTATAGATGTCTTGGAATTTCCTAACAGAAACATGTCAGCTCCCAATTGAGGTATCTTTGCTTCTTCTTTTTCAGCTTTTGCCTCTTTTATTTCTCATGGGGTACTTTTCCACTTCCACCACTTAGTCTTCCAGTACTATGTTGAATAGAAGCAGTAAGAGCAGACATCACTTCTTTTTACAGATCTTCGAGGGAAAGCAGTTAATATTGCACCATTAAGTATATTAGGATTTTAACAGATATTCATAGATTCTTTTTCTTTTTTTTTTTGTTTTTTTGATTGAGGTAGACTCTCACTCTATCTTCCATGCTGAAATGTAATGGTGCAGTCTTGGCTCACTGCAACCTCTGCCTGCTGGGTTCAAGCGATTCTTGTGCCTTAGCCTTTTGAGTAGCTGGGACTACAGGCACGTGCCACCATGCCCGGCTAAGTTTTGTGTTTTCGTAGAAGCAGCGTTTCACCGTGTTGGCCAGACTGGTCTCCAACTCCTGACCTCAGGTGATCCACCTGCCTGGGCCTCCCAGAGTGCTGGAATTACAGGCATAAGCCACTGCACTCAACCTTAACAGATATTCTTTATCAAATTGAAGAAACTTCCTTCCATTCCCTGTTTCATAAGAATTTTAACCAAGGTCAGTTGTTGAATTGTATCAAATGATATTTCTGCATATATTGAAATAATCATACTTTCCCCTCTATTCTGTTTATATGGTAAAGTACATTGATTGATTTACAAATGTTAAGCCAATTTCTATTCCTAAGATAAACCCTATTTGACCACTATGTATTATCTTTTTTATATTATTGCTGGAATTGACTGGCTAATAATAGTTGAGAACTTTTCATATATATATTCATGAGGAATACTGGACTATAATTTTCTTTTTTATAATGTCTTTATCAGGTTTTGGTATCACGGTTATGCTGTCCTCATAAAATGCATTGGGAAATGTTCTCTCTTCTTGTTTTTTGGAATAATTTATGTAAAATTGGTAGTTTTCCATCATCAAATGTTTGTTTTGTTTTTTTTTTTTTGTTTGTTTGTTTCTTTGTTTTGCTTTTGTAATTCATCAGTAAAGACATTTGGTCCCAGAGTTTCTCTGTGAAATTTTAATCTTTTTTTTAAATTTTAATAGATACAAGACTATTCAGATTTTCTATTCTTAAATAAGTTTCAGAAAGTTGTGTATTCAAAGAATTTCTACATTTATTCTAAGTTGTTAAATTTATTGACATTAGTTATATATTTTTTATTACTTAATGTCTATAAGATGTAATCATGTTCCATTTTTCATTCCAGTTATTACTAGTTTGTGTTTTCTCTTTTTTCTAGATTAGGGGCTTTTGTTAGATTTATTAACAAAACTTTATAGGCTGGGCACGGTGGCTCACGCCTGTAATCCCAGCACTTTGGGAGGCCGAGGAGGGCAGATCACGAGGTCAGGAGATTGAGACCATCCTGGCTAACACGGTGAAACCCCGTCTCTACTAAAAATACAAAAAATTAGCCGGGCGCGGTGGCGGGCATCTGTAGTCCCAGCTACTCGGGAGGCTGAGGCAGGAGAATGGCGTGAACCCGGGAGGCGGAGCTTGCAGTGAGCTGAGATAGCACCACTGCACTCCAGCCTGGGGGACAGAGCGAGACTCCGTCTCAAAAAAAAAAAAAAAGAAAAAAAAATTATTAAGCAATTTTATTACAATTTCCAAATAATCAACTTCTGCTTTTGTTGATTTTTAAAAATTGTTTCCCATTTTTATATTTCACTGATTTCTTCACTTTTCTTTATTATTTTCTTCTGTTTTCTTTGGGTGATTTCATGGTATATCTTTTTTAATCTTTTTACTTTCAACTCATATGTCTGCATGTTACTTTATGTTATGTTATTATTAGCTCTGCTTCCTCACATCCATGAGATACCGGAATTGTCTCTTAATGGTACCCCTGGTTCCTAACAAGCCCAAAAGTCCCTGTAAAAGAGGATTTTTATTCTTATTATTTGCTATTAGCATGTGTACAGTTTTTCTAAGGGCAATATCAGTTAAGGTTTACATTAGAAGAAAGGGAGGTTAAAATTTAGTTCTGTTTTGCAGCATTCAAAACCATGATCTGGTAGGTTTTGCAGCATTCAAAATCATGATCTGGTAGGTTTTCACTTCACAGTACCCTACCAAAGGGCCAGTTTCCTACCCTGAAGATCTCTGGACCTCACAGAGCAGTCACCAGTTGCCTCAGCATTTTCCTAGCAGCACTGAAGTAGTTTCATGACTCTCAGGTTTTGAACACGTGTTTTAGCCAAATGGAATGGTGCCCGACTTACATGGGTCATGACACATAAATGGTGTAGATCTAATCACACTATAAGTGCTCCCACTATCTATGCCAAACTCCCGTGACTTTTTTTGTTTTCAATAAGATGATTGAAGACTTGTCATGTCTGTCTTCTCAAGTTGTGAAGCTAGGAATCACTGCTCCTGTTTGTATTAGAGAAGTGCTATCTGACATACTACATGAAACTACTGATTGCATCCCACTCATGGGCATTTTCTAGAACTGGGGATCCCAGAACCATTACCCTACATCATTGACTCAGATATTACCTATATGAAATACATTATTCAGAAATATCTCCATCACTGGGTTTTAAATATTTAGAAAGCATGCAACACATATGCACTATAGTCTAAACAATTAAAGCATGTCTCATAGCTCCTAGTCCTGGGCTGGGCAGATGCAAAGAATGTTTGTTTTCACTTATTTGGCCTCCAGAGTTCTGCTTTCTTTATGAGATAACCTGGACATTTCTGTTTCTGTTGGAAATAATTTACCGAAGAGAACATTGGCAGATGAAGTGTAGATTCATAGAGGTTTTTGCAATGCAAAGAAGAAGAAGGAAGAGGAGGAGGAGGAAGGAAAAGAAAGAAGGAAAAGGAAAAAAGGCCAAGCAGGACACTGGAACAATAGTATAATTTGTAGAGAATAAAAATTAGCTTCCTGGCCAGGAACGGTGGCTCACACCTGTAATCCTGACACTTTGGGAAGCTGAGATTAGCAGATCACTTGAGCTCAGGAGTTTGAGACCAGCTTGGGCAACATGGTGAGACTCCATCTCTACAAAAAATACAAAAATTCACCAGACATTAGTGGCATGCACCTGTAGTCCCACTACTCAGAAGGCTAAGGTGGGAGGTTGGCTTGAGACCAGGAGGCAGAGGTTGCAATGAGCCAAGATCACATCACTGCACTCCAGCCTGGGTGACAGAGCCAGACCCTGTCTCAAAAAAAAAAAAAAAAAAAAAAAAAATATATATATATATATATATATATGTGTGTGTGTGAAGTTGTGTGAGGCAGTACTAGCATAATAGTTACATCTACAATGTGATGACCACTTTCCATCTTATAAACTACACATTGACCTAACATTATGATATATATACATACATATGTATATTAAAAATATCTTTATATAACATACATAGAGGATATCTTTAGGACATTGCACACTTTTCATAATGGTCAGTAAAAAATGCTTTCCTTAGAGGTAGGGTCTGTGTTTTACTCACTCTGGGACTAGCCAGAATATATAGAATAGTCCTGAGCACACAGCATTCAGGCAACACCAAGAATGAGCTTTTTAATTAGTCAAACAAGCTACAAGTTCATTTCCATGACACTGTGTAAGTTCAGTCATTATCAATTTTGTGTGAAGCATTTGCAAATCTGCATGAAATCTGATCACTGCTCTCATGGAGCTCTCAGCACAGTATGGAGACAGCGGTATACATGCTTACATTCCTCTGCTCAGGCTGCCATATAAACGCAATAGATGGGATGGCTTAAACAACAAAAGCTTATTTTCTCACAGTTTCAGAGGCTAGAAGTCCAAGATGAAGGTATGGGCAGGGTCAGTTTCTTCTGAGGATTTTCCCCTTGGCCTGCAGATGGTTACCTTCACTCTGTGTCTTAACAGGGTCTTTTCTCTGTACACACACATCCCTAGTGTCTCTCTGGGTGTCCAAATTTCCTCTTCTTATAAGAATAGTCAGAATTAATTGGGGCCCACTCTAAAGACCTAATTTTAACTTAATCACCATTGTAAAGTCCCTATCTCCAAATATAGTCACATTCTGAGGTATACTGGGGATAATACTTCAGCATGTGGATTTAGAGGGAAATAATTCAGCCCATAAGAAAGTTGATATTGCAATGTGAGTGATTAAACAATAAGGTGAGAACATTTAGCAACACATAGACTTTGTTGGATAAAGGACAGCGTGATTTTGGAAGACACAAAGCTCTTGAAGGCAAAGTAGTAACACCAGTGTTACTGCATTTTTCACTTACTCTCTAAAATCCATTGGGTACTAAGTAGAACCCAGATTGGCAGTACCACTTGTTCTGGTTTCAGAAATAGTATTCTTCTCTTAAAAAATAAAGAGAAAAGGCCAGATACGGTGGCTGACGCCTGTAATCCCAGCACTTTGGGAGGCCGAGGTGGGCAGATCACAAGGTCAGGAAATCAAGACCATCCTGGCTCATGTGGTGAAACCCCGTCTCTACTAAAAATACAAACAATTAGCCAGGTGTGGTGGCAGATGCCTGTAGTCCCAGCTACTCAGGAGGCTGAGGCAGGAGAATGGCGTGAACCCAGGAGGCGGAGCTTTCAGTGAGCCAAGATCACGCCACTGCACTCCAGCCTGGGCAACAGAATGAGACTCCATCTCAAAAAAATAAATAAATAAAAATTTAAAAAAAGAGAGAAAAAATGATCTGGTGTTTAATATGTCACTTCAAGGAAGAGAGCCAGAGTTTAAGTTACCTTTTCATTAAGATTTATACTGTCTCTTCGATGTTTCAATGCAAAAATCATTTGGCTTGCTCTGTCCTTAACACACAGATACTAAAATTCTGCTCCCTAAAATTGCACCTGGAAGTGACTGAAGACATATTTTGATCCCAAAAATTTATTTATGGGAGTCCATTCTAGGAATTGTTTAGAGGTGGAAGGAAATAAAATATTAAGCATCCCTCACTGCCCAAATTAGAGTGCAGAAAACTGAGCACAATATTGAATGGATTCAATAAACAGAACCAATCAATCAGCCAAACTTCGATTTATTCACCCAACAATTTATTCAGTCAAATGAGTGTTTGTTAAATTAAGGAGTAGTAAATCAATGAAAGATTTATTGAACACATATTATTTTCTAAAACTATGCTGAGCTCCATGGGGAGTGCGAGAACTAGATGAAAGGACCCCTCCCACAAGGAATTTATAATTAAAATGAGAGATAAAACTACCAAACATAAGCGAGAGAATAATTAGTGATTAATTGCACAGTACCAACAATAAATAGAGTGGGAATAATCAGTAAAGTTTTCACAGGAGAAGCGACATGTGAACAAAACCTTAGATGATGATTAGAATTTGACTAGGTGGACAACAGTGAAGGGACACTCTAGGTGCAAGTGATGTCATTACACAACATGGAGGTAGAACTGAGCATGGAGAGTGAGTGGAGCAGTGAGGCCACTTGACTAAGTCAGATGATGCAAGTTGAGGGAGAGTGGTAAATAAGGTTGGAAAGGTTGACAACATTGACAACATTGTCAACATTGTCCAATAATGTTGGAAATGGTCTTAAACAGCAGAGTGTGACACTTTGGCATGAAATAATAAAGCAATAATACATACAGATCTCCTAAATGTCCTTTGCTGGGGAATAGACATGGTGTAACATGTGTGTCTCAGTCTATAACAGAATACCTGAGAAACGGTACTTTATAATGAAGAGAAATTTGTTGTCTCACAGTTTTGGAGGCTGGGAAGTCCAAGATTAAGGTACCAGCACCTGGGGAGAGCCTTTCTGCTGCATCATTATGTGGGAGAAGGTGGAAGAGGAGGCACTCAGCAGAGCAAACCCACTTCTATAAGCCTCTTTCATAATGGCACTAATCCACTCATAAGGGCAGCACCTTATGACCTAAGCATCCCCATTAGGTCTCACCTCCCACTACTGTTGCACTGGGGATTAAGTTTCCAACACATGGATTCTGGGGGACATGTTGAAATCATAGCAATGTGTTTAGGTAGATGAGAGAAAAAGAGGCAACAATCTGCTAGGGCAGCATGAAAGTTACAGCAATTTGGGCAAGTGGTCAGAAGGCCTGAAAATCAACAAATGGAAATGGGTTGGGGAAGCTGTGGATACAAGAAATTGTGAAGGAAATGTAGGCTTATGTCATAGGATGTTTTACATCATTAAATCTGAGTAACTTGCAAAATGATGATGCCACTAACAGTGGAAAGGAAGAGACTGGATCTTTTTGGGAGAAGAAGGTAATGAGTACAGTCATATTGGATTGGGGTGCCTTGAACATTGCAAGTGAAACAACCCACAGACTCTTAAAGATAAAAATGAAGGTTTGGATAGGAAAACTGACTTGGAGATACAGGAGTGTCTAAAGGTGGGTATTCAATATGTTGCTCTGTGATGGAATAGAATGTATCTACACATTTGAAACACAACTTATACATTTTAGGGTCAATAGAGTAGCAATGACAACTGAAGTCATGAGAATGAAACAAGCATCCTCAGACCAAGAAGGAAGAGCAAAGAATCAGTTCAGGGGACTGAGGGAACAGTCAGAATAATAGTGGGAAAACTGAAAGAGTGAAATGTAATGAGAGCCAAAGGAGGATAGAGTTTCACAGAGACAGGGAGTAGCGAGAGGTGTGTAAGGGCTGTGGGAAAGGAGGAAGAATCAATAGTGTCAGATTCAGCCAAAATTCAAGATAATTAAGAGTTAAGAATAGATTGATTTATAAAGCACCACTGGTGTCCTCCAGAAGAGCTGCTATAATACGGTGTCAGAACTGGGACCCAGATGTCAAGGGTTAAAAGTGAAGAATGAGACAGGAAGAGAGATAGGCATACCCTTCAGCATAAACCATGTCAATCAAGTGTAGATTTGAGAATGGGAGCTCAGAGACCCAATGCTATGGTCTGAATGTTTGTGTGGCCCCAAAATTCGTATGTTGAAACCTAATCCCCAATGTAATAGTATTAAGAGGTGGGGCCTTATGCACTGATGAGGTCACGAGGGTGGAGCCCTCATGAATGGGATTAGTGCCCTTAAAAAAGAGGCTTGAGGGCCAGGCGCGGTGGCTCATGCCTGTAATCCCATCACTTTGGGAGGCTGAGGTGGGTGGATCACGAGGTCAGGAGATCGAGACCATCCTGGCTAATATGGTGAAACCCCGTCTCTACTAAAAAATACAAAAAAATTAGCTGGGCATGGTGGCAGGCACCTGTAGTCCCAGCTACTCAGGAGGCTGAGGCAGGAGAATGGCCTGAACCCAGGAGGCAGAGCTTACAGTGAGCTGAGATCGCGCCACTGCACTCCACTACAGCCTGGGCAACAGAGCGAGACTCCGTCTCAAAAAAAAAAAAAAAAAAAAAAAAATGGAGGCTTGAGGGAGTGTGTTCACCTCTTGAACCATGTGAAGACACAACAAGAAGGTGCTGTCTGTGAGGAACAGGCCTTCATCAGACGCCAAATCGGCTGGCACTTTGATCTTAGACTGCTCAGCCTTTAGAACTGCAAACAAAAAATTTTTTTTTTTGAGACAAGGTCTCACACTGTCAGAAAGGCTGGAGTGCAGTGATGCCATCATGGCTCACCGCAGCCTCGACTTCCTGAGCTCAAGCAATCCTCCCACCTCAGCCTCCTGAGTAGCTGGAACTACAGGCATGGGCCATGATGCCTGGCTAACTTTTGTATTTTTTGTAGAGATGGGTTTTGCTTGTTGCCCAGGCTGGTCTCGAACTCCTGGACTCAAGTGATCCTCCTGCCTTGGCCTCCCAAAGTGCAAGAATTACAGGTGCAAGCCACCACACCTGGCCAAGAAATAAACTTTTGTTATTTGCAAATGACCCTGTCTAAGACTTTTTTTTATAGCAGCCCAAATAGACCAAGACACCACCTTATTTTAGACATTGTGAAGAACGTCACATGCAACTGGTTGTCCCCTTTGGGAGGAGACATTTCCATTTGGGACTATAGACTTGGTAATAATCTAAGCTGGTGGTGCCAAGAGTCTAACTTGTGAGATTCAGACTCTAGAGGAGAACAGTTGAAGGCAAAAAGCAGAATTATAAACACTGAACAAGTGTTGTTTATTTGTTTACAAAGTAGTTTGAGGGCTCCAACAAATAAGTATAATTATCTCTATGAAACAAATCCAATAGCAGGACATTAGCAAATCACAACAATTAGCAAATCACAATATGGGTCCATGCTTGTCTGGTGCAATCAATTGTTTGCTTTATGTACTGCTGCTACCTTGATGAAAGGTACTAGTGATGCCCTGAGTGGTCTGAAAGCGGACACTTGAAATCAACCCATGCAGCTTCAGCGAAATTATTTAATTAAGGTTAACAAAGTGGCTTTATTGCATGTGCCAACTCTGAGAAGTTGGTTGTGGCTACAAAGTGTGCAGGGTCAAGAAAGACTCTGAGGCTTTTCAGGAAAGGGTGCCTTCAACGAGCAACTTTTTCCGAGGGATTGTAAGGGGGATGTGGAAGCATTGGTGTTTCCCATCTTCTATCTTCCATTAAATGATTATCTCTTTGAATAGAAGATTCACTAAAGCCATAACACTTTGCATTTTTCTCTTTATCCTCTCGGCTTTTACGTTTAGTTAAGCCAAAATCTTATATTACAAATGCAAAACAGCCTAATGATAGGGAAGAGCAAATGAAGAGGAAAGAGTCTAGAAGTGAAATTAGGAGTATATAGGGAGTGACATGTGGGTGGATTAGAAAGAGAGATGCCGGAGAGAGAAAGAGGAACCAACACAGAGGAACGGGAGGGACAGAAATAGAGAGGGAACATGAAGATGGGTCTCCATTTCCTTCCCACTATTTTCTTTCCCACCAAGTCTTCTTTTATTTTCCCCTCTTTTGTTCTCATGCTGGATCTGGCAGTCTGGGGTTCACCAGGCATGTATCAATCTACCTTCTAGTGATTCGGCAATTCCTAAGAGCTTCTTAAGTCTCAGATGACACTGACGTCACAGGACAGCTGCCTTAAGAATTCCTCTAATCAGTGACTAAAATCTGCTTTAATCTAAAACTTGTACCTTTCCTAAATACCAGAGGAACCAGCAATCCAACCACATCTTTGGTTCCTGAGGCTTACCTAAGCTTTTTATTCAAAGAAAGTACAGAATCTCTATTTAAATTTTAGTCTCAGTCCTTGAAAATGTCTGTGCTCCACATACCCAGCTACAGGTACTATGAAATATTTATTTAACCTTCAGCACTAGGACTTTGCAGCAAATTGGCTAGTTCTGACCACACTAAAAGCTTACAGCAGTCATCGGTGGCCTTTTCAGTTTAATTCAGAGTCACAAAAGCAATTCAGGCCAGGAATGCAACAAATTCAAAACCACTGCTTGTCTTGATATCTTAATGTCAATTATTTATAATTTCTCATCCTGGAGACAGTGAGAAGAAGAATAGAATGAATCAGCAATTTTCTTTGCAAAGCTGTGCAGAGAATAAAAAGTATCTGCCTAGCAGGGGCGAGAAAGAAAGGTATATATTCTTTACTATAGTACTTAATTTAAAATCACAAACTGGCCTACCCTTACTGATTTTGTTATTTTATTATTATTTTTTTAATGACCAGACCACAGTCCAGTAATAGGTGCTCTAATTAGGCAGCAGTTTATGTGAGGCAGCGTAGCTCTTCCATGGCTGCGAGAAACAAAGTGATGTTTTGAGTGGCATCAGAACAAGATGTTGCCCGCGAGTGGTGGTGCTGCCTGCATTTTATGTCTGGCATTGCCACTTATGCAAATCTCAAGGATCTAGTCTACAGGATCTAGTCTCTTTTCATCCACGGGGCCAAATAAGGGTAAAAGAATGCAATGGGGCCAGGTGTGGTGGCTCATGCCTGTAATCCCAGCACTTTGGGAGGCTGAAGTAGGTGGATCACCTGAAGTCAGGAGTTCAAGACCAGTCTGGCCAACATGGTGAAACCACATCTCTACTAAAAAAAAAAAAAAAAAAAAAAAAAAAGAATACAAATATTAGCCAGGCGTGGTGGTGTGCTCCCGTAGTCCCAACTACTCATGAGGCTGAGGCAGGAGAATCGCTTGAACATGGGAGGCGGAAGTTGCAGTGAGCCGAGATTGTACCATTGCACTCCAGTCTGGGTGACAGAGTGAGACTCCGTCTCAAAAAAAAAAAAAAAAAAGCAATGAGATTACAAATGTTCAGCAGGCTTCAGGAGAAATGAAGTATTTGTTATGGATGGCTGGGGTCTGGCTTATTTGCAAATGAAAATCTTACTCTGGGGCTATAATAATAATAAAGTTTTCTAAGATCCCAAAGCTAAATTCATGTAGGGTCCTCTCAGGGATTGAACAGTATATCCTGAGAAATGTCTTCTAGCTAAAGTCAGGGCAAGGCAGAGCGTCCCCCTTAATAGGAGTCTGGGGATGTATTTCCCTTCCAGGAAAGAGAGGACAGTGATAATAGCTTCCAAAGCGGGGAGCTTTTCATGCTATTGAAACCAACTTGAACACAAAGCCACCATGAAGATATTCATTGTCTGGTGACATTTACTCATGAATTCTGTCCCTGACTCATTCAACAAACATCCTTCCTAAGCCCCCTATAAAATAGACATTTCTGTGTGTATACAAAGAAGCTAGGGAGCTACGGCCCCCACCAGAGTGAGCCCATGACCTAATGAAACAGACACTTATAGGGGATTATAAAACACTGTGGCAAGTGACCATGGTACCCTCAAACTGCCAGGGAAGCTTTGTGCAGGGATGTACAGCCAGCAGAGAGGCCAGAGGGTTCCCCAGTGGGAGGGATGCCTGAGACAGGCCTTTATTTCAACGTGATTTATTATTTTCTTTTGAATTCTCAAAACGATATGTTCGTTATCAAAAACTTGGAAAATAAAGAGTAGCACAATAAAGGTTAAAAATCACTTCCAGCTAGAAAGAACACCTCATTTGATGTCATCCTTTTCTTTCCATGTGTGTCTGTGCATGTATTGTACTCTACTCAGCGGTGTCAGTCTCAAAGCCAGAGAGACCAAGGGACGCATCCTTTCATTCTAGCTGAAGCCGATGGAATCCTACACTGAGAGCTGTGAGATGGGGACATTTGGGACAATCAGCCATGTAGTTTTAGGTCAATCATTTATACATTTTGGCCTCTGTTCTCTTGTTTCTATTATTCAAGTGGGTGGATGACCTCTCTAAGGTCCCTGCCAGCTCTCTGAGTTTAAGATCTTTATCTAAAGAGATGTTTAGGTTGATCTTAAAGATCAAGGCCGGCCTATGTAAAAGTCACATTGTCCAGGTAAAAAGGGGCTTATAATTCAATATCCATACATGACATAGAAGGGGCTTATAATTCAATATCCATACATGACATAGTTAAAATGCACAGGCATGATGTATAGATGAGGACTGGGATGAAGCTTTATTTAACAGTTTCTCTTAGACTTAAGAATCCTCTGTAAATAGCAACCTGGGGTGAGTGCTGCTTAATAATAGAAATGAATTACTTTGATGTATGTATGAATTAACTTCCGAGGTAGGGCTCCTCTGAATTGCATTCTGAACAAAAGCCCCTGTTATAGCATAATCTCTCCCTGCTTCTGCCTGACAACCTCCGCCCTGCTGCAGTGTTTTGCTGCATGCCATTAGCATTCAGTATCAGATCTCCTGCAGACTGGGTCTCACATGCTGCAGTGGCCACTTTGAAATTTCAATTTGTTAAGAGGAATTGACTTTGGCTTGAAGAAGGTGACAGACCATGGGAGCTTTTAGCTAATTGCAGACATCACCCAATGTCTTGTTCTTAGCAGACAATAATTAGTGAAAACAAAGGTGAATGTTCATAGGCATATTCCTGCTTGCCCTTTACTTCAAACCCTGCGGCTATGAGGATAGATAAAAGGCTACAAATTCATAAGATATGGGATTGTACTTCTAGCCCGACATCTGGCCTTTTGCTTTGGGTTCCTGCAAGCTTAAGCTTTATGATCCATTACCACCCACCACACACACTCCTTTATTTTCAGTACTTATAAAGCAGAATTTGTGAAAGAGCCTTTGATGTTAATAAGCCTGGGTCTAAATAGCATAAAGCTAAGTAACTCTAGGTAATTTGATTATTATAGATTAATCAGCTGAAACTGAACATTCAACTATAGATGCCTATAGTTTATAGTTTATTCATCTGTCCCCATGATGCTGCAGATAAGCTCTCTGGAAGGTTTACTAGTTACAAATGCAGATGGCTTCTCTCTGTGCTCAGCTGAATCTGGAAACCCCAACAGGGGACTCTAATATCCAGCAAATATGCTATTCTTGACAATTAATTCCACCAAAGAATATGTTTTTTCCTTAGGTCCAGTGGGATTTACTGTCTTTTACAAACATTGCTTTTAAGGAGAATAGCCCCCTCTCAAAGTGAGCAGATGCAGTTCTAATTTATTATGCTGGTATTAATTTGATCATCTAACAATTTTTAAAGAGGTACCCAGATGCTTTTTAGAGCCTATTGAATATGTATGATTTAAAGATTAATTATGTTAATCCAGGCCAATTGGTCACCTCCCCACATGTGATTAACAGTATGTGGGCCTAACGGGAGATCCGTTATTAGATTATTTCTTTGTAAAGACGAAAGGAAAGGAGACGGATGATGGATTTGTAGGGCTCTCTAGAGAAAACATGCAATGGCCTGAAAGCATTTACAGGCCATGAAGTTAGGAAGCTTTCTGTAAAAGCCCATCAAGTTCTCTTCTTACCCAGGCAGTCAAAAGCCTCTTTGTTCTGAGCATGGTAAATTACAGTCCCTGATAGGATGAAGCAAATGCCTGTCTTGCTGGCCAGTTCAACGTTCAACATGGGTCACCTCCCATGCCTGATGCCTCTGGCCCAGAAATGAGTTTCTTTTCAGTGGAGCTTATATTTTTCTTTCATATTTCTGACCATCCTAAGGGAAAGTAATGAAACACCTCCAGTAATGGGGTGCCATTCTCACGTGATCAATATCTCCGGGCAGAATTAGGCTAATGGACTTGAACAAATCAATTGCCTCCATTACTCTGAAGCACAGCATTCCCCAGCTTGTTGTAAGTTCTCCTCCTGGAAACTTTGTCTGCAGGCAGAATTGAGTGCCCTCTCTGGTTGAGTCATGTGGCTTCATCAGTGGCCCTGACGCCACTGCCAGCACTCACCCCTCTGCACTGGGCTGCATCCTGCCCCTTGTGAAAGGAGTTGCTAAGTCTTCTTTGCTAGGGGTTTTCAAATGGACCAGAGTTATCCATATGAGATGGTGTAAGTGGCTAGGAGGAAGCACCATGTCTAGAGGGCCTCACCTGATAGAGGTATTTTTTGTGGTTGTCTTTTTCCTGGATGCTACTGCAGTATTTCCTTTTATTCAGATGAATTGGATAGAACAATGACTTTGGTCCCCATTTTTTGAATGGGGAATCTGAAAGTGAGACAGCAGACCCAAGGGTTGGTCTTGTGTCCACTGATGCAGTGAGAGGGGGCTACCCCTGCTCATTCCTAAAGGCTAGGAAGGAGAACCCTGCTCAAACATCTATAAGCTGAAGTGTGCTCTCTCTGTTTCCTGGAGGTGGACAATTTCCATGAAGGAATCACAGTGCCAGAAAGCCCCTGCCTTCCCCATTCTGCCTGGCTAACTTGAGAAACATGTTGTGTTATGTCTGTGTCCAAGGACCTAACCCATGATATTGAAATTATTTGTTCAAGAGTCTTCTCTCAGTAAACAATAAGATGTAAAACCACAAAACCAGCTATTAGTAAATATTTGCTAAGTGGCATGCAAGTATAACCTAGAAACTGGTCTTTTTAAAAAATGCTCAGTGCTAAAGAATTGAAATCAAAATACACTTCTTTTACAACCTTGCATCTGACGGCTTTGGTTTTTTTGCACGGGTTATGACAGCTCTCTTATCTGCAATGTTTAACCTATTTTAATAAATGGTTTGACTACCTGGTGCTGAGGCTTTTCATCATAGGAAGCATTTTTATAGATCATATGATAAACAGGGAAGCGGGTGAGAATCACTAAAAACACTCATCATTTTCTTGAAGAAAAGATTTAATGTGGATACTTAGGAAAAATAATACTATGATGTTGAGCACCACTGCACTGTCAGGCAGTGGAAATTAAAAATTACTGGAGATTGTGATGTTATTGAAACCATTCCTGGCCACCTTCAATAGTAGAATCTTAATTAGGGTAAGTAGAAAGTGACACATGAGGAGAGGTTACCATCTGTGGGGAAAGAGTGATAAGAGAGGAAGGAATGGAAAGAACAGTAGAGAATTCTAAGGATTCCTTGAATGAGTCAGCTGTTGGCCTGAACAGTCTTTTCCATGCTGCTGTAGTAGAATCCGGTCTCTCCAATGCCCCTGGTTTTCAGTACAGATGCACTGTTGGGTATTGTGTATGTGTGTGCTTGCACATGTGTGCACATGTTCAGAGATATCAGGAGAATCATAATAGCAAATCAATGAACTTTCATGTATTAAAAGTTCAATCCCCAGGAATGACTCATTTCTTTCCAAAGAACCTTCTCTTCATGATTGATAGGTAGTCAATTCCTGTCGGCTAATGCATGCATTCCCCTGAGGTCCAAGAAGATAAAAAGATTCTGTCTAAGGAAGGACATGACAATAGCTTTTTCATGGTTACATGCAGAGGGAAGATAGAAGTGCAATTTGGGCATGGTGAAAGGTGGGAAGTGGAAGAACTCAAATCGTAGAGGATTAAATTAGTCAGAAGACTGTGTTAGTCCACACTCTGCTGTTAGCTGACTATAAAACCTTGGGCAAAATACTTCCTGTTTGTGAGCCTCAGTTTCCTCCTCTAACAAAGGATTAGACAACATGATATTTAATATCCCTTTGAGGTACATGATCTTAGAGCTACAATGCATGTCCTCTCATGAATTTTGAGCTACAATTTTCTAATAGAATTTCTTCTAAGTTATAGTCAGCTATATCATTCATTCATCATTTGTTCCTTCACCAAACTCATATTTATTGAACACCTATCCTAGGCCATACCCTGTCATATCTCCACATTATAATCTCCCTGAAAGCAGTTTGCCTTCATATTTTTTACTGTCTAATCTAGTGTCACTGGATGTTCAGTAAGTATTTGCTGGATTGAGTTGAATGTCTTTCCATCAAAACCAAAGCTTAGGTAGGCTATCTGAGTGCCTTCATACCTTGTTGTATTGAGAATAGCACAGGTCTTTAGAGCCAGACAGACCAGAGTTCTAATCTCAACTCTGTCACTGACCAGCTGTGAAACCTTGGGCAAGTTACCCAACTATAAAGTGCCTCATTGTTTTCTCCATTGTAAAATGGGAACAGTAATGCCTATCTCATAGGGTAGTTGTTGGGATTCAGTAAGAACATCCATGTAGGCTGGGTGTGGTGGCTCACAACTGTAATCCCAGCACTTTGGGAGGCCGAGGTGGGCAGATCACGAGGTCAGGAGATCGAGACCATCCTGGCTAATACAGTGAAACCGTGTCTCTACTAAAAATACAAAAAATTAGCCGGGCGTGGTGGTGGGCAACTGTAGATCCAGCTACTTGGCAGGCTGAGGCAGGAGAATGGCGTGAACCTGGGAGGTGGAGCTTGCAGTAAGCTGAGATCACGCCACTGCACTCCAGCCTGGGTGACAGAGTGGGACTCTGTCTCAAAAAAAAAAAAAGAATGTCCATGTGAAATGGTCCTCAAAGTGGTTGAAACATAGTAGGCTTAGTCAATGGTGGTGATTATTTTTCCCTAAATCCATCCAGGTTTCTGGAGGTCCACTTTATCATCACTGCATTTACCTTGTATCTTTCCTCTGGACGAATGCTCTCTGGTGCTCTGAAGGGTTAGCCTCACTCTTAGAAGCTAACTCAATGAGAAAATCGGCCTACAAGGGTTCACTGGTAACATGAAAATGCATCACAATGTAGCAGAAAGGCACCAGCCTGGGAGTCAAATGACTGGAGTGAAACCCAGATAAGCCACTGTTTTTCTGTTTTTGTTTTTGTTTTGTTTTGTTTTGTTTTGAGACAGAGTTTCGCTCTTTGTTGCCCAGGCTGGAGTCCAATGGCACGATCTTGGCTCACTGCAACCTCCGCCTCCTAGGTTCAAGCGATTCTCCTGCCTCAGCCTCCTGAGTAGCTAGGAATACAGGCATGCACAACCACACCCGGCTAATTTTGTATTTTTAGTAGAAATGGGGTTTCACCATGTTGGTCAGGCTGGTCTCGAACTCCCGACCTCAGGTGATCCGCCCGCCACAGCCTCCCAAAGTGCTGGTATTACAGGTGTGAGCCGCTGCACCCAGCCGAGCCACTGTTAACAAGCTATTAGCAAGTTACTTAAGCCTCTCTGAAACTCGGTTTTATTGCCTAAAAATACTAGGATAAAATCCATCTTCCCGTATTCACATTCACTTTTCATTCAACAAGTGTTTATTATAAGTCTTCTCTGAGTGGCAGGCATTTAGGGTGCAGATAAGAAATGGGTGATCACTGTGCCTTTTGACCTCATCACCTAGGGATATGCAAGGACCAAACCAAACAAGATGTTACATGGTCAATGCCTGGCACATACTCTGTGTCTGATAGATGCCCTCAAATGCCTTCTGCTGAATGGAGCAGGCCTTTCAGGTCAATCCATCTCTCATTCTTCCCTGGCCCCTTGATGCCAGAAGATGAACTTAACTTGCCTCCTATGAGGCCTAGCAAGGGAAAGAACAGCACAGAGTAAGGACTCCCTCAGCTTTCTATCTATTATTGTTAGCCTCTTCAGTTTCAAGCCACTTACATTATCTCATAGGTCAAATGATAGGGGAAAGCTCATAATTCACATGATAGAGAAATTTCATGGAAACCCAGGAAAGCCAAGTGGCTTAGTTTAGTCAGGTCAAGAATTGTGTCAAATCTGGGCTGCAGGAAAAACAGAAGCTGCAGAGATAGGCTCTGAACCTTCCTTCCCAGGCTGGGACAGTGGGCAGGTAGCTTTTTGGCAAAGAGAAGCACCTGAGATCTCCAGATGTGGCTCAACACTGTCCTGTTTGGTAGGTGGGAATGGGAGGACAGGGGTTGTACAGTGTTGACTTTTTAAAACATACTGATCATACTAATTGATATTGCATATGTACCTTGGTAACTTCCAATCTCCTTAATGATAATCAAATCCTGATCCTCCAAGTTGCAAATGCTGAACTTTATAGGGAGTAGAGGTGGGCCTGGACCTCAGAGCCCCTCCCTCTGTCACCTGAGACTTGTTTACTCTCGAGGCTTTCTCCCTAATTATCAATCTTGAAGATTGGTGCAAACCCCATACATTCCACCTGAACATAATATACTTCCCAGAGAATCAATAAATATTTAGTTTTCCTATCAATTAAGTTTGGAGGATAAAACAGATGATTTTTTTTAACTTTTTTTTTTAGGTTTGGGGGTACATGTGCAGGTTTGTTACATGGGTAAGTTGCATGTTGCTAGGAGTTGGTGTACAAATGATTTCGTCACCCAGGTAGGGAGAAAAGTACACAACAGGTAGTTTTTCAACCCTCAGTCTCCTCCCACCGTACTTGAGGGTGGAGGCCCCAGTGCCTATAGTTCTCCTCTTTGTGTCCATGTGTACTCAATGTTTAGCTCCACTTATAAGCAAGAATATGTGATGTTTGGTTTTCTATGCCTGTGTTAGTATGCTTAGGATTATGGCCTCTAGCTCCATCCGTGTGGCATGATTTTGTTCTTTTTATGGCTACATAATATTCCATGGTGTATATGTACTACATTTTTCTATCTGGTCCACCATTAATGATCAGCTGGGTTGATTCCACATCTTTGCTATTGTGACGGACTGGGATGAACATAAAAGTGCATAATTTGTTTGTTTGTTTGTTTGTTTTTTGTAGAACAATTTATTTTCCTTTCCAGTAATGGGATTGTTGGGTCAAATGGTAGTTCTGTTTTAAGTTCTTTGAGAAATCTCCAGACTGCTTTCCACAGTGGCTGAACTATTTTATATTCCTACCAGCAGTGTATAAGCATTCCCTTTTCTCCACAACCTTGCCAACATCTGTTATTTTTTGACTTTTTAGTAATAGCCATTCTGACTGGTGCAAGATGGTATCTCATTGTGGATTTGATTTGCGTTTCTCTGATGATTAGTGATGTTGAGCATTTAAAAAATATGTTTGGTGACTGTTTATTTGTCTTCTATTGAGAAGTGTCTGTTCGTGTCCTTGGCCCATTTTTAAATGGAGCCGTTTATTTTTTCCTTGTTAATTTGTGTAAGTTCCTTATAGGTTCTGGATATTAGAGCTTTTCCAGATGCATAGTTTGCAAATATTTTCTTCCATTCTGTAGGTTGTCTGTTTACTCTGTTGATAGCTTCTTTTGCTGTGCAGAAGCTTTTTAGTTTAATTAGGTTCTAGTTGTCTATTTTTGTTTTTCTTGCAATTGTAAAGCAGAGTACCCTTATATGAGTCCAAAAATCTCTGGAAATTCTAGTTTTTATTGACTTTAGGGAACACTGTAAATTATAACCTCAGTGTTCAGATTCAACTGACCACATTCATCAGCCTCATTTGACACAAAATCCTATACTTCAAGAGACAGGACAACATTTCAATTGCTCTCCCAGCATCAATCTTTCTACTTTGAGTGTTTTGGGCCTAAAATAAGAATTTATTTAAATTCTAGCCCATTTAAATTCTAAAGAAACAGGATTTGAAGGTTA
Source organism: Homo sapiens (assembly GCF_000001405.40). Classification (NCBI taxonomy): domain Eukaryota; kingdom Metazoa; phylum Chordata; class Mammalia; order Primates; family Hominidae; genus Homo; species Homo sapiens. Next base: position 25,058,119 of record NC_000008.11, read on the forward strand.
TTCTATAATTTATTTATATTATACAGTAAAAAATTTATACCCTATTCTGGATCCAAAACTAAAGGTTTTGAGTGGTAAATAAGTATTTATGTTCAAATTTTTTTCCGAGGAAGAAACTAGTTAATATACCACAGCTTCTTATATAGCATCTCATTTCCTCCCAAGGAATCATTTTACTAAAAATGTTTTTCTATAGTGGTATATCAGTGCACCTTATGTTTCATTAAAATGTTTAAACTTCATGTCTTATAATACTATTATTCAAACACATTTTAGATTTACTCCTTATCTGCTCTTTTCTTCTTCTTCTTTAATCATGCAATTCTGGCTGGGCACAGTGGTTCATGCCCGTAATCCCAGCCCTTTGGGAGGCCACAGCAAGAAGTTCGCTTAGTTCAAGACCAGCCTATGCAACGAAACAAGACCCCTCTCTACAGAAAATACAAAATTTAGCCAGGCATGGTGGCATACACCTGTAGTCCCAGGTACTCGGGAGGCTGAGGCAAGAAGATTGCTTGAGCCCAGAAGTTTGAGGCTTTGGTGAGCTATGGTTGTGCCACTGCACTCCAGCATGGGCAACAGAGCAAGATCCTATCTCAAAAAAAAATAAAATAAACAAAAACAAACAAGCAAAAACTACCACCATGCAATTCCAGTGGGTTACCTCAGAGTCACTAATTCTTTCTCAAATTTTATCTTCAGGTCATCTTTTCATGGGTACACCAAAGCAAAAAGTCTTTTTTCCCATCCAGCTTCCCAAATCATTTGTATTTGATTAAAAATACCTTTTAAGGCTGGGCACAGCGGCTTACACCTGTAGTCCCAGTGATTTGGGAGGCCAATGCAGGAGGATCACTTGAGCTCAGGGGTTAGAGGATTCAGTGAGCTCTGATAGAACCATTGCACCCCAGCCTGGGTGACAGAGTGAGACCTTGTCTCTAAAAAAGTATAATATAACATAATATAATATAAATAGATAAATAAATAAACTAAAAATATCTTTTAAGCCCTCTTTCTCCCCTAGATTCAATGGAAATCTTTGCCTCTTCCAGTTCAATCTGGACATCAAGTTCCTGATACCCTCTCTTGATCCTCAAAATGATAAATTTTTTTCTTTTTTATGAGTTCCACCACCCATCACCTGCCACAGAGTCCTCGAATAAGAAAGTCAACTATTGTATAAAATAGAAAACACTGGGTCAGAAATGAAAGGACCCAACTTCCAATCTACCATCTGTCATTTGCAAGCTGTTAGAAGTTTCACAAATTACACAGTCTCTCTGAGCCAGAACTTCCTTATGTATAAAAGAGGGGTAAACATTCTTCCTTGCAGGTTTTTGACACCTGGAAAAAAATCCTACATGAGGCATAAAAGCACCCACTATAGTTCTGGGAACACAGCAAAGGGTCAGAAAGTTGACTGACATTGAACGTAAGCACAATTGCATTTAGGACTCACGTGTCTGTGGCAATAACTTTCTAACAGATAGGACTTCTTTTCCTTTTTAATAGCTCCTGCACTACAATACCAGATTAATCAGCTAAAAGCATCACTGTCATCATGCCACCCTTGGCTTAAGGACATATGTAAGAAAAGCATAAGAATCCTCACTCTGCCATTCAGGGTCCTCTGTGACCTCGAGACTGCACGGAATTTCACCTCCAACCTGGCTAGTCTTCTCGCCACCCCTGGTTTTCCCTACCCTGATCCTTCCCATCTTCTTGCCCTTTACCCTCATTTGTTGTTGAAAATCCTTTCCTCTCCAAGCCTTCCTCATTCTCCTATCTTGTTCATAAGCTTTGCAGCTAATTTTATCCAAATGTCTCTATAATCTCTTATCCTCCAAGAGCCCCACGTGCACACAGAACACACATATATTCTGTAGTGTATATTGATACACTTGGTACATATATTTGGTACTGTATATTTTGTACACACACATTAATCAATTAAATATATTCAATTTATTAATGAAAATATAATATGGCATGTGTACCTCTTTGTTCATTTGTTAGGGGTGAAAACTGTATCACCCCCAAAAAAGCTCTGAGCTACCTGAAGGCAAGAGCTATGCCACTGTCTAGCACAGGCTAATTAAAACACACTTTCTAAAATATACATATGCCCCCATCACCTACTAGACTTTTTTTTTTTTTTTTGAGACAGAGTCTCATTCTGTCACCCAGGCTGGAATGCAGTGGCAAAATCATGGTGTGCTGCGGCCTCAACCTCCTGGGCTCAGCAATTATCCCACCTCAGCCTCTCAAGTAGCTGGGATCACAAGTGTACACCACCACACCCAGTTAATTTTTAAAATTTTTTATATTGCCCATGCTGGTCTTGAACTCCTGGCTTCAAGCAACCGTCCTGCCTCAGCCTCTCAAAGTATTTGGATTACAGGCATGAACAAGCACACCCAGCCTACTATGCTTTTTGAGAACCAATCTCTTCCTTTATTCAGCAATCACAATACCTTTTTGTGCTTCTATCACATATACTCCCTAACCTCTAAGAGTTCATAGCCTGAGAAAAGCAGGTAATTAGAGTAAATGGAGGTGCACTAGTACTGAATGCCTAATAGTAGAAATAACAACACTTCTACTGGTAACTCTCATTTATTGAGTGGCTACTACACGCCAGGCACTGTAGCACCTGTAACTGTGACAGAAACTTGAGTGCAGGTTATTTCATTTCATCCTCTAAAAAAAAAACAAAAAACAAAAAACTATCAACTGCTAGACTGGGTGTGATCCTCATTTTATGCAAGCTCAGAGCAGTAAAGGGAACTGTCCAAGGTCATGGGGCTGGTAAGAAGCTGAATTGGAACCTGACACCACGCCTGCCTGCACCTAAAAGGTTTTCACCACTCTGCAGAATGTTATATTCATACCCAGGCACGCTTTTCTCTTTCTTCAAGGGGCGTATGTGCCATCCCTCTGCCTTCTGGATGCATCTTCCCCTTCCTAGGTGGCTCTTTCTCATTCTTTCCTAAGGCCTTTCTTCCTCTGAGAGCAGGGGCCTGCTATCTCCTCTCCAGATCTGTCACAGGCCAGCCTTCTGCACTTGCTGCAAGCTGATGCCCAGCCAGCTCTGCCTCTCCTCTCTGCCGATGCTCCTGACGCAGACAACTGCAGTGACTACGCCCTTCCTCAGCCCCCACACTCCTCAAAAAGTGCTTTTCTGGGTTTCCACGACTGCCTCCCTTCCTCCCCAAAACGATTCTCCATCCGAGGAATATTTGAAACAGCTGCTGCCCGTCCTAATGTGCCAGGGCTGAGATTGCTGCTGGAACTTCCCAGGGCTGCTGCAGTAACCCCGCCCCACTCCTGGGAAGAAGATTCTAGGCAAGTGACCGCTTCCACCCTCTTTATGGCCCTGGTCTGGGGTCAGAAAGGAAGAGGACTGGTATGCATTGAATTCTTCTTGGGTGCCTGGCAACTTCTAGCACATGTGTGCATGTTGTTTCATTTAAGTCTTCACAATAATTTGGCCAGAGGAGTATTACTACCCTTGTTTTTGCATGAGAGGGAACTGGGCTCAGAGAAATTAGGGGACTGGCTAAACTCATACAGCAGGGCAGGGGATCAGAAGCCCAGTGCACCTGCCCTGTCTCATAGCGTCTTTTTATTGGGGCACACTGTGGTTATATATTGAGCCCAACTGGCAAAACTATGCAGTAGGTGAAGTGAAAGTTGAACTCAGCATCCTTCACCTCTCCCTTGTGTGAGCCTCTCTGGCCTCTCTTCTATCAAATCACCCCATGTTGGGCACTGTGCAAGCACTTTATGCTTATTATCTCATTTGGTTCCCCAAACAGTGCTGCCAGCATATGTGTTATCCTTAACTCCATTTTACAGATGAGTTAACTGAGGCATCCAGGGGCTTCGTGCATGCCCAGGCCACACAGTGAATACATGCAGAGCTACACTCTTATTCTCGGTAACTGTACTTAAAAAAAAAAAAAAATCAGCATTCCTCTCCCAGGCACTCAGTGACAAGGGTCCCCTGAGGTGATCTATAATCTCTAATCTTCCAGCTTCTTGGCACTGTAAAGGAATTGAAAACTAACATAGCCAAGTCAAGAATGCTTTTTGTCCTTCCCTTTTTCTCTCCTAAATTCATCTTTTTTCTTTCTTCTTCTCAATTTTGAAGCCCTCCTTACTAAAGTCAGGGGCAAGGGGTGCTGCAGAAAGTCTACATTTATGCTCACTAACTGGGGAGGAAACACTGAAGTATTTATTTTTGTTTTCAGAGGAAAATATAGGTAAAGGCTGTCCTTGCATTGTGAATGTCCAGCCCAGGGGAATACTTGGCACATGGTAAATGCTCGAATATATTGTATGAATGAATGAAGATAATGAATGAATGAATGAATGAATGAATGAATGAATGAAGATAAAAAGGGAATAGGATCCAGTTCCTGGTAAGTACATGAATAAAAAATTAAAAGTAATAATTAAAAAGGGAATAGAAAAAAATCAGTACTCTCATAGCAAACAAATCAGACTTAGATGGTAATATCTGAGGACAGCAGGAGGATTCATTTGCATACATTATTTACCTCCATCTGGAATATCCACTCTTGAACTTGCCTGCAGAAAGGCCTTCTACTCTTCGGGTAACATCTCAAATGCTAACTTTAAAAAAATCTTCTTCAGTTGGATGTAATTTCTCTCCTCCTTGGCATCTCATAGGACTTTAATTTCTCCTGGCATTTACTCTCTTCTACCTCAAAGTCTATTTATTCATATGGAGACAGGATTCCATAGTGTTAAGTAGATTCTAGTTTGCTGCCAGGTTCCCCGAGTTTGAATCCCAATTTGGCACTTGCTAGCTGTGTGACCTTGAGCAAATTACTTAACCTCTCTGTGCTTCATTCACCTTGTCTGCAAGATGGGAATAATACTAATCCTTCTTATATGTGGTTATTATGAGGATTTAATGAGTTAATATACTAATATACAAGTTAATTTCATCCTTAAAACAGGTCTAGCCGCACAGTCAGCACTACATAAATGCTGGCCATTATTGTGGATCTGTCTGGCTGGAAGGCAGTAACAGCATCTTACTCAGTTTAATGTTTCCTTTAGTTCTGACCACAGGGCTCTGGACAGAGGTTTATTGACCATCCTAATTGTATTTGGGCTTTAAGAAAACACATGTCCTTAATCAGAGTGCCTGGAACCTGACCCACTTTGGGTCTGTGACTTCCTAGCCCCTCTTCCAGGAGCTAAGCTCTCTGTTCTTCTCAGAGGGAGCAGCAGGCAGCTCCTCCACCAGGAGGAGCTCAATGCCCTCAAACCCAGACCCTGCAAAGCCTCAAACCCAGACCCTGCAAAGCCTCGCCTCCATGCCACCACCTGTGCCCTCCCTAACCTCCTTCTGCACTAAAGTTTCTGCTGTTTCCCAATATGCCGGGCTCTCTTTCCACTTTTCACCTTGAATATGTATGCCCTTCCCTCTGTCTTGTTGAATCTCTGTAAGGTTCAACACCTGCCTTTCCCACCTACCCAGTGTCCACAAAAGCATATATGCTTAGACTACGCATGTAACACCAGCTGCTGTCCTGCTTGGCTCCTTGCTTCTTGTAAAGAGTCCACATCAGTAAATGTAGACCTGCTTCTATCAAATTCCACTGCATAAATAGACTGTCTTTATTTAACTACTGAGAGATAGAAAAACAGTTTCCAGGCTTTTGTTTCTTTTACAATAGAAGTACCCCCAGGAAGAATAACTCCTTAAGTTCCTGATGCTTTACTGTGAACAGGTTTACCAGATGCTCTGAATGCAGACAGCAGGTAGGTTGAGCTTAGGGCAGCCTGAGAGGAAGAGGCCTGTGAGGATAAAGAGGCCTGCCCAAGACTCTCTTAGGATGCAGGTTGTGCAAAAACGCAGGATCTCACTACCCCTTTTACAGATAACTTCACTGGGACCCAGTGGTCACTGGCGCAGGGAATACAGTCCTTGGCAGAGATTCTCAGAAAGTTTAAAATGAGCTCGAATACGCAGGTGGGAAGCTGAAAGGCATTTCCCCCTGGAAATATGACTGAGTTTTCAACAGTCACAAATCTAAGAATTCCAAGAAGAAATGTAACCTAAAAATACCGTCTTTCTGCCCTATACACTTTACAGCCCTGGAGGTTGGGATCCTCCTGAGATCTGAGGGTACCCCTTACTGAAAACCAGCCCTTTTTCCCATGGTGCCAGAGCCTGCCCAGGCACAGCCAAAGATGGAGTTTGGCTGGAGGGAATTCAGCACTGCGACTTTAACAGGGCGTGCCAGTCCACTGCTGCAGTCTCTACTGCAGTGAGCTCTGGGCGGCAGCAGCCCCAGGCTGGGCGGAGGCTGTCCAGTGCCTGGGCTGAAACCAGTGCCCTGAGGTGCCACCCCTACAGAGACCAACCACCAGGGCCACCCGTGAGCTACTTGGCTTCGGTGATGATACCATGAGCTCCTGGTATCTACAGATTAATACACAAGAGACAAACAGCACAAACTGCTTTTTTAAAACAAGTCTCCCAACAGACGTTCAATAATTCATTAGAGACAAAGCACTTAATGGGGAACAAGTAATTTCTAAAGCTTAGGTCAGAGATGCTTTCAGTTACACACAACATTGGGCTTTTACAGAATTTTCAAGCTTAAGCCCTGAATGCAGATGGGTTGTCTTTTTTTTTTTTTTTTTTCACTTTTCGCATTTTTCACACTTTGGGAAAATTTTTCTTCTCTAATTGTGCTGTTTGCGAGGGTTTATTTAACCTTGTTATAGCAAAAACTTCACTCATTTAAGGACTGTGACTCATCAAGAACATGAGACCACATGAGCCTGTTAGAAACAAGTTTTCGTTCACGGTCATGGCCGCGTCAGTGACACTCCTAGCAGAGTTTGTGTGCAATTGGAGCGTTTGCCTGCATCCTCCCTTGATTAGACTTCCTCAAGTTCTTTATATAAGATTTTCCCCCTTTTTCAAGAGCCTGCAGTTACATAAAGATATATAGAACACAGCACCAATTAAATGTCTTCCCTCTCCTCTTAAACTTCCCACCTTCCAGATCTTACTAACAAAGATGACAAACCCAATTAGGTGGTTTAAAATAGCAGGTCTCTGTGATAGCCCCATGGAGGCAGCTATATATTACTTTACAGCATCTTACACCCCGAGCGAAAGGTACAAAAAAGGAAACAAAGATATTAATATGTTCCTGCTCCTGTTGGATCGTAATTTGGCTTGTTGAGCTAAATCGGATAGAAGAGCTGAATGTTCCAGCCCATTGCAGGATGCTCAATATATATTTCCCTCCCACTTATTCCTTTATGGGGGAAGCAAAGCACTAGGCAGAAAGGGAAAAAAGGTGAGGGTTCCATAAACTTTTGCTTTATTGGAGAATTTGTCCTCATAGGATTCATTCTATAAGTGGCTAGTTACAGTGCCCTTAGAATAAGAGTCAAAAGAGTGAGGGGACTCTGTGCTCACTTTGGCAGCACATATACTAAAAAAAAAAAGATTGAGGGGACTTAATATGCTTGCACATACATACAATATTTGCACAGATGTAGTCAATGCCTTTTTTTTCCAACTTAAATTTTCTCTTTGGAGGCTCCTGCCACCTAATGGTCAAATTGCATCACTGCAAAGCACCAAGCGCAGGCCTTGCACAACCTGGTAGGATTCTTTCCTGGGTCAAAATTGCTCAAAGACATACGAATATCTTTCTACACAAAGTTCACATGCCCAAGTGGTAGAAGAGTTAGTTTGAGTGTGACCTTCTAAGTCTGTTGAGAAGAGCTTATTGCGTTCTTGTCATCAGGAAAACTAGATTTGGGTTTTGTCTTTGCCCTTAGCCTGACGTTGAGAAGCTTAACCATTCTAGGTTCACATACCTAATGTAGAGGTTGAGCAAATCAAGATAATGTCTTATTTCCTTCCAAACTGTGTTGAAAAGAAAATATTGGTGGACTTAGGTAGGTTGCTGTATATTGCTTTACTCCCTATTACACCTTGAGAAAACTATGCAAGAAAGGAAACATATATCTTTTTGATGAATACCATAATATCTTAAACACACAAGTTGAAAGCTTACTAAGATAGTGGTCTATTTGAACTTAGAGTCAGTTTAGACCATCATAATACAGCTGATTGCGCACAACTTCATTGGATCAATATAATGATTAGTATAGCATATATTTTAAAAATATATTTATGCTATGTATAAATTGTGGCAATAAAAGTGACAAATACCAAAAATAAAAATCTTCCAGTGTATTGTCTATTGTCTTTGGAGCTAAGGTTGTTTTGTTTGTGTTTTTTTATAGTGTCTTCTGAATCTGGAATGTGGCATGACCTTCTTTTCTACCCTGTTCTCCTAAAATTGTCATGGATTTATAGCATGGTGGTAGGCTAGTGGGTAGGAAAGGGGCTGACATCTAAGAGCCCTCTGTATACTGAACACTGTGAGTGTTTTCAGGTATGCCTTCTCCCTTTGCCTCCCAGTACCCTGATAAGAAAGCATTTGTCTTTGTTTTTACATAGGAGGAAATGAAAACACAGCCATCAGGTGACTCAACCAGTTAATACGGTGAATAGGGAAAGAGCTGGGATTTGAACTACAGATAGGGTAGAATGTCCTTATGGGATTTTAACTGTTGTACCATGGTCAGACTCAACAGGTAGTATTTAATATCAGAAGTTAAAAAGGACCTGGCACATAAATGCTCAAATATTACAACTCAGCTCCCCAAGGTGCATGTATAAGAATTGCGCGTGCCTAGTCATACTCACTCGGCTAAGCTAGGAGAAGGCAGTGGTCACCAGGGCTTGACCAGTATCTGCCTCTGAACCTGATTAGAGTTGACCCCAGCTCTGACGTTAGGATGGTAAACACTGTAGACATAAGTTAGGAGGTGACTGGGGCTTCACCAGTCCTTGAAAACACTGTGACACCCAGAACAGTCACAGCAAGTGGGGACAGACACTTTGTTTCGAATATTCAGAGACATCTCAGGAGGTAAGTGTGGTCATTGGTCCGTAGCCAGAGGAGGTCAGCTAAAGCGCCTCCCCCAGCCCTCAGATAGCATATTCAATAACACCACTTGACTTTATCCTGATCAAAACAGACAGCCAAGCCCACAGGGAAGACAGCAAACCTTAACTCAAGGACACAAAACGACCCAGCAAGGGCAACATGAATGCACTGGCCCTAGCATTTGTAGTGGCTCTGTCTGGGGGGACATGGGAGAGGCAGTCTGCCTGCACTGTCACTAGCATTTTATTTTAAAATGCGGTGTGGGTGGATGAAATTGAAATCTACTTGCCACCAGACAGGATGACACTGTTGCAGGGCATGAATCAGGTTATCTGAAGGTTGTGATGGATTAGGAAAGGCTCTCTCCTGCTGACAACAGGGTAAGTTCCTGCCAATTCCGCAGTGATCAGAGGAGACAGAGCATTTTTTTTTTTTTTTGGTCTTTTCTTCTCTCTTTTCTGAGCATGGAGGAGGGAATGAGCAGAGGCAAAGGCAGGCCTTCAAATTCAGTAATCCTTGGCTGTTGCTGGCAGAGTCATTTCCCCACTTCTTTCTTTGCCCTTGCTTCCTCCTGCTGTGGGGTGGGGGCATGGGGGACAGAAACCGGCCCCCATCTCAGCAGCTGCCCCTGAATAACTGAGGAAGGGGGTGCTCTATTCTATCTCCATTTCCAGGGATGCCCCAGCTCAAGCTGCTGCTCCAACAGGACAGTCCTACACTACAGGTTTTGATCCAGGCCAAAAGGGGTACGATTGATTCTGCAGTGCTCAGATTCTGGATGCAGTATGAGGGGACATCGTTCCTCTGCAGATGTTACGGCTGCTGGTAAGAACCTCCACTATGTCAGGGTGTCAGCCTGGTAGACCCGAGGAAACAGATTTCAATACGAGTGGATCCTGGCTTCAAAATAAATAGTGAGACCCTCCCAGCCCACGCCCTTCCTCCATGTGCCTAAGAATAGCTGAAAAGCCTTCCCCAGGAGACCAACCTTTGAACCCATACTAAAGTGGAGGCTTCAAGCTATGATGAAATTCTTAACCTTTGTTTTTTTTTCCTCTTTTTTCTGTCGTTTAAAGAAGCCTATGAACCCCATCTCAAAATAATGTTCTAAATTCCATAAAAGAAAATAATAGGAAGTAAATTGTATTGCAAAGTCCTCTAAGAATCTTTGGTTTAAAATATAATTATGATCTAATAACTTCGGAAGTAAATTCTGTCTCCCCAGTAAGATTATAATACATTTTCAGTTCAGCTAAACCTCCCCTCACCTCTTTTTTTCCTTAAAACTCCCCTTTCAAAGAGTCCTTCCAGACCTCTCCCTCAAGTACAGTGCCTAACGTAGTTTTTGAGTTCATTAAAGGCATATTTCTCTTTAATGAGTTATAAATTATAGGTTAAAAAAGGTAACTTAAAATACCTCAGTTTCTCATTGTTCCTTACTCATCCTCTGCTGATGGGGAAAATAAAATTCCAGCCCCTTAATTAAATCTGTCAATGTGAATTTTAAAAAAATCAACATGTTTTTATCATTTAGAAATTTGCACTAAGTAATGAGGTTACTCCTGGTTACTTGTTAGGATTTTTTCAGCCAATGCTCTCTGAGCTCATAGGCTCTGTCCTGAGACCATCTGTAGAATTACCTAAGGTTATTCTGTGCTCAACATTGGAAGAGCTCACATGCTGAAAAGGACGGAAGCTTGTTGGTGGGGTCACTGCTTACCCCTTACCCTAGCAGAAGGCACAATACAGGGTCCACCCGCAAACACATAGATGTAAGTTGGCCTTTTGAAGGCATTCGGTGATTTACTGCTTGGTCAGGCCAATTATGAGAGAAGTGTCTTCTACTGAAGGGTTCGCCTGGTGAAAAACCTCAGCAATTGTTTATTAAATTAGAAGACACTCAAATTATTTATTGAGCTTGGAAACAGCTATGACAGGTAGAGCGACTCCTAGGTGTCAGACTTTCTTCTAGATATTTGTATTGTTTCAGGTAATTTTCATCACAACTCTGTGAGTAGTTACTGTTATTCCCATTTTCCAGGAGAAGTAAGGTTCAGAAGTCAGATTGGGAGAATATTGATTTTTCATTCCCCAGTCTGCTTAGGTCCAAAGCCCACACACTTCCTTCCTCCCTCCTGACCCTCCACCAATGTCACACAGACAATAAAGAGATCAGCTGTGCAACGCAAGGGGTTGGAGGAGCTTAAAGGGAGTCCCTGCAACCTCTGCACTCAGCAGAGCATCCTTGTACACGATAAGTACTCAATTGAATGTGTTATTTATTATTATTATTATTAGGTTTATTTTTCTTCTGTGTTTGAGGAGGTAAAACTGAAAAGGCAGTTTGAGTTCCTTTTATAGGACTGGGAAAGGCTTTTGGAATGCCCAGTTGAGCCTCAGATTTTATTCTGAAGTTTATAAGAAGTCATTAGCTGTCTTTTATAGGGAATGACATTAAAAAAGATTAGCCTGGGTGCCACATGGATGGAATGAGAAGGCTGATATTACAGACAGCCAGAATCAATTCTATAAGAGTTTTGACTTCAGGGCTTCTGCAAATCTCCTGATACACTCAAAATGTAATTGTGTCTATGCACAATTACATTTTTCTGGGGAAAAAAGGATTCATAAATTTTAATAAAACCTCAAAGGAGTCTATACGCACAATAAAGTTTATGGATCACAAGATAAAAGCCCAGACGTAGCTGACAGTGGTGGGAATACAAAAGCAGGGATCAATTAAAAGATTTCTGGGTAAATTAACAGGATTTAGTGACTGATTACTTGTAGGCAACAAAGGGAAGAAATGAACCAAAAATAATAAAAATATTTCAAATTTGACTGTCTCATATTGTTATCGGCAGAAATGAGGAAGAAGGAAAGGAAAGGAAAGGAAGAAAAGAAGGAAGAAAGAAAAGTCAGGAACCTGTTGAGGTTGTAACGACAAGGAAATATTCAAGAGGAAGCCTTTCAGAACCTTCATACACTTGGTGAGAATGTAAATTCGTACGACCACTATGGAGAACACTTTGGAGCTTCTTCAAAAAACTAAAAATAGAGCTACCATATGGGGCGATCCAGCAATGCTCCCACTGGGTAGAGACCTGAAAGAAAGGAAATCAGTAGGACAAAGAGATAGCTGCACTCCTGTGTTTGCTGCAGCACTGTTCACTATAGCCAAGATTTGGAAGCAACCTAAGTGTTTACCAATAGATGAATGCATATAGAAAATGTGGTACAAATACACAATGGAGTATTATTCAGCCATAAAAAAGAATGAGATCCTGTCATTTGCAACAACATAGATGGAGCTAGGGATCATTAAGCTAAGTGAAATAAGCAAGGCAAAGAAAGACAAGCATCACATGTTCTCACTTATTTGTGGGATACAAAAATCAAAACAATTGAATTCATGAACATAAAGAGTAGAAGGAAGGTTACCAGAGGCTGGGAAGAGTAGTAGCAGGTGAGGGTGAGGTGGGGATGGTTAATGTTAATGGGTACAGAAAAAAAATAGAATGAATAAGACTTACTATGTGATAGCACGACAGGTTGACTATAGTAATAACTTAATTGCACATTTTAAAATAACCAAAAGAATATAATTGGATTTTTTGCAACACAAAGGATAAATGCTTGAGGGGGTGTAATTCTCATTCTCCATATGTAATTATTACACATTGCATGCCGGCATCAAAGCATTTCACTTACCCAGTAAATATATACACCTACTATGTATCCACAAAATTAAAAATAAAAATTTGTTTAAAGAATCTTTAAAAATAATGGCAATGACATAATCAAAATACTTCATAAATAATTTAATATTGATTACATGTGGAAATACTATTTTTTATATATTTAGTTAAATAAAAAAAATTCCAACTTCAAAAAAAAAAAAAGAAATCTTTCATTGTAGGGAAAAGTAGAAACAAATCCTGAGGAAGACATAATTTTATTGTCATCTCTGTGGAGATGTTCACTGAGAGTCTTGAAAATGAGATGCTTTCTGGGTAGAAAGAGACCAGAAGGGTGTATGATCCCAAGGGCTAAGAGAGTTTTGAGATAAAAAGAAATAATCAGGCTGGGCACAGTGGCTCACGACTGTAATCCCAGCACTTTGGAAGGCTGAGGCAGGCAGATCACAAGGTCAGGAGTTCGAGACCAGCCTGACCAACACGGTGAAACCCCATCTCTACTAAAAATACAAAAATTAGCTGGGTTTGGTAGTATCCGCCTGTAATCCCAGCTACTCAGAAGGCTAAAGCAGGAGAATCATGTGAACCCGGGAGGCGGAGGTTGCAGTGAGCTGAGATCACACCACTGCACTCCAGCCTGGGTGACAGAGCAAGACTCCGTCTCAAAAAAAAAAAAAAAAAAAAAAGAGTAAGCAGATGCTTTTAAGAGATTAAGGAGATTGCTGGCTTTGTGAAATCACCGCCTAGACAACTTGTTGATGAGACAAAGGCAAGTTCACTGGTGAGGGAGAGCACTAGTTTGATAGAGCCTACATAGCATCTCAGAGGGATGGGGCAAAGTCAGAATATATATGACATTTGGCAGTTTGGTTTAAGATGAGTCTTTGTTTGTTTGTTTGTTTGAGATGCAGTCTCACTCACTCTGCCACCCAGGCTGGATGCAGTCACACGATCACTGCTCACTGCAACCTCCACCTCCCAGGGTCAAGCAATTCTCCTGCCTTAGCCTCCCAGGTAGCTGGGATTATGGGCAAGCACCACCACGCCCGGCTAATTTTTCTATTTTTTGTAGTGATAGGGTTTCACCTTGTTGTTCTGGTTGCTCTAGAACTACTGACCTCAAGTAATCCACTCACCTCGGCCTCTCAAAGTGCTGGAAGTACAGGCATGAGCCACTGTGCCTGGCCAAGGTGGGTATTTTAATGCAGGGTATTTTTAGGACAGTAGTTACTATATAATCATTAGGATTAGTGGACATCATAAGAAGAGGGTTTTCAGGTGAAGCTTTTTAAGAGACTTGTACAGTAAGCAGATATCTGATGCTATCTATTAAAAGATGGAACAGTCTGATGTTCATTTAAATGAGCTTTTCAGGAAGTTCCTGAAGTGAATAATAAAGTTATTAGCAATTTTCTTCTTATTGGGCAAGAGTTTCCAGTAGAGGGGAGAAAAATCTTTTCCCTGTATCCTCTTATATTCCATTTCTGAGGCCTGCTAATTAAACTGATAAAAGAAAAGACAAGTTAACAGGAGAAAAGGCATACTTTTTTGTTGTTGTTGTTAATATTTTAATCTTTATATGCACAAAGACCTTCACAGAAAAGAAGTGGAGGCCCAAAAAAGTGGTTATAGCTGGAGGGTTATATACCATTTTAACAAAGGGTAATAAATTGTGGTGAAATGATAAAATGAAGGAAAAGAGGTTTGGGCTTCTAGGAATAGTAAATGGTAGGAAGGAGGAGCAGTCTAATGAAAAATAAGGGCAATTTTAATAAGGCTTGCATGTACAGACCCTTGTTGGTGCCAAATTTCTGTCTCCAGGGATAATGGTTGTTTTTCTTCCTCTTGCATGTGAGAGTGGAGGGGGAAGAATTTCACAAAGGGAAATTTATCCCCTACTTCTAGAAAGATAGGGGAGGACAGAGAGCGAGCTCCTTGTGTGCTTACTACTTAATTGACTTCAGCTCAAAATAATCTTTATGCCAAAGTGTCATAGTTTGGGATGTTATATTCTGATCTACTTCACTGAAATAGTAAGGCACATCAGTGAAGTCAGCATGAGAATAAAGTCATGTTAGCGAAGATGGCCAAATAATACAGTGATGTTTACATAGGCAACAAGCTGTTGATGTGGATGGTTTTGAGTCTCAGAAGTAACAAATTGCCAGCAAAGCTAGTTAGTGAGAAGCTGTTGATGCTCTTTGAAGCTACAGGGATTTGAATTGCTCAAGAATTCACCCAAATTCCTTGTCTCCCTTCACGGCTGCCATACTTTCACTCCTCAACCCCTAAGGTCTGCCCAGATGTAGTCCAATCTAGTCCTACAGCCAGCAGCGTGCTCTACCATCTAACCTCAGTCCCATACAGAATGGTGCCACCAGATTGTTTTCAGCTCTTCCATCATCGAGGTCCTAATGTGTCTATTATTTGAACACATTTGCAGTGCTAACTTCAAAACACTCCATTTGAGAATCAAAAGAACAAAATTTTTTCCAGCCTGCTGCAATGCTTCTCAGGCCAAACATTCACCCCCACCAAAAAAAAAAAAAAGTAGAAAAGAGGATTTTAAGTCACTACCAAGAGTAAGGAAGAGAAACTCTTCGCTTCCCATATTTGGAATACTTGTACGGCTCTGAAGCTTGTGGCAAGGGGGGCAGCTTAGCAGTTTCCTTCTCCCCTCAGCCTTCGCCTTTCCTTCTCTCTGTTTGCCCACTACTGGTAATTGTAGCAGGAAGCAGCCTGCTCCCAGACAATTTCCTGAAAATAGAACAAGAGGAGCAAAGGATTTATTCCCTGAAACAAGGAATCTCAGGAATCTTCATTCATCCTCATTATTATTAGATATCTGCATTCCCTCCCAGAGAGAAACAGAATGTTCCCACCCTGAGGTTGAGCAAATATACCACACCATCTGTGATTACAGGAATATTTTTTTCTCAGAGGAATTTTTTTCCTTTGAGAATTTTTGTCTGCAGGACACAAGCCCTGCCGTGTTAAAGCTTATTGCAGACATAAAGCCCTTACTGCTGTGTGTGGCACTCACCTTTCACGGTGAAGGTCGAGGCAACAATTCAGATATGCACATCTCCATTATGTCAGCTTCCTGATCTTACTCTTAAGGGTGTCTTGAACGTCTGCGTTAAAAGATTTTATTCTCTGAACCAGTTCCTGCCTTGAAAATGGCTGAGATGATGGAGAACTGTACCATGAGTCAGCTAAAAAGAATGCAGGGAAGTCAGAGGTTCTGCCGTGGGTTTGGATGCTCTAATGCATGATCTTAGAGCTGAAAAAATAAAGACAAGCTATTCTCTGAGGGTGGCATCCACATAGTGTTAATATTCACAATGAATACAACTCGCTGGGTCACTTTACGTGTATGGCACATATGAATTGCAGTCCATAACATCAGTGTGCAGGAAATATCACATTTTCCCCTAAACCAAAAACAGTCTGATGTGATCTGCCATCCATTAGGTCACCGAAAAATTTTATTTCAATTATGACATGGGTTCCCACTTTACAGTCCATTGTTTGAGAAGGTCCCAAGAGGCTGTAAACAGTACAGGACATTTAGGAAAATGCCCTAGATGTTTTAGATCACACAGGTCACTTCTGATTTGTTCTTTGTCCACAATTGTAGACAGATGAAAGACTGAATCCAGCTGTCCAGTTGGGTAAACTATTTAATCTCCCTAAATCTCAATTTTCTTTTCCACAAAATAATTGTGCCTACCTTGTAGTGAGGATGAAACGAGAGAAGAAAAGGGAAGTACATAGTGGAGTTGCTCAGAGTCTTTTCTTTCCACACTTCCCCTCATAAACCTTCTGCCTCTAGTCATGCTCCACTTATCTTTCCCTACTTGGTTGCCAGTACTCTTTCTACTGAGGGTGCACAAAAGACAGTTTGGGGTTTGTTTTTTTGTTTTGTTTTGTTTTGTTTTTGAGACAGGGTCTCGCCCTCTTGCTCAGGCTGGAGCACAGTGGCAAGATCATGGCTCACTGCAACCTTGACCTCCTGGGCTCAAGCAATCCTCCCACCTCAGCTGCCTGAGTAGCTAGTACTACAGGCTCATGCCACCACACCTGGCTAATTTTGCCTTTATTTATTTATTTATTTGTAGAGATGGGGGTCTCACTATGTTATCCAGCCTAGTCTCAAACTCCTGGACTCAAACGATCCTCCCACCTCAGCCTCCCCGAGTGCTGGGATTACAGGCGTGAGCCACCATGCCCAATCAAGACAATTATTAAGGCTTAACTTTGGCCTCAAAAAATTCTGCCATCATTTTCCCTCCTAATCCAGATATTGGAACTCCACACATCTGTAGCAAATACTGCTATCCAAATACTGGAACTCCACACATCTGTAGTGATGCTGTGAATAATGACAAAGAAAAATTGCCTTAAAAGCATGGGATGCCTGGGGACTAAAGAAGACTAGGAGGTGTAAGTGACTATGGAGAAGAATCTGTGATTGTTTCTGTCTCCAGGTGATATATCACATGGACTTCCTTCATCTAGAAAGTGTGGGTCTTCTGCTGGAGCAGACATTTCAGTAAATCACGAAGGCACCATCAGCAGACACAAGCAAGTTATGTAGACAAAGGGCTTATTTATCTTTATCAAAGCTGGTTACCATGTTTTCTTTTCTGACACTGTAAGCAGGTTCTTTGACACAAGTGATTTTGCAAACCTAGGAAACAATGAAAATGACAAATGAGATGCACCAAAACAGAAGCTGGGGGTGTGAAGGGAAGCCCTTTCCATTTCACATCACAACTGTATACACTTCATCTTCTCTTGCACCTAACTCTTCCTCTTTTCTCTACAAGGAAATTAATTTTTTGGCAGAGAGCTACAAAAATTTTTCCCATGGAGATTATTAGAAATCTGTCATGCACTGGGCGAAAACTGACTACCTGGATGCCTGCAACTATTAAATCAGCAGCATTTAATTTCACACTGTTATACTGTTTGCTCATTGCTACATGTGCTCTTTTAATTAGTCTTAAAGGATCGTGTTTCTTGGAGCTATAAAGTCATATCTGTAGCAACACTCCATAACAGTAGGTGTTCAGCACTTTTTGATGAAGTCCCACATTGGTAAAATTGCACATGGAAAGGGGAGACCTATGTAGCACATCTGTGCAAAACCAACAAACAAAAAATCCCATAAAGGCAGGGCAGGAACTCCAGTCTATAGTCTGTTTAATAGCAGGGACTTTGTCTTCTGTTATCGCCACAGAATCTGGCACAAAGCTGGGTATACAGTAGGTTTTCAATAAATGCTTGCTGAATTGAACCTCCTTCTACCACAGGTGGCATGGAGACAGAAATGACAATTCAGGTTTGTCATGCCTCCTGGACATTCTGTATTTCTTTTGAAAATTGGTCTGAGAAAAACAATTCATTTGCTGCAAAAGACAATATGTCAAAATTTCCACTTTGAACTCTAAAGAAAAAAAATTATCAAATAATGTAAATAAATTATTTCAATAAGCATAATAATAGCTTCAGGAAGGTAAATCACAGCTAATGTGTTCATTGTTTACAAGGAAGATAGCAATAAGAAAGCAGCGTAATAATAAACACAAAATAAAAACACCCCATCAGCATCTTAACCAGCAAACCACAGCTGTTCTGAGTGCATTCAGCATCCAGGGTTGTCATGTCCTCACATGTTTCTCACTCCTCCTGATTCATATGCCCAGTGATTAGTTAAGATATAAATTCAGTGGTTATAACAAAGTCTCCACAATTTAAAAATGGCTTAGACCAGATTAAGGTTCATTTCTCTTCTATCTAAAACACCATGTAGGCACTTCAGGGTAGATGCGGTGGCTCTACAATCTTGAGGGTCCCAGACTACTTCTATCATATTTCTCTGCCATTCTCATCTTCAGGTTTCATCTCCTATCCCAGTGTGGCTGCTTTGGCTCCTACCATCACAACTGCATTCCAGCCAACAGAAATAGGAGAGGTGAAGCTTAAAATATGTTGTAACATGGAGGTTTCTCATATTGGTTCCTCCAGAATCCAGTGTTTTTACCTCCTGCAAAGGAGGCTTGAAAGGAAGAATTTTCTGGGCTTTTCTTTGCATTGTTAAAATTTGGGAGTGGTATTATCAAAAGAAAAAGATGAGAATGGATACTGGGGAACAATCAGCAGTCTTTGCCGTACTATGCCTACTGTTTAGTAATCTCCCAGGCTTTTCTGGTGACATAGAGCAGTAATTCTCAAGTTTGTTTAGGAGATAAAATACCCAGGTATCATTAGCTAAACATGAACATGAGATGCTCAATATCAATGTTTAAAACAAACAGAAAGCCTTCTATGGAACACTAGCCCCACAAGATAGAGTGGAGAAAAACTATGGTGCTGAGGTCAAATATGTTGGGAAAATGTAGCTCCATTTTTTCCTGGAGATATGTAAGGTACAACTCATTTCATAGACTCTGAGGAACAGTTTAATTTTGTTTAAACCAGTATTCCCCAAACTTATTTGACTGAAGAGTTTTTTTAGGTAAGCCCTGAATCCCACAGAATTAGTGTGCTACAAAATACACATTGGAAAAGAGATTTCATTTCATCCTTCAAAGTGGGAAACATAATTGCTAACTACTGTAATCGCCCAATGGGTTCACCTTGCCTGCTACCTAGACAGAGCTGATTTATCAAGACAGAAGAAGGGGGAATTGTAGTGGAGAAAGAATAATTCATGCAGAGCCGGCGGTGAGGGAGACTGGAGTTTTATTATTACTGAAATCGGGGATTGGAGGGGTTTTTTTCTTTGTTGCGTTTTTGTTTTTGTGTTTTTGAGACGGAGTCTCGCTCTGTCCCCCCGCCTGGAGGGGGATCAGAGTTTTTAAGGATAATTTGATGGGTAGGGGCTTGGAAAGTGGGGAGTGCTGATTAGTTGGGTTGGAGATGGAATCATAGGGGGTTGAAGTGAGGTTTTCTTGCTGTCTTCTGTTCCTGGGTGGGATGGCAGAACTGGTTGAGCCAGATTACCTGTCTGGGTGGTGGTGATCCATCCAGTGCAGTGTCTGCAAAATATCCCAAGCACTGATCTTAGGTTTTACAATAGTGATGCTATCCCCAGGAGCAATTTGGGAAGGTTTAGACTCTTGGAGCCAAAGGCTGCAGGACACCTAAACCACAATTTCTAATCTTGTAGTAAATTGGTTTGTCCTGCAAAGGCAGACTGGTCCCCAGACAAGAAGGGGGTCTTTTCCAGAAAGAGCTGTTATCAATTTTGCTTCAGAGCCAAACCATGAACTGAATTCCTTCCCAAAGTAAGTTCAGCCTATGCCCAGAAATGAACAAGGAGAGCTTAAAAGTTAAGAGCAAGATGGAGTCGGTTAGCTCTGATATCTTTCACTGTCATTATTCCCTCAGTTATAATTTTGCAAAGGCGGTTTCACTGTAAGAAGAAGAAAATCACAACTGTAAGCTCTCGTATTCCAAAATAAAACAAGTCCTTGGACTAAGAATAATCAGGTGTTTCTGACTCTGTTGTTATATGTGTGTGTGTGTGTGTGTGTGTGCACGCGCGTGTGTGTGTGTGTGTGGCACTTTCACTCATTTTATCCCACAAGGGTAGCAGGTATAAAAGGTTTTAGTAACAGTGTAGGAGAATGACTTGCAAAAATTCTTACTGATTAAATTCTACCAGGAATTGGGAAATTTCCTCATTAATGAGTGAATAAAACACCTGAGCCCATGTCACAAAATAGTTCATAGGAGAGTAGCTTGAAAATCCATAGGCTTTTAAGCCACAATTTCTGCTTTCAAACGCATGTAACCTATTTTGGAAGCCATGACTCACCCACAAGATCAGGCACGTTTGAGGATTCTTTTCCCCTCGAGTGCTGGTTCTTCACACTTGTACTGCTTTCCAATTATTATTGACTCTTGCCTCTCAAAAGAGTTTAAATAAATAATAGCCATTTTGCTGATCCATTAGATAGGGACAGCAATCTCACACAGTAACACACAGGCTGTCCTACATGGCCCCCACTAAGAACTGTAAAGTGTCTGCATGCTCATGTACTAAGACATGGTCTCCTTTTCCCCCTCAATATACCAGCAGTAGCAATAGTTTCAAAATTTGATCACATGGACCCTGGATCACCCATAGTTTTGAAGATCTATTGGCAACTGTTCCTATTAAATGGTTCTTTCCCTATAAATGGTTAATTTAAGTGAAGATTTCCTATTTGCAGGAAACGATTTGGAAGGTAAATGAGTTATTGTGAGGTGGATAACCTGAGTCTCAGTCCATTTGTTTCTTCCTTTTGCCTTTCGTTTTTGAGTGATCTGATACATAAGTGTGGCTTCAATATTTATCCACACCAATGATGTCAAGTATATTTCTAGCTCAAACTTCCCTTACCTTAACACCAGTTTTCAATTTAGACACCAAACAAAACTAGTACCACAGCATACCCAGTTCCCCTAACGACAAACTTGAATGTCATCCAAGACGCTATCTTCTTTTTTAACGAGCATTGTTGATTCTTCCTCCTAAAACTACCAAATACATCCCTTACCCTGAAACTTAACAGATACTCTTCTTCTCTTGTTTGGACTATTACAATAGCTTTTTTTTCTTTTCTTTTCTTTTCCTTTTTGAGGCGGAGACTCGCTCTGTCGGCATAATCTTGGCTCACTACAACCTCCGCCTCCCGGGTTCAAGTGATTCTCCCGCTTCAGCCTCCAAGTATCTGGACTATAGGTGCGCGCCACCACGTCCAGCTAATTTTTGTATTTTTAGTAGAGACAGGGTTTCACCATGTTGGCCAGGATGGTCTCAATCTCCTGACCTCATGATCCATCAACCTTGGCCTCCCAAAGTGCCGGGATTACAGATGTCAGCCACCACACGATCTCTCTGTCTATAATCTTCACCTTTTCCAATTTACACTCCAATTCAACTTACCCTTTCTAACACTTAATTCTTAAATTCCTCCTCTACAACAAAATTTATAATAGTTGTCAATCTCCTACAGTAGTGATTCTCAAATTTAGAACTGTAATGTCTCTTTATATGTGAAAAAAAATCCATGTGAATTAGTCTCCTTTTGCTGCTATAACAAATTCCTGCAAACTTGGTGGCTAAAATGACACAAATGTATGATCTTACAGTTGCAGCGGTCAGAAGTTTGATATTGAGTGTCACTGGGCTAAAACCAAGGTGTCAGCAGAACTGCATTCCTGCTGTGGAATCCAGGGAAGAGTCCCTGTCTTGGCTTTCTCTAGCTTCTAGAGGCTGCTGCATTCCTTAGCTCCTGGCTCTCTTTCATCTTCAAAGCCAGCAAAGGCCAGGCGAGTCTTTCTCATGCTGTGTCACGTCTCCTTCTCTGACTCTGACCCTCCTGCCTCCCTCTTTCACTTACGAGGACCCTGTTCCGGGCGTGGAGGCTCATGCCTCTAATTTCAACACTTCGGGAGACCGAGGCGGGTGGATCACTTGAGGTCAGGAGTTCAAGACCAGCCTGGCCAATATGACAAAACCCTATCTCTACTAAAAATACAAAGATTAACCAGGCGTGGTGGTACATGCCTGTAATCTCAGCTACTTGGGAAGCTGAGGCATGAGAATTGCTTGAACCCGGGAGGCAGAGGTTGCAGTGAGCCAAGATCACGCCTCTACGCTCCAGCCTGAGTGACAGAGCAAGACTCTATCTCAAAAATAATAAAAATTAAAAATTAAAATTAAAATTAAGGACGCTTGGGATTACATGGGGGCCATCTGGATAATGCAGGAGAATCTCCCTGATATAGGCTGAATAGCTGTCCCCACCCAAATCTCATGCTGAATTGTAATCCCCAGTGCTGAAGGTAGGGCCAGGTGGGGCCAGGTGGGGCAGGGGAGGGCAGGCAGGGAGGTGTTTGGATCATAGGGGTGGATCCCTCATAGCTTGGTACTGTCTCTGTGATAGTGACTTCTTGAGAGACATGGCCATTTAAAAGTGTGTGGCACCTTCTCCCTTCGCTACTCTCTCTGTTGTTCCTGCTTTCACCATTGAGGCACAAGCTCCCACTTAGCCTTCCGCCATGTGTGAAAGCTCCCTGGGCCTCCCCAGAAACCGCCCAGAGCCAAATGATGTCAGTGCCATGCTTCCTGTACAGCCTGCAGAACTGTGAGCCAATTAAACCTCTTTTGTTTGTTTTCTTTCTTATTTATTTATTTATTTATTTATTTATTTTTGAGGCAAGGTCTCACACTGTCACCCAAACTGGAGTGCTAAACCTCTTTTCTTTTTCTTCTTCTCTCTCTCTCTCTTTTTTTTTTTTTTCTAAGACAGAGGATCTGTTGCCCAGGCTGGAATGCAGTGGCATGATCTTGGCTCACTGCAACCTCTGTCTCCCAGGTCCAAGCAATTCTTCTGCCTCAGCCTCCCAAGTAATTGGGATTACAGGTGTGTGCCACCACACCCAGCTAATTTTTGTATTTTTGGTAGAGATAGGGTTTCACCATGTTGGCCAGACTGGTCTTGAACTCCTGACCTCAGGTGATTCGCCCGCCTTGGCCTCCTAAAGTGCTGGGATTACAGGTGTGGGCCACCAGGCCCAGCCCTAAGCCTCTTTTCTTTACATATTACCCAGTCTCCAGTATTTCTTTACAGCAATGCAAGGACAGCCTAAGGCACTCCCCACCTCACCATCTGTAACAGAATCACACCTGCACAGTCCCTTTGGCCATGTGTATTAGTTTGCTTGGGCTGCCATAACAAAATACCATGAACTGACTGGCTACACAACAGACATTAATCTTCTCCCAGTTCTGGAGGCTGGAAGTCCAAGATCAAGGTGTTGGCAGGATTGGATTCTCCTGACACCTCTCTCCTTGGCTTACAGCTGGCCATCTTCTCACGGTGTCCTCACAAGAACTTTTCTCCGTTCATATACACACCCCTGGTTCTCTCCCTCTTTTTATAAGGACAGAAGTCCTATTGGAATAGGGCCCCACCCTAACACCTTATTTTAATTTAATTGCCTCTAAAGACCTTATCTCCAAACGCAGTTACATTCTGAGGTACTGGAATTTGGGACTTCAACATACGAATTTGGGGGGAAGCTGATTGAGCCATAACATGAATTTAGCCCACCTATGAGCTCCTTAACTTTGATCAAGCTGACTGCTCTATTTATGAGTTTCCTAATATGTAAAATTGGGAAATAAGAGTGCCTACCCCAAGTGCTTATTTTCAAGAGTAAACAAGATAAATCATGACTTGGAACAGTGCCAAACATGGAGCATGCACTTGGTAAATGATACCTAATTAAGATATAAAAGTAAGAAAGTTATCTGTTCTCACTCCCTATCTTTACCTTTGGTTTAAGCTGCCCCTTGGGCACGTTTTTCCATTGTGTTAGTGCTGAACCTCCAAAAATAAGAGTAAAAACCGATGCTAAAGAGAAAACGTAAGTTCTCTCTTAGTTTTGGCTTCAGAAAATGAAAAGTAACAAAGAATATGAAGAAATAAGAATGACCTTTGAGATTCAGGACTGCTTAGGAACATGGTGGTTTCATGAATGTGGTCCTCTATCAAAACTCATCAAACTGCACTGTTGAGATCTGAATGTTTTACGTCTTCCCAAAATTCATGTGTTGAAACCCTAGTTCAAAATGTGAGGGAGATGGGGCCTCTGGGAGGTGATTAGGTCAAGAGGGTGGAGCCCACATGAATGGGACTAGCGCCCCATAAGAAGAGATGTAAGAGAAACCTCTCACCCCTTTCACCATGTGAAGACACAGAGAAGACACAAACTGTGAGCCAAGAAGTGTGCCCTCACCAGACACCAAATTCATCAGCACCTTGATCTTGGACTGTCCAAGCTCCAGAACTGTGAAAAATGAATTTTTGTTGTTCATAAGCTACCCTATTGTATTTACTTATAGCAGCCTGAATGGACTAAGACATGCACTCAAACTAGGTCCAATTCATTAGGGGGAAAGTATTTACCAATAAAAAGTGTTAACAGCTATATATTTGTATCGATAATTTAAATTATTTAGATGTTTAAGGGCAATTATTTTCAGCTTAGCAAAAATTAATAAAAATAATTCTAGAACTGCTGGGAGGGGTGGCTTACACCTGTAATCCCAGCACTTTGGGAGACCAAGATAGGCAGATCACTTGAGCCCAGGAGTTCAAGACCGGCCTGGGCAACATAGCGAAACCCCATATCTACAAAGAACACAAAAATTATCCAGGCATGGTAGTGCGCACCTGTGGCCCCAGCTACTTGGGAGGCTGAAGTGGGAATGTCAATTGAGCCCAGGAGGGTGAGGTTGCAGTGAGTCATGATTGTGCCACTCCAGCCTGGGTGATAGAACGAGACCTTGTCTCAAAATAATAATAATAATAATTCTAGCACCCTCAAGTGGGGTGGGAGGGAAGAATGCTACTCTGTGCGTACCCATTAGGACTCTTTCAGTTGCAGGTGACTGAAACCCCAATCCCAGCTGCCTTGAGCCATAGGGATTTTATTGGCTCAAGTAAATAAAGCAGTGGCTGTAGGTGCAGCTGGTTATGGACCCAGCTGATGTAATCAGGATCTGGTTTCTCTCTCCCCATCTTGGCTTCTTCAGTAATACCTGACAGTTGCCAATTCAGCAACAGCCAATTTCACTGCAGTTGCCTCAGGGAGCCAGGAAGCACACAGATGAGCTTTCCTTATGGTGCTAATTTGAACACAAATTAGAAACAAGTAAATTAAAATCAAATCATTAAAAGAAATAAAGAAATCTGGAAAAGTGTTACGGCTAAATTGTGTCCCCTCAAAATTTATTTGTGGAAGTCCTACTATTCAATATCTCAGAATGTGACTGTATTTGGGGATAGGGCCTTTTTTAAAAAAAGTAATTAAGGTAAAATAGGTCAGGTGATGTGGCTCTCGCCTGTAATCCCAGCACTTTGGGAGGCCGAGGTAGGTGGATCACCTGAGGTCAGGAGTTCAAGACCAGCTTGGCCAACATTGTGAAACCCCTTCTCTACTAAAAATACAAAAATTAACCAGATGTGGTGGCAGGTGCCTGTAATCCCAGCTACTTGGGAGGCTGAGGCAGAAGAATAGCTTGAACCCAGGAGGCAGAGGTTACAATGAGCCAAGATCTCACCATTGCACTCCAGCCTGGATGCCAAGAGCAAAACTCTGTCTCCAAAAAAAAAAAAAAAAAGAAAGGTAAAATAAAGTCTTTAGGGGTGAGTCCTAATCCAATATGACTGGTATCCTTATAAGAAGGGATCAGGACACAGGCACAGAGGGAAGACCGTGTGAAGACACTGGAAGAAGATGGTCATCCACTAACCAAGGAGAGCGGCCTCAGGAGAAACCAACCCTGCCAACACCTTGATCTTGGACTTCCAGTCTCCAGAACTGTGAGGAGATAAATGTCTGTTGTTGAAGCTGTACTTTGTTATGCCAGCCCTGCTGACTAATACATTTGGCCCATGTGTCTTCATTGTCCAATTCACCTCCACACAGCAAGATGGATGCTAAAGGCCAGGAATGGTGGCTCACGCCTGTAATACCCACACTTTGGGAGGTGGAGTGGGGGAGAATTTCTTGAGCCCAGGAATTCAAGACCAGCCTGGGAAACACAGTGAGACCTCACCTGTACCATGAAAAAAAAAAAAAGATGGCTGCCAAGACCCTGGGCTACATCCTCCCTGGTTCACAACCCAACACTAGCTGGGATCCTGAGTGTCACTCTGATTGCAGAACAAAGATAATGTATGTCATGAAACAGTACTTGACATTTATATGAAAATTCTTTTTGTATTTGGTTTGTACTTGCACCTGGGTGACCTCCCCTACTCTCTAAGGCAGAGTCAAGTGTCCACATTTTGACTTCCAAAAGAGACTCTTGAAATCTGTAAACCATAGTTGTAAAAATTGAAGCTTTTTTTCTGCATGAGCCAGGCATTGTAGGAGGAAAGAGGAAGGCTTTTTTCCCTCAAAAGGCAAAGCCTGAAAGGAGCAGGGCATAACGTTCATTCACTAAATTAGACGGAAAATAGAAGTTCACAAAGAGTTAGGCCTCCTTGCTCTGCAGAAGAAGATGAAGGTTTTCCCGGCTGGAAGGGCAAGAAGACAGAGGAGGAAGAGGAGAGAGGAGACTGGAGGCTTCTAACCTAGAGCACCACTTGAAGAAGTGTGGAGCCAATGTCAAGGACAGCCAAATGCAGGCAGGTGACACCCTCAGTCTACAGTGCTGAGGCTCAGGGGAGCTGTCGCAGAGGCCAGAGCCAGTCTAGGCAGGGCAGTGTGCCACCCACCTGTGCTGAGCAGCAAGGCATTGCTAAACTTCTTATGCCAGGCGGGGAAGCATCCAGCCAACAACAGACCACCCAGGACCTATCAAGAGTGTGAGGGACTCAAACTTTACTTTCAGTACACTGCCTGTGTCAGGACAATTCTAATTCCTTCCCCCCTCCCCCACCCAAATACAGGGTGATTCCTTGAATACTCAGAGAAGGTAGAGATGTTGGGGAAAGGAAAGTTCTAGGACCTGTACTTGTATGCCTGTATGGGACTAAGTAGAGCTAGCTACATATTTCTGCCCCATCACCCTCCTACAGCAAGCTGACAACCAACCTCCTTTATATATGTACACTTCTGGCCCAGGAACTAGGGCAATACCCCAACTGACTTAGGCTTGGTCCTGTGCTCCACCACCACTTCCTCTGAGTGCGAAGCAGATCCCCCAAGTGCATAGAACAAAGATGAGAGAAGCATCAAATGCAAAAAAGGCAGGTACCAAAATGAGGCTAGGCTGATTTGCTACTTTTGCAGCAATGTATGTTTGGGCAGCCAAAACAACCGTTTTTCACTAGACCTGATCATATCTTGTTGTCATACTTTAGATTTTCCCAGAAAAGACAACGGTTTTTTTCCCTCTCAAACTCACATATTCTCTTGACCCAGAGGCTCTTGACCTTCCTGGATTCTTTGATGAACAGTTATAGTTAATGCATAATAACTGCAGACCACAAGTAAGAGACATCAGTAATTGGATGACAAGGCCAGAGAAGGTCAGTGTCATAGGAGTAAATAGGAATTCAAACAAAAAAAAAGGAATGAGCAATTTATGTAAATATTTCCAGTGTGTCGACCCCATTAAATTACATTTTGCAAATGTGGTTAGGGAGAACAGTGTGTCTCCCACAGATCTTTAAAATCCCAAGGATGCCTCCCAGAATCTCATCAAGAAGACACCAATAAGATATATTATGAGTAGTGATCAGGAGAGAGCATGAGGGGAGCCCCTGGGGTGCTGGGTGAGGTTCTGTTTCTTGATCTGGATGTCAATTATCAGAGGTATTGAGTTTATGAAAATCATCGAGCTGTATTCTTATGATCTGTATTCTTTTCAGTATGTGTTTATACTTCAATTAAAAAAAACTTAGGCCAGTTTCAGTGGCTCATACTTGTAAGCCCAGCACTTTGGGAGGCCAAAGTAGGAGGATCACTTGGGGTCAGGAGTTGGAGACTAGCCTGGGCAACATAGTGAGGCCCCATCTCTACAAAAAATAGGAAAAGTAGCCTGGTCTGGTAGTGTTTGCTTATAGTCCCAACTACTTGGGAGGTTGAGGTAGAAAGATCACTTGAGCCTGGGAAGTGGAGGCTGCAGTGAGCTATGCTCATGCCACTGCACTTCAGCCTGGGCAACAGAGCAAGAACCTGTCTCAAAAAATATATGTGTATATATAAAGAGAGAAGAGGAAGAGAAAGAGACACACAGAGAGAGAGATACTCTTGTAAATTAAGTTATGATTTGATGTCTAAGAATTTTGAAGAAGTCCCCCAATAATAGAAGTCATTTGTCATTGCTAGGGAATATGGACACACAATAATTTCGTGGTAGGACCATTTTGGGTTTATCTAGGTCTTTGTATGGGAAAAACAAACTGACAGATTGAGTGGTCTGGTTAAAGAGTGGGCTCTTCTGTTACAAGCAAAGAGGATTCTCACAGGTCCTTCAAGAGCCTGGTGCTCAACCAGCGTCTTCTGATTGGGTGCCATGCTCCCCTGCTGGCCTTGGGGTCCTGTTTCTCAGGCACTTTGACACCAGCGAGGGGTTTCACCCAGGGCTGGGTGTAAGGTCTCTGACCTCTGGCAGCACAAGTGCACTGTTCCTCACCTGAAACCACTGGGACCAAGTGTACTTTAAAATGCATTTATTTTTGAATTCTAGAAAGAAAACAGTGCCTATATTTAATATCTGTTGTGTAGAAATAATATACATATCAATTTTGTGTGCACATATATACATATATATAGTGTATTAATTATGTACCAACTCCAGCAGAGTCTAGGGCAACACCATGAAATGAAACACATATTTCTGGAGTGCAGTTCATAAATATTCACATGAAGGAAGATGAAAAGGAAACTTTAAATATCTCATATCACTTTAGGAAAGTTTTGCTCCATAATAAGTATAAAAACTGTTTTTTAAAGATGGGGCGATTACAATTTGTAAAAAAATATTCTAGACCCATATATACTTACCATTTTAAAGCGGTAAATTAATAGCCTGGGTTTATATTTTTTGCATAACTGTTATTAGTGTGAATTCATGTCCTAGAGTCAAATACTCATCTACTCTCGCCCCAGGTAAATTGATAAAATAAAATAGCTGGAGTTGGTAAAGCCAAGTAAACTGCTGGGCAGTTTGCCCCTCTCTTGCCCCATTCTGGGCAGGACAGAAAACATAGGCCTGCCAGTAGTCTCTCTCCAGCTTCCCACTAGCCATCATTAATTTTTGGATATCGTGCCCTGTCTATGACTTTCTCTTTCACCCCTTTCTGGAAAATCTTCTAAGAGACCTCAATGGTCAAGTAAATCATTGCTGAAGAAAAAGTCATTCGATTTAATACATTTAACAAATATTTGAATCTATACATTAGTACTGTGCCATTTTACCCTATATAATTTTGATCATCAAGTTGTGATAAGGTACCCTAACAGAGAGTCAATCTCAATTTTTCTAAAACTTGGTGGCTAGCATCAGGATTTGGCTGCAAGTCTAAAACTGGGAGTTTTCTGCCCTTTTGTTTGGGGAGAGTTAGGAACCTCATTTGGAGGGTTTTTTGAGAAAGAAAAAACAAAGGGGATGCGGAGGGAAGGGGCAGGGGAGGGGCGGGGAGGGGCAAGGGAAGGGAAGGGGAGAGGAAGGGAAGGGGAGAGGAAGGGGAGGGGGGAAAGGGGAGGGGAAGGGGAAGGGGAAGGGGAAAGGGAAGGGGAAAGGGAAGGGGAAAGGGAAAGGAAAGGGAGAAAATCCCAGTTCCTGCTCAAGAATGGAGATTTTGGGAAAATGTAGAGTTCAACTGCTCTGTTTTCATTGTGCATCTCTGCAGGGCAGGGCAAGGAAGGGAGAGAATCCCAGTTCCTGCTAAAGAATGGAGACTTTGGGAAAACACGGAGCTCAACTGCTCTGTTTTCATTGTGCAACTCTGCAGATTATCAGGCTGTCTGGAAGGCAGCCATGAAACGGGAAGAGGTTGTCTCCCTCTCTTTAGGCTGCAGAAGGAAAAAGAACCTGAAGAGAAGGACGTGCTCAAGGCAATCCTATTGTGGAGGATGGGCTTGCTACAGCAACACGGCACCCAACCAGGAGCTAAAATAGAGAGGTGGCCAGCAGAGGGATGGCCTAAGAACTGTCAGCAAAGGCGTCCATTTTTAGGTTGTTTTATGGTTTGGTTTGGTTTTAGTCTTTCTGGGTTAGTAATTCCCTTTAGCTATCTATTTGCCATGCTTTGTTAAACATTTTGGAGGAGAGTGCTGGATTGCAAATAAAATAAATACAGCCAAAAAAGAAAATGCTGAGACCACGTATGAGAAGAAAGAGGTCAGATAGCTGCAGTGCAACCCATCCCATTTATTGACTGGAAAAGGCAGCCAAAAATCTGTAGAGAATATTAAAAGAAAGGATAGACTTCTGTAAAAAAAAAAAAAAAAAAAAAAAAAAAAAAAAAAAAAAAAAAAAATCAGTGGATAATGACTTGGCACTTGCAACAATGCAGGTGACAGCCCGTCAGTGGAAAGGGTAGTGGAGTCACAGAACAAGGGGCACAGCTTCTGCCTAGGACATACAGGACGGGACAGTGGGAGACCCACAGAACAACCAGACTGTACCACGCCAAGATCGATTTCAAACCTTGCCTTCACCTAGAAGCTCTGTGACTTGGAATTATCCTTGAAAACTCTGTTTCCTCATCTAATAAATAAATTTACTTATTCCTGCTTCATTGGACATGTATAAAACCAAAGATTGCTTATATAAAGTTTTTAGCAGATATTCAATAAATGCTAATTATCATTATTGTTTACACACTAATTAAGGTTTATTAGAGATTGAAAGTTGATAAATCCTTTAGCATTTATTATGTATAAAGCTGTTCATAAGTAATGCCGTTCTCATTACAGAATGGACTCATTATTTGCAAATCACTGTGTTGTAATGATGAAGCCTCAGAAAAAAGAACATTTCAAAACCTATCAGAGTCCTAAAAAATGTAAAGATCTGGTGTGCCAAGTGTTGGTGCCTGTGTAACTACATATCAACTCCCAAACACTGGTTTTGGCAATGAAACGAGGAACAATTCAGCAACATGACCCAGTATTTCTAACCCCAGACATATATCTTCTAGGAACTCTCATCCAGGCAACAAGGAGACATGTCTGAGAATCCTCACTGCAGCATTTCTAATCAAAAATAAAACAGGCTGGGCATGGTGGCTCACATCTGTAATCCTAGCACTTTGGGAGGCCGAGGCCGGCCGATTGCCCGAACCCAGGAGTTTGAGACCAGCCTGGGCAACATGGTGAGACTCTGTCTCTACAAAAAACCCAAAAATTAGCCAGGTGTGGTAGCACACACCTGTAGTCCCAGCTACTCAGGAGGCTGAGGCAAGAGGATAGCGTGAGTTTGGGAGGTCAAGTCTGCAGTGAGCCATAATCGCGCCACTGCACTGCAGCCTGGATGACAGAGCAAGACCCTCTCTCTAAAATAAATAAATAATAAAACAAACATCTAAGATAACCTAATGTCCATGAAAGGAAGAATGAATAAGTAAATTCAGTTGGAGACAAACAGAATATGCTTTAGAAGTTGAAATAAATAAACCACAAGAAAAGCATGTTGCAAGAGGATAGGTACAGCAAAATACTATTCCTAAAAAATCTTACAAACATTTAAAGCAATAATGCATTGTTTAGAAAAATGTAATATTTAGTTAAAGTAGGAAAGCATATGTGACCATTATAAATATTGAGGTCAGGAGGGGCATGTGACTGTTGAGGGCCACAGAGGAAGCTTTAAGTGTATCTGTGAAATATTTTTCTATTAAAAGAAAAGCAATCTGGTAAACATAGCAAAAAATAAATTAAGGGAAAAAAGATGGGGCTTGGTATCAAGTATATTGTTATTCATTATATTATTCTCTTTAATTTTCTGAATATTGAAAATAGTTCACAACAATCAGGATTTCAAGGTACCTATAGAACAATGGGGACAAGTGAAATCTAAATTCCTTCATACCCTATTCAAAAACCATGCAGATGAATTAGTATGAAAGAGATAAAACCACCTATCACCAAAGTCTGCAGCAAAACTAGGAGACAAAGAACATTGAAAATCTCATGTATGCAGGAAAATTAATATCCAACACCAGTAAGACAGCTGTAGAGCTCATGTCAGAATGAAGAGACAGGTTGGGAGTGCGTGCAAAGAGGGGAAGGCAGTTGATATGATAGTCCATCTGGGAAAGCCAAGAAAATCAGTGGCAAAGCTAGTGTGAACAAGAGAACTCAATAAGACAGCAGGCTATGGACTAAACACTGTAAAATCAGTAGCTTTCATATGTACAATCAATGACCAGTTAGAAGGTGTGAAGGAAAAGAAAACATCATTTTTGGTACCAATAAAATAAAAATACATTTCTTAGGAATAAACTGAACAAAAACATTTGCAAAAGCTGTACAAGGGAAACTTTCAAAGCCCGCCTGAAAGACATAAAAGTTGACTCAGACAAAGAAAAGGGCATTCCTTGTTCTCTGATAGGATAGCAACATCTGAAAGATGTCAGCTCTTCACTAGTTAATATGTAAGTTTAAAGTGATCCCAATAAAAATAATAATTTCTTTTTCTAGAGATGGACAAGTTTTATTTAGAGTCTGTAGGAAACACACACACACACACACACACACACACACACACACACACACACAGAGAGAGAGAGAGAGAGAGAGAGAGAGAAGGAAACCAGGAACCAGTTGAAAAAGAAGAGGAAAGAGGAGAATTGGCCCTACAAGACAGTGGAACACAGTGTAAAACTTCTGTAATTGAAACTGCAATGGCACGGAAAACAACAATCCAACAGAATAGAATAGAAATGCAGGAATAGTCCCAACTACATGTAAACATTTAGTATGATGCTGATAGCATTTCAAATCATTGAAAAGACAGACTTTTTACTAAATGATGTTGGAACAACAGGAGAGCCATTTTAATAAAAGGCTAAATGAGACTATAATTCATGTCATTAAAAAGTACAGTGAAAGAAAAAGGTGCAAGAACCATGAAAAATATGATTACGTTCCTGGGTGTAGGATATAAGGAAAGCTGTTGTATCTATGACTCAAAATCTGGAAGCAATTAAGAGAAAATTAATAAATTTGACCATGTAATAACAAAGTCCAATTTTTAACATGGCAGAATCCCATAACAACAACAACAAAGAATGGCAAGCTAGGATAAAATATTTGCAACTGGCCAGGTGCAGTGGCTCATGCCTGTAATTCCAGCACTTTGGGAGGCCAAGGTGGGTGGATCATGAGGTCAGAGGTTCGAGACCAGCCTGGCCAACATAGTGAAACCCCATCTCTACTAAAAATACAAAAAATTTTCCAGGCGTGGTAGTGGGTGCCTGTAATTCCAGTTACTCGGGAGGCTGAGGCAGGAGAACCACTTGAACCAGGGAGGCAGAGGTTGCAGTGAGCCGAGATCATACCACTGCACTCCAGCCTGGGTGACAAGAGTGAAACTCCATTTCAAAAAAATATATATATATATTTGCAATCTATATAAAGAGATCTTTAAAAAATAAAAGGAATAATAAAAAAACTTGAGAGAAAGATGAATAGAAGACAAGAACCAACATATCACAGAAAAAGACTCACAAATGGTCCTCGGGCATGTGAATAGAGGCTCAACTTCATTTGTACTAATAATGAAAATTAAAACCTCACAAAGCTACAATTTCACATATGTCAGACTGATAAAATTTTAAAAGCTTGATGACACACTTTGTTGGTGAGAAAATAGGGAAATGGGCACTCTCAAGCCTTGCTGGTAAAACTGCACAATGTTATACACGTAATACAGAAGGGAATTTGGGAATAGATAAAAAACTACCTATGCACTTACCGTTTGACTCAGCAATCCAGCTTTTAGAAATTCACCCTGAAAATACACCTCCAGAAATTCTAAACAACTTATACACTACTCATCTTACAGTATTTGTAATTTACTAGGTTTCTAATTTATAATTAGAAACCACCAAATTCCCAAACAGGAGACAGGTTTACTAAACCATGGTACAATCATACAACAGAGAAATCTGTATAAAAACAAAAGAATGACTCCCTTTGAACTGATATGGAGTCACTCAGAGTAGCAATCAAAATCTCTAAAATAACAAATAAAAGCCCCCCTCCCCATTGCCCCCACCACATCCCTGACCTTATCTCTGATTGATTTTTTTTTTTTTTTTTTTTTGAGACAGAGTTTCATTCTTGTCGCCCAGGCTGGAGTGCAATAGCGCGATCTAGGCTCACTGCAACCTCCGCCTCGCGGATTGCAGATCAAGCAATTCTCCTGCCTTAGCCTCCCAAGTAACTGGGATTACAGGCACCTGCCACCATGCCTGGCTAATGTTTGTATTTTTAGTAGATATGGGGTTTCGCCACGTTGGCCAGGTTAATCTCAAACTCCTGAGCTCAGGTGATCCACCCATCTTGGCCTCCCGAAGTGCTGGGATTACAAGCATGATCCACAGCGCCCAGCCCCCTCTTACTGATTTCTCTCTGGATTAGTCCATGACAGCTACTGGTTGTAGTGTCAGTCAATGCTGGGTGCACTCCTGTCTTCCCTCGCTTGCACTTGATCAAGAGGTCCACGTGGCTTCTCCTTTATGTCTTGTAGAACTTACTAAACCATAATCTTCTCAGTGAGACATTCACTGGCTATCTTATCCAAAATTGCAAGCTCTCCTGCCACTCTCCTTCCTTTACCTACTAGATTTTTCTTCCTTAGCACTTACTAATACACTCTCTATGAAAGAAGCTGAGTTTTGCCTCCTGTCAGACCAGTGGCAGCATTAGATTCTCATAGGAGCTCAAACCCTACTGTGAACTGCAAATGCAAGGGCTCTAGGTTGTGCATTCTTTATGAGAATCTAATGCCTGATGATCTGTCACTGTCTCCCATCACCCCCAGATGGGACTGTCTAGTTGCAGGAAAACAAGCTCAGGGCTCCCACAGGTTCTACATTATGATGAGTATGTAATAATAATTGAAACAAAGTGCTTGAATCATCCTGAGACCATCGTCCCCCTACACTGTCCATAGAAAAGCTGTCTTCCACAAAACTAGTCATTGGTGCCAAAAAGGTTGGGGACTGCTGGTCTAGGTAGTAGCCATTCTTTTGTTTCTTTACTTTGCTAATAAACTTGCTTTCACTTAAAAAAAATCTGGGCACCATGTATACAGAGATTATCACAACTAAATCCTGGCCCTTTCATAAGTTCCACTCTGGGGAGGAAATTGACAAATTGCAATAACCATTAGTAAAGGAACCCAGCAACTCTATTCTGGTGTCTTATTTCTGTTATTAAAATGTTTCCATATCTTAGTTTTCCTATCTGTAAAATGGTTGAGAGATTCTTGGTAAGATACATCAGACATTTTGAAGGGAATTCTTAGTATTGCTTTCACTAATTGGCCACTGAAATTACTCTTTCACGAGGAGATGCAGAGAGAATTGGCATGGTTTAATCACCCCTTCCATACACAATTTTCCTAATGCAGAAAAGCAGAGAGCCCAATATGAATGCAAGCACCTGACGCCAGCAACATGACAGCGAGGGCATCTCTAGGTAGTCAGGGCAAGTAGAGTCAGAAGGAGACAGAGTGACAAGGGGTAGAAATGAGAGTAGGGGGGAAGGACCAGAACATGGCTTGCTTTTTGCTATCTTCTAGAATATAATACAGGGACCTAAAGCAACTGTTTAGGGCAAAACAGGCTGTGCAAAAGAAAGAAAGTTGAAAAATTTATTTCAAATTCCTACCTCTCTTTTTTTTTTTTTTTTTTTTTTTTTTTGTGACGGAGTCTCGCTGTCTCCCAGGCTGGAGTGCAGTGGCGCGATCTCGTCTCACTGCAAGCTCCGCCTCCCGGGTTCACGCCATTCTCCTGCCTTAGCCTCCTGAGTAGCTGGGACCACAGGCACCCACCACCACGCCTGGCTAATTTTTTGTATTTTTAGTAGAGACGGGGTTTCACCATGTTAGCCAGGATGGTCTCGATCTCCTAACCTCGGGAGGCCTCGGCCTCCCAAAGTGCTGGAATTACAGGCGTGAGCCACTACGCCCGGCCTAGCTTTCCTTCTTAATTCTAACTAAAGCCATAACGTTTCTCTATAACAATCAGAATTTACCCAATCACAATGAGCTTCCAAATGGCAAAGAGACTAAGTGAGCCAGTCACGTTGAATGAACTTCTGAATTTGCTTTACAGATGTTTGAGACTGCTCAGGGAGGACAGATCAGGGGCCTGTGTGCAAGCTCACTTTCATTGTGCAGTACACAGCAGGCATTCACTAGAAGACCTCAAGGTGGACAGCATTCCTTGGAATCGTGCAACATGATGCCCTGATGGGGATATGTCTGGACTGGCAAAAACCCATCCCAACTACTTAGAATCAGAAATAGCATACGCTTCACTGTAGCATTGTCTTTTGGCAGGAGAGGCAACAATCTGACTTCTATCCATCCTGCTCAGTCTTAGAAATCATCTCCCAAACTCAGGCCTTTTTTTTTTTTTTTTTTTTTTTTTTTTTTTTTTTTTTTGAGACGGAGTCTCACTCTGTCGACTAGGCAGGAGTGCCGTGGAGCGATCTCGGCTCACTGCAAGCTCCACCTCCCGGGTTCACACCATTGTCCTGCCTCAGCCTCCCGAGTAGCTGGGACTTCAGGCGCCCACCACCATGCCCGGCTAATTTTTTGCATGTTTAGTAGAGACGGGATTTCACGGTGTTAGCCAGGATGGTCTCCATCTCCTGACCTCGTGATCCGCCCGCCTCGGCCTCCCAAAGTGCTGGGATTACAGGCGTGAGCCACTGCTCCCGGCCACTCAGGCCTTTTTAAGTAGATTTTTACTCTTCTGGGGTATTTGCTTTAAGAAATTGTTTACATGGGAAAGAGAAGGTTGCGCTTTTCCCGATTTAGCCATTTCTATCTCTGTACTTAGAAGAATAATTTTTTTTTACATTCACTAAAGTGTCACTTAAATAAGATGGGCAAGATGATCTCCAGGTACTAAACTATTAATGAGAACTTTTTCTTCTAGAAGGAAATTAAATGAATAGCAAATAGTCCTATTATTAGATTTTAAATGACTTTAATTTCTTAACACCAACTGGAAAGAAAATAGCCAGTGTTAGAATGTGTAATTGCTTATAATAGTAACAATAAAGATTTTATTTGCAATCTTATTATTCAGTGAGAAGGTTACTAAGCAATTTACCAGAGTGTGGGCCAAGGATTATAAAATTTCATTTACACACAAATGATAAAATGTGTTGCCATGGTGAAGGTCTGGTCAAAACAGGATAATGTTTTAGCTCATTTTAAATTTATCGGTGCAAGAATTGTCTGATATAAAGAAAGCAGCTTGATTCTCATAATCCATGAACCTTTTGGAAATAATGCAAAGAATAGCTGAAAACTAAAAACTCTCAATTACTCTTTCTTAAACTTTCACTTTGATACTACCTGTAAAGTTTTTAAATATACTGATGCCCTAGTCCTTCCCCAGAGATGCTGATTCAATCAGCATGGGGTACAGTATGGGAACCTGAATTTTTTATATTTTTATTTTTTTATTTATTTATTTTTAGAGTCACGCTCTTGCTCTGTTGCCCAGTCTGGAGTGCAGTGGTGCAATCATAGCTCACTGCAACCTTGAACCGGACTCAAGGGATCCTCCCATCTAAGCCTCCCGAGTAGCTGGGACTACACATGCGTACCACCACACCCAGCTAATTTTTGTATTTTTTGTAGAGATGGGATCTAGCGATGTTGCTCAACCTGGTCTCGAACTCCTGATTTCAAGCAATCCTCCCACCTCAGCCTCCCAAGGACTGGGATTATAAGCATGAGCCCCTGTGTCACGCCTGGGAATTGAAATTCTTAAAGCTCCCCAGGTGATTCTAATATGCTTCAAGTTGCAAAAATTTATTCAGGCGGCACATCCTTCTGTCCAAAGACTACAGTAAAAGTGAAGCTTATTTATCACATATTTGTGCCTCAACAAGGGCTTTGCTTTAGAGATATTGTATTGGTGTGTCTAAAGACAAATGAAGAAATAGAAATATAGAAAGATATATAGAAATAAAATAGAAATAGAACACTTAATAATAGGCAGCAGCAAATTATCTATTACTATAATAGTATTCTGTTTTATATAATATCTATTAAAATAACTGAAATATAAAATAAATCAAAATAAATATAATCTCAGAGTTTATAAAGACTTACATTCAAATAAACTTATCAGAGCCATATTAGTACATGATGAAATGCATTTTGTTTCCAGAGAAAGTTTAGTGCTTATGCATTTTAAAGAATACTAATTCCACTGTGGGTATACCCAAAGGAATATAAATCAGTCTAATATAAAGATACATACATGTTATGTTCATTGGAGCACTATTCACAATAGCAAAGACATGGAATAAACCCAAATACCTGTCAATGATAGACCAGATAAAGAAAATGTGAGTACATATATACCATGGAATACTATGCAGCCATAAAAAGGAGTGAGATCATGTTCTTTGCAGGGACACGGATGGAGCTGGAAGTCATTATCCTCAGCAAACTAACACAGGAACAGAAAACCAAACACCGCATGTTCTCACTTATAAGTGGTTACTGAACAATGAGAACACATGGACCCCGGGGGTGGGGAACAACACGCACTGGGGGTTTTCAGGGGGGCAGAGGAAGGGGGAGCATCAGGATAAATAGCTAATGCACACGGGGCTTAATGC
Source organism: Homo sapiens (assembly GCF_000001405.40). Lineage (NCBI taxonomy): Eukaryota > Metazoa > Chordata > Mammalia > Primates > Hominidae > Homo > Homo sapiens. Next base: position 25,097,192 of record NC_000008.11, read on the forward strand.
CTAGGTGATGGGTTGATAGGTGCACAAACCACCATGGCACAGGTTTACCTATGTAACAAATCTGCACATCCTGCACTTGGGTCCTGGAACTTAAATAAAATTTTTAGAAAAAAAGAATACTAATGCCATCCCATCATAAAATCAGGCTGTAGCCAGGTAACACAGGTGGTTTGGATACAAGTAGAGGCAACAGATTTAGTTTCTATTCAAATCTGAATTAGCCTCATTGCATTTCATGGAGTCAAACTATTATACAGATGTTAGCAAATGATCGCAGAAATGCATGGATTTGATCATAAAGGAAATCAAATTTAAATCAACTACCACCAGTGAGAAAACAGTTCACTGGTATCAGACTTCACGTGTCCATTCACAAAGCATTTCTTGAATACTTGTGAAGTAATGAGCTTTGCAAAATGGAAGAATGAGGATTCCAATTCTATCTGTGAAGCTTTATTACTGAAAACGAGTCTAAAGCAAGTATCAGCAAATTATAACATTTGCTCAGTATGGCTGACAAGTACATTATGTTTGCTATATTATTCTTCATACTTCTCATATATACTTGAAATATTTCACTTAAGAAAAGTTCAGTTTGGCCCAGGCACGGTGGCTCATGCCTGTAACCCCAGCACTTCAGGAGGCCGAGGTGGGTGGATCACCTGAGATCAGGAGTTTGAGACCAGCCTGACCAACATGGTGAAACCCCGTCTCTACTGAAAATACAAAAAAAAATTAGTTGGGCCTGGTGGCGGGTGCCTGTAATCCCAGCTACTTGGGAGGCTGAGGCAGGAGAATCACTTGAACCCAGGAAGCAGAGGTTGCAGTGAGCCGAGACTGTGCCATTGCATTCCAGCCTGGGCAACAGCATGAAACTGCATCTCAAAAAATAAATAAATAAAAAAGAAAAGTTGAATTTGAAGAAATCTACAATCAAGGAAACAAAAGAGCTTATGAACAATAACATAAATTTGAAGGTAATAGGGTGGTACATGGTACAGGATAGTAATGTATTTCCCACTCTTTCAACAGTTCAAACAGTTGAGCAGCCAACTCTATATGATGGTATAGAGACCCAGGTTCTGTCATCTCATGTCTCCACCATTTCCTAAAGCGTCTTGGTGCATCACTGGACCCTCAGCATCCAGCTGGCATTCTGGGGAACAGAGTGGAAGATTGCACAGAAGATGTTTTACGAGACAGACTGAGGACTCACATACATCACATCTGCCCACATTCTATTGTCTAGGACCCAGTCACGTGGCTGCCCCTCCATGGAGGCTGGGAAATGTGGTTCAGCCCTTTGTCCAGGAAGAACAAGAAAAGGGCTAGGGGAGCATCTCACCAGTCTCTGTTGGTGGTGATTGCATAAGAAAGCAGATAAAGGGCTGAGGCAGCTCAAAGGAAAGAAACACTGCTTTTGGCAAAAGGGATTACGAAAAGCCTCACAGGAAAGGTGACTTCTGAATTGGAACTTGAAAGATTTGTAGGATTTAGAAGTGCAGAGATAAATTTTATTTGGGGTGGGGGTATAAACTATGTACAAAGGTAGGAAAGTAGAAAAGTAAAAGTCCATGCAGGGAGCAGAGAACAAAAGGGGGACAGCAGAGTATAGATAGGCTGGGCTGATACTCAGCTGTTACATACGGGAAGGCTATAAAAGTTGCTCAGAGAATGAGATGCTTCTGAACTACTTGACATCAAAAGTCACCAGTCCCAGCTCCTGAATGCCCACATGGCCATCCCAGCTGCCACTGGGACATCCTGAGCTTCTCCCACTGTCCAAGGAGATGCCCCCAACAGAGCCGACTCCTGCAGGACCCTGCTCCAGCACTGTGGTCATGTTAGTTTTGATTGTTAGCATCTGCATTTTACTGGCTGTTACATATTTTTCACATCATCTCTGAACACCAGACCATAAGCAGAACTAATGGCAGGATTTGGAGAGGTAGACTGGAGCTAGTTCACAGTGTCCTCAAATGCCACAACATGAACTTTGGATTTTATTCATTAACAGGGAATTGAGTGTTCATCACAGACCTTTTCTGAGGAGACAAGTAATATGATCAGAGCTCTGTTTAGAAAGACGATTCTGACAGCAGCTAATTTAGGATGATATGAAGAGAGAGAAAATAGATTACAAAGATTAAGTGATCTTTGTAAATGAATGGCACCAGGTTATTAAAACAGCATGGAGGCTCCATCTAACTAGTTATTACAGTTACTAAGATAAGGAAAATATTGCCAACAAATTATATCAGACCTGTCCTTATTACTTTGTTCTAATAATCAATGTTTATAACTGTAGTTGCTATTGCTGTATCTATAAGAGTGGACATATTGGCTGGTCGCAGTGGCTCATTCCTGTAATCCCAGCACTTTGGGAGGCCAGGGCGGGCAGATCACCTGACGTCTGGAGTTTGAGGCCAGCCTGGCCAACATGGTGAAACCACGTCTCTACCAGAAGTACAAAAATTAGCCGGGCATGGTGGCAGGCACCTGTAATCCCAGCTACTCCGGAGGCTGAGGCAGGAGAATCTCTTGAACCTGAGAGGCAAAGGTTGCAATGAGCCGAGATTTCCCACTGGACTTGGACTTCGGACTTCAGCCCAGGGGACAAGAGTGAGACTTCGTCTCCAAAAAAAAAAAAAAAAAAAAAGAGTGGACATGTTATTCTGATATATGTCTGAGGGCTCTAGTGCCACAATTCACAGAGCATCACTGGATAACCGTCCTTCATACTGTCCCTCAATTATCTCTGTAAGGGCAAAAATCTACTGGTTCTATTATTTAAGGAAAATACCTGGAATTTCCCCATCCTTATATTTTCCGCTGCTTTAACTCCCTACATACACATACATGCACACACGGGAGCAAATGCACACACATGCACAGAGACACACATATACACATGAGCAAGTGCACACACACAACCATGTGCATATAGATGAACACCCACACATGCATGCAGGCACCCACCAGGACACTGGCATCTATGAGGGATCCTATGCCTGCCCCAGGATGTTGATGAGAACCTGCTTGCTTGCTCCATCTTTGCCACCTCCATATCCCAGATAGACATGATTTTAATTCTTTTCTTTCTAGCTTTCAGACTTTTTTTTTTTTGACTTAAAAATCAAAGCCAGGTTATCCTTACCATGTAAGCGTATAATACTTCTCACTGAGGCCATAGTTCATCCCACTCACCTCAGACCTGATCCTTCCCTTCCCACATCTCCCACCCGTGCTCTTGAAATGAATGGTGTTTTCCCTGCCCATTCTTGGGCTCCATCTCCATCTCCATCCCATCTGAGCACAGAAGCTTCTGTCCCCATGGAGTTGGAGTGCACCACCCTATCAGCACGTCAATGCATTCACCAACCTGGAAGCTTTTCAAACTTCATCATTTACGGGTTTTTTTGGAGGTACCATTACATACGCATGATTTATTAAATCATTGGCCACTGGTGATTAGCTCAATTTCCAGACCCTCTTTTCTCCCTAGAGGTCTGGAGTTTCAGCTGAAAGTTCCAACCCTCTTATCATACCTTGTTCCTTCTGGCAACTAGCCCCTACCCTGAAGCTATCTAGGAGTCTACTCTTTTGATCTAAGAGTAGCCTCGTTATATCAAAAGATGGTCCTATCACCCAGGATATTCCAAGGGATTTGGGATCTGTGTGCCAGGAACCAGGGATGAAAACAAAATACTTATTTATCATACATACCGTCCTAACATCAATTAGTGCAAGAAAATCATCTCTCCATTATCATTTTAAAATGTGTACTGAAGTCATAACTGTGCTAATTTTAATAAGACCAATCCCTGGTATATTAGTTCATTTTCATGCTGCTGATAAAGACATACCTGAGACTGGGAAGAAAAAGAGGTTTTTAATTGGACATACATTTCCACATGGCTGGGGAGGCCTCAGAATCATGGCAGGAGGCAAAAGGCACTTCTTACATGGCGGCAGCAAGAGAAAAATGAGGAAGAAGCAAAATCGGAAGGCCCTGATAAGCCCATCAGATCTCGTGAGACTTATTCACTATCATGAGAATAGCATGGGAAAGACCAGCCCCCATGATTTGATTACCTCCCCCAGGACCGTTCTACAACACGTGTGAATTCTGGGAGATACAATTCAAGTTGAGATTTGGATGGGAACACAGCCAAACCTTATCACCTGGACATAATAGTACTATATTAGTCTGAGTCAAGTTGGGAAATTAGAAGCCACATTAGGCTTTACAAATAGAGGGCATTTAATACAGGGAATTGGTTATATGGTGTTGGAAGGTTGAGGCAACTCAGATATTAATAACTGCAGGAAGCAGTTCCCACTCCAGGTTGGAGGAACAAAGTGAAGAGAATTACCACAACTTAGGAGCTCGAAGGGTAGGTGGTTAGATTTCTGGTTAGATTCGCCAGTGCTTAGATTTCTGAGGGGTGGTGCATTGCACAGCTGCTGGAAGGAAAGACTTTTGAAGGGTGGGCACCACACAGCAGGTTCCAGAAGTACTGAAAGAAGCTGGGAGCCTGGCATGTGCTGCTGGCAGGATGCTAAAGGAAGCTAGAAACAGGACGTCTCCCCTCCTCCTGCTTTCCCGTCTCCCACTGGAGCTCTACTTGGTAACATGTTACCATGTAACAGGACACCAGACAAAACAGAATCCAGGATATCTAGTTTGCACACTCCAACCCTAACCAAGACAAATTTCACATGAATACAAAATGAGGTGAGGCTCGACTCAAGGTGGCTGATTGGAACGGTCATATTGTAAACACTGGGAGGCAAGAACCACAGAAGATAATGGCCAACATACCCTTTAATATTTACAATTAGGGCCAGGCACGGTGGCTCATACCTGTAATCCCAGCACTTTGGGAGGCCGAGGCAGGCGGATCATCTGAGGTCCGGAGTTCAAGACCAGCCTGGCCAACATGGTGAAACGCCATCTCTACTAAAAATACAAAAATTACCCAGGCGTGGTGGTGGATGCCTGTAATCCCAGCTACTCAGGAGGCTGAGGCAGAAGAATTGCTTGAACCTGGGAGATGGAAGTTGTAGTGAGCTGAGATTGCACCATTGCACTCCAGCCTGTGCACAGAGCGAGACTCCATCTCAAAAATTAAATAAACACATAAATAAATTATAATTTGGCTTCCCAGCATTGTTTTCTATTTTAGTATTATGATTTTTTTAACCTAGCATGGAAGCTAATTTGTATTTTTAAAAATCTATCTTTGGCCTCTCCCTCCCCCTCTTTGCACGGTCTCCCTCTGATGCCCAGCCGAGGCTGGACTCTACTGCCGCCATCTCGGCTCACTGCAACCTCCCTACCTGATTCTCCTGCCTCAGCCTGCCAAGTGCCTGGGATTGCAGGTGCGTGCCACCACGCCTGACTGGTTTTCGTATTTTTTGGTGGAGACAGAGTTTCACCATGTTGGCTGGGCTGGTCTCCAGCTCCTGACCGCAAGTGATCTGCCAGCCTCGGCCTCCCGAGGTGCCAGGATTGCAGACGGAGTGTCGCTCACTCAGTGCTTGATGTTGACCAGGCTGGAGTGCAGTGGCATGATCTCGGCTCGCTACCACCTCCACCTCCCAGCCGCCTGCCTTGGCCTCCCAAAGTGCCGAGATTGCAGCCTCTGCCCGGCCACCACCCCGTCTAGGAAGTGAGGAGTGTCTCTGCCTGGCCGCCCATCGTCTGGGATGTGAGGAGCCCCTCTGCCCGGCCGCCCAGTCTGGGAAGTGAGGAGCGCCTCTTCCCGGCCGTCATCCCATCTAGGAAGTGAGGAGCGTCTCTGCCCGGCCGCCCATCGTCTGGGATGTGGGGAGCGCCTCTGCCCTGCCGCCTCGTCTGAGATGTGAAGAGCGCCTCTGCCCGGCCGCCACCCCGTCTGAGAAGTGAGGAGCCCCTCCGCCCGGCAGCCGCCCCGTTTGGGAAGTAAGGAGTGTCTCCGCCGGGCAGCCGCCCCGTGCGGGAGGTGGGGGGCAGGGCCAGCCCGGCCGCCACCCCATCTGGGAGGTAGGGGGGTGCCTCTGCCCGGCTGCCCCATCTGGGAAGTGAGGAGCCCCTCTGCCCGGCCGCCACCCCGTCTGGGAGGTGGGGGGCGCCTCTGCCCGGCCGCCCCGTCTGGGAAGTGAGGAGCCCCTCTGCCCGGCCGCCACCCCGTCTGGGAGGAGTACCCAACAGCTCATTGAGAACGGGCCATGATGACGATGGCGGTTTTGTCGAATAGAAAAGGGGGAAATGTGGGGAAAAGAAAGAGAGATCAGATTGTTAATGTGTCTGTGTAGAAAGAAGTAGACATAGGAGACTCCATTTTGTTATGTACTAAGAAAAATTCTTCTGCCTTGGGATGCTGTTAATCTATAACCTTACCCCCAACCCCGTGCTCTCTGAAACATGTGCTGTGTCCACTAAGGGTTAAATGGATTAAGGGCGGTGCAAGATGTGCTTTGTTAAACAGATGCTTGAAGGCAGCATACTCGTTAAGAGTCATCACCACTCCCTAATCTCAAGTACCCAGGGACACAAACACTGCGGAAGGCGGCAGGACCCTCTGCCTAGGAAAACCAGAGACCTTTGTTCACATGTTTATCTGCTGACCTTCCCTCCACTATTGTCCTATGACCCTGCTAAATCCCCCTCTCCGAGAAACACCCAAGAATGATCAATAAATACTAAAAAAATTTTTAAAAAAATCTATATTTGGACACATTTTCTTATATCCTTGTTAGTACTGGCAAGGTAAAATTATTTCAGGCTATGAAACTAAATCCGAAATTTTTGCAACACTGAATATATTCATGGAAAATATGTAATTTCAGTTACTATATTAGAATATCAGAAATAATGCTATTTCCAGTTTAATTCTTTGTTTTATAAATGTGCAAAATCTTTCTACAGCAACCCATTGTTTCAAAGACTGTTCTGATGCAAAGATTTTGAAACACATAAAAACCCATAATAAATACATTCATTCTTTCAAAAGTGCTCATTTCTATGACTCAAAAATGAAAAACAGATGATAAATATTTGTGCAAACTGGAAAAAGAAAGACATCGATTTCAAGAGTCCCAAATCTGGCAACTTTTGTTTTGATTAGCCAAATAGTGCCTCTCAAAACTCATTTTATTTCAATGCCTGGTTTCCGTGGGGGAAAAAAGGGGTTACTTAACCTTAAAATGTCAGATCATTTGGCTCCAGGACTCTTTGGATTTTATGAGAAATGAGCTATCTCTGGGCTTGGATCCACTCAGCCTTTCTTTATACTTCACGTCTATGGCACGAAATACTTTAGTTCCAGTATTAACAGTTAGTTCCTAGAGACTGAGAGGTCATGGGAGAGAGAAAAGTTCACAAATTTTGTTGAGAAAAGTTCTCAAATCTTGGCCGGGCACGGTGGCTCATACCTGTAATCCCAGCACTTTGGGAGGCTGAGGCACATGGATCACAAGGTCAGGAGATCGAGACCATCCTGGCTAACAAGGTGGAACCCCATCTCTACTAAAAAAAAAAAAAAAAAAAAAAAAAGAAAACAAAAATTAGCAGGGCATGGTGGCGGGAGCCTGTAGTCCCAGCTACTCGAGAGGCTGAGGCAGGAGAATGGTATGAACCCAGGAGACGGAGCTTGCAGTGAGCTGAGATTGCACCACTGCACTCCAGCCTGGGCAACAGAGCGAGCCTCCGTCTCAAAAAAAAAAAAAAAAAGCTATCTCAATTATGGTATCTCTCAATCATGGTATCTTTTTTGGGCAACCAGTAGTATTAACAGCCATCCTGACGGGCATGCATTTTAAAATCCTTCTCAACTGCTGTTAATAACTCTGGAAAACAAGTATATTAAAGGACAGAAACCCTAAAATGGCCAAGACATCTCAGAAGGAGTGACAGTAAAATGACAACGCAAATACATGGTGTCCTTCAAAATAGGCACCATGGAGAGGATAACCTATTTCAATGATGCTGCCATTATACAAGTGTTTGGGGACCATTCTGAATCTTTTTGAAGCCACTTTAAATGACCCACAACCATAAAACAATCTATTTAATCACTTTCTTCTCAATCTTGCTTTTTGCCACCATAGAACATTTACACACCTCAGTGGGTTCCAAGTGACTTTTGAATGTTTTCCATTTTTAATAGCTATCATCAAAGACAAGCGTATATGAATGCTCCAAAAAATAGGCTTCATTACCAAAAAAAAAATTCCAGAATGAAAGTTTCAAGATATTTTGCATCCTGGGTATAACACAAATGTTAGCTCCCCAAGTTTCTACATTAAAAGAAAAAAAAGCCATTGTAGTGTTCAGATTCTGGTTTTGCTTTTTTTTTTTTAATGGATCATAACATTTTATATAGCACATACGTTACCTGTGCCTTTAAGGGCAAACACGCTTCAGTGATCTTCCCCTGAGATTTTGCTGTCATTACTTAATTACAGTTTCATTTAAGAAGATGTTCCTCTGGAATGAGTTTCCCAGTGATTTTATCACATCCAATTACACCACTGAAGGTTTATAATGAATAAAGGCTCACAGAGTCAGAAAAACATTTGTCATTGGTAAACAAACACTAGAATGTCATGAAAGACAACAGTGGAATAATTTCTCAACAAGTCAAGTGACCACAAGGAAACCAATGGACCAGCAGATGGAAAATGCTTCCAAAAAATAAATGTTGGGGCCGGGTGCTGTGGCTCATGCCTGTAATCCCAGCACTTTGGGAGGCCAGGGCGGGCAGATCACCTGAGGTCAGGAGTTAGAAACCAGCCTGGCCAACAGGGTGAAACCCTATCTCTACTAAAAACACAAAAATCAGCCAGGCACGGTGGTGCACACCTGTAATCCCAGCTACTTGGGAGGCTGAGACAGGATAATCACTTGGATCTGAGAGGCAGAGGCTGCAGTGAGCCAAGATCACGCCACTGCACTCCAGCCTGGGTGACAGAACGAGACTCCGTCTCAATAATAATAATATGTTGGGTAAGGATGGCTTCTGTGCTGTATGAGTCATCTTGGGCTGCCCTAACAAAATACTACAGAAATTTTCTCCAAAAGGAGGCTAAAAAGTCCAACATCAAGATTTAGACAGGGTTCAGTTTCTGGCGAAGGCTGTCTCCCTGGCCTGCTGGTGGCCCTGTCCTCTCCTGGCCCTTCCTCTGAGCATGGATGGACTGGGTGAGCTCTGGCATCTCTTTTTCCTATAAGGGATCAGACTTATCGGATTACAGCCCCACCCTTACAACCTAATTTAACCTTTATCATCTCCTCATGGGCCCTGTCTCCAAATACAGTCACTGATATGGTTTGCATCTGTGTCCTCACCCAAATCTCATGTTCAATTGTAATCCTCAATGTTGGAGGTTTACACCAGATGGGGCCTGGTGGGCAGTGATTGGATCATGGGTGTGGATCCTTCATCAATGGTTTAACACCATCCTCAGTGCCATTCTCGTGGTGAGTTCTCACAAGATCTGGTTGTTTAAAAGTGTGCAGCACACCTCCCCCACCCTTTCCTCCTGCTCTAGCCATGTAAGAGATGCCTGCTTCCTCTTTGCCTTCCACCATGATTGTCAGTTTCCTGAGGCTTCCCCAGAAGCAGATACTGCTATGCTTCCTGTACAACATGCAGAACCATGAGTCAATTAAATCTCTTTTCTTATAAATTACCCAGTCTCGAATATAGAGACTTTATAGCAATGTGAGAACTGACTAATACAGTCACATTGGTGTTAGGGTTTCAACATAAGAATTTGGGGAGGACACACACATTTAGACGATAGCTGCCTTCCTCCTGAACAGTAAAGTCATTTCCAATGGAGTCAACAAATAGGTTAAAGTAAAAAATAGGCCAAACTGTCAAGCAAATGGATCCACTAGAAGTTACTCCAAGTTACTGGATAAAGGTCAGAATAAAAATCTGAATCCAGGGCAGGACATGGTGGTTCACACCAATAATCCCAGCACTTTGGGAGGCTGAAGCAGTAGGATCACTTGACACCAGGAGCTCAAGACCAGCCTGGGAAACATGGTGATAGGCCATCTCTAGAAAAAATTTTAAAAAATTTTTAAATGAGCCAGGCATAGTAGTATGTACCTGGGGTCCCAGCTACTCAGAAGGCTGAGGAGGGAGGATCACTTGAGCCCACAAGCTCGAGGTTGCAGTGAGACTGTGATCACTCCACTGCCCTACAGCCTGGGTGACAGAGCAAGACCCTATCTCTAAAAAAAAATTAAAATTAAAAAAATCAGAGTCTAAGAAAGAATTAGAGGACACACACACACAGATGTCAAGCAGGAGACTGTTGGGACAACAAAGTTCAAGCTCACTACCTGTTTGAAAATTAATAAAGTCAAAGGGAAAATCCACCAAGAGGGGCAAGAATGAGGCTTAAACATCCACCACCACTGGCTCCCATTGTTCCCTGGAAGGCCTGACAAGTTCTTGCCATGCTGTTGGGCCCTGTGCTCTCAGCTTCCCGTGTCAACTCCTTGGCAGCCAAATTAGTCTCCACACCCCTCAGCCCAATGAGAATCTCATCTTCATTCTAAAGTCATGTCTCCCTAGTGCCCCTTCTGTTGTGTCACAAAAGTCAAGTCCATTTTGGAAATAATGTACAGGGAGCATTCTGGACTGCCTGGCTCCTTTGGGTCCCCTTCAGAGTCGAACACCTACCTTAAACCTTACAGCCACTCTCCCTTCCATATTGCCCAGAGAGACATTGATGATTGATTGATTGATTGATTGACTGTTCATCATCTGAACCCCCTTTCTGTGTCTGAGGACTCTCATTGTGTGACTTTTGGTGGTTGGTCAGATGCCTTCTCACCTTGGAAACCCCAAATTTGGACAGTTGTTTTCTCAGACCCTGGAAGCTGTAACTTGGGCCTGGGATGAGGCCTCAGCCACCTAGATGCCCTCCCCCAACCCCCCCGCCAACCCCGGGAATTTGCTCTGGATTAAGTGATGCAAGCTATCAGTGAATTCCCAAGAAGTTTCCCTGGTGGCAGTGTCAGCAGAAGCCTGGAAATGGCATTTAGCTTCTCCTGGCTATAGCAGCGCTGGGCCCAGGCCCATACTCTGCAAAAGCAGTGGAGATACCCCAGCCAGCCTCTTCCTGGGGCATCCTCAAGGCCACTGACCCCCTGGTCTCCTTTGACTACTGCATGATTTCTGTTTTCTCCAGCTCCCTGTCCTTTCTGTAAGTTTTCTGATACCCTTCTAATAAATTCCATTTCTGCTTAAACTAACCAGAAATGACCTCTATCTGCAACTAAGAAGCTTCAATATCACACCTTCCCTGGCTCTGAGCATTGAAATTGAAGTAAAATTCTAGGCCAGAAGAATCATGGAGAATTGAACATAACAAGCATTGAGTAATAAAGCTGGACACAAACTTGATTTGGAACCAATTAAAATACAAATGCAAAATAATCCACAAGTAATTCTTTTTCTTTTGTCCCTGAGGCTTTGTGAAGGTCGTGTGGACTTTTCAACAGCAGACTTAAAACATTCCCTGAATCAAGATCTGCTTGGTTAGGAATAGAATACCTTTTTGATTTGCTTGGCTAGTTCTTGAAGCCAACTCTGTGCAGTGTCTTGCAGAGGCCAAACAACTTTAAAACTTAGATTGCTTCTAGACTGCAAAGCTTAGCCAAGTTTTGAGAAGTAATTTATTCTCGGCCTCATGTGTTCCATCAGATAGAAGCCCAAGGGTCCCTTTCATATTGAGTGTGTCAGGGACAAATTGGCTTTGGTGGATTCCAGAAAACAAAGACAATTTGGGAACAATTTTGGAGGGGAACATTCAAAACTTTCTAGCACCACAGGGCCTAATTTGCTGCTGTATTGAATTTCAGCAATCCTAATTTTGAGAGTTTTACAACACCTGCTAGTGAAGCCATCCAACTTTTTCTTACTGAATTGATAAGTAGGTAAGAAATAATGTGGCCGCAAGAGTGGGGTAATCAGAAAACTCAGGAAAAAAAAAGATGAATTGCTCTTTCTCTCAGAGATAAACCCACACAAAACGGCATGAGACTTCTACATTTTCGCACAAACTAATTAGAGTTTCTTGGCCTTACCTCATTAGACTAAATTCATCTGAACTAAACACATGCAGAGACTCCTACAGTCAACGCACTTCAAATAATACAGGATATGAGGCTGGTGTAATTGCCAACTTAGCAGAGGAGCCTCTCTTTGCAAAGAGAGTGGAATACTGGTTAAGCACATTCACGTATTTCCTGCCTAATGTAACCGCTAATTAGATGAAGGGGTTAGACCCAAAGGTAAATATAAAAAGAATTGCATTGCAGGCCATGAGCTGATCACAGTGGGCAAATCAGTGCTGATTACTTTGATTACAAACATAAATGATTAAACCAGATTTCTGTTTCCAACTACCAAAGCTTTCACCACTTCCTTTTAGTTGAAGTTTTACTTTTCATTTATTTTGTATAATAACAAAATTAAAAACTAGTAAGCTTCTCAGGGGGTTCTGGATGTCATTGCTGTAGTAGATTGGCTGTTTGATATTGAGTATCTGATATATCTGATTTGTCTTTGATGTTTCTTCTCTACTTGCATTATTCCTTTTTTCTACTGCCTGAAACAAAATTTCCTATTAGGTAGCCTGAGGAAAACCACAGCTGTTGGGCTCCACTCTTAATTTAGACTCTGTTCAGATTTCTGCCTACAGGGTGGGCATTTGTCACAGTGGGAAGCACACAAAGATTCTGGCGGGGACAATGCTGCATCTCAGAATCAAGCTCTCCTTGGCATTTGTCGCAATTTGCTCTGCGGTGGGCAGGGTATGCTGCCACGTGGCGGCGTTCTTGTGAACACAGGGACACTACTGAGGGGAGGGACATGGCAGCAGAAGCAGAGGAATCTTGAGGCGAAACAGAGAAGCAATGAGCAAGTCCAAGCAGGGCTGCGGCCTATTCAGCCCTAATTCTAGGCCAGCACCAAGTCAGCTGACCAGCCAGGGGCTGGGAGCAGGGCAGGGGGGTAAGGGGGAAGTTTGGGAGGAAGTCCCAACTTTGCAAGTGAAAGGCAGAAATTATTAGAACATCAGGCAGAGTCCAGGTCATTGCAAGAATTATATCTACAAGTCAAGGGAGGGCAAGAAGCAAGGTCAAGACTTGCAAATGACTCTGGAAGAGACCAAGGAGAACCCCAGACCCCCGCTCTTGGGTACAGTGCAAGGCGGGACTCCACTCTCAAGTCAACCTGGCCCCAGTACCTTCAGGAAGTCCCCCCACTCTGAGCACCTCACCCAACAGGACCTGGTGACAAGCTGGCCTCCATAGAAGTTGTACTGTGAGGGAAAGGGTGGTCTAAAACATGGCAGCTTTATGGAGACTTTGCCTTATAGCTCAGCACAGCACAAAGCAAATATTTTCAACAAGCAAGAGCTATTGTTATATAGTGGCCTTTCAGACACTAGGTTTTGGGGTTGGTTTATTTGTTGGCTTGCTTGTTCATTTGTTTTGTCTTTTTGCTACATAGAACATAACAATACATTAGGCAAGATTTTGGGTAGCAAGCAACAGATATCAAATCTGGCTAACTTAAGCGGGAAGAGTGATGTTTTAAAAAGGTATTAGGTAGCTCATAGAATTACTAGGAAATCTAGAGAGCCAGACCAGGAACAGGACCCAAAAACCCACAGCAGAACTGGTTCCCAACTCCAAGTTAGCAGTCCTTTCTCCTTCATTCTTCATCCACTTACCCCCAGGAGTAGAAACCACAGGCTGCACTCCTATCACCGCTACTGTGGAATCTTCATCTTATTGTATCCTGTAACCATTAGTCCCGCAGCCACTGCTGCAGTGGGGAGATGGTCATGCTGCAGCCACTGCCACCACCAGAGGATTCACTGCAGGACTTGCTTCTGTGTGTTCCCAGATCCTGGTTCAAAGTCAAGGAGTGTGTGAGGTTGGCAAAGCCCAGGTTGCATGATCATGGCCTCACTGCAAGAGAGGGTGGGAAAGTGAGTGCCTGCCGATCTTTGCTTCCATCATGGTAGGTGAACTCACTCCCACCACAACATTCATAAGGCAGAGTTCTGCACACTGGAGACACTGGAATGGGACTCAATCAATGGGCAACCAAAGAGAATGACCAACATCTACTGCAGACATCTATTACATATGTAACAGTCGGAGTGGAGAGAGACCTTATCAGGGGCTGACAGTGCTGGGCCTTTCACCTCTAGCTCACCTGGTCTTACTCCTCCTGTTCCATAGTTATCCCCGTGCCCAGCTGCCTACTGGGGTTTCTCAGTGTTCACGTCATCTTTGATCTCATCTGCCAACTACCCAGTTCTTGACCTGTCACTCCCGCTAATCTCTAGAATCTGGCTTTAGCTTGCTTTCCTGGTTGCTCAGAACATTTCTGAGTCTCAGGTTCTGGCCTCTTGTGCTGTCTGATGGTCCTACCCCTGCAAATGATGCTGATACCACTTCTGAATGATGACTATGCAGTCCTCAGTGTACCTTAGGACTGTGGCTCTGTAAAGTTCCATTATTGTAAGATCCTATAAGTAATTGAGTCCCCACAGATGGGACTATGGTATATGTGGTTCATGCCAAACCCTGTGTCTCAACAGACTGCATTAAGCCAGCTACACTGTGCCATTTAAGAAACATTTTTGCTGACTTGCAATAATCAGCTCCCCAACCAACCATCCCCCTCAAACATGTCTGAATTTTCAATAAGTACATTAAAATATTACTTTAAAATACTTCTGTTAAGCACTCTTTTACAACAATTGCCAAAAATCTGACAAGAAGTTTGAGGGAAGAAAAAGCGGTCACATCCACACCTCCGCAATGAAGTCTTGTGTTCCCTGGTACAGCCCCTTATTTGACATATTTGCAAGCAGAGCCTCAGCCTGCAGTGGCTGTATTTCTTCAAACATGAAAATACTAAGGACACACCTCAGAACACTGTTAGAAGAGATCATTCAAGAATGTTTGGCAAGACTTTTTGCAAAACAAACTGCTGAGTAAATAATCTGGGATGCATGTTGCCATTCAGAAGGCAAATAGAGAGAGGAGGAACCATCTCATCAGGACCAGTCATGTTCTTTTCATCAAGAATCAAATCCAATATGGAATATACAATGCAGCAGCATTGCCTTCTGAAGGGTCCCGGAGGTAAGCAAGGAGTTGGACTCCAAGGAAGCAAAAACAGGAAAAGAACCAAAACCATGGATAGAGATTTGGTCTCTGGTCAGAAGTTACTGATAAAACCTCTCTAGGGCAATTTTACACAGCTGTCGTCTTCATCTACCCTGAGTGCAACAAAACTCTTCACTGTGAACTTGGAAGTCTGTTTCCTGGTGTGTTCAGCTTTGTAAGCTACTGTCTGTGATGCTTTCAAGCACAGCCACTTTGGAATTTAAAATATCTGCGTGGTATGATCCTCTATATTCAAACTACTCTGCAAAACACTCTCACATCCATTCTTTTGTCTGAATCTGAGAAGCTCAGTGGATAAGTGAGGGGATAAGGGTACAGGAATCAAAGCACAGACACAAGGTCCCTCACTTTCCCAAGATAGCACAGAGAGTCAGAGGTAGTCAGTCGAGGTCCCCTAATTCCTACTTTGTGACTGTGTCCCCCTGTTTCCCTCCTCATTTCAAGTAAAATATGTTATCTCCTCCAAGGGGTTCAGAAAACAGATTTCCCTCCCTTACCTTTCAAGGAGACATTGGCTGCTTTTATCTACTCAGCATCTCTTATTTTCTTTGGAGAACTAACCCTTCCCTATTTTTGATGGTTCTGATGTCACCGCCATCAAAGGTTGTCCCAGAGCCTCTTGTCCCCACTTGGTATGTTACAAATAGGTAACATATGTCTAAAAACTGAGTTATGAAAGGCTTTCTGCTACTCCCAAAAGAAAGAACTGGCTTGCATCTGCTCCCGAGATCTTCAAACATCCCTGGCACTGTCCTTCTTAAGGCTGGAAATTCATGTCATGCTTCAGTTTGCTAGCCTATGCCAACCTAACTCATTCAACTCCGTTATTGCCCATTAATCAACCACATTGGGAGATGGGAAAGCCTTGGTTTTTAAGTCCTAGGAAAGCAAACAAACAAACTAGTTTCTGGGAAGCATATCAAGTCATTTTTCCTGCATGCAGGCAGACACTTTTGATTTGAGATTTGGCTGTAAGTGTAAACTTCGCCTGACATCATAATCTAAGTTTACTCAGGCTCTTCAGCTTCAGCAAAAAAGGCCTCACAAATCATTGAGGGAGTGGTAACACATTTCAGACAGTCACTTGTGGAAGTGCAATACTCATTAAACATCTTCATTGTCTTTACTAGACAGATGTAAATGGCTTCTGAGTCCAGACTGACGGGCATCTCAGGGGATCTTCAGTAACTACCTTGCCAAGCATTTCTTTTTTTTTTTTTTTTTTTCTTCTGAGACAGAGTCTTGCTCTGTCACCCAGGCTGGAGTGCAGTGGTGTGATCTTGGCTCACTGCAGCCTCTGTCTCCCAGACTCAAGCAATTCTCCTGCCTCAGCCTCCTGAGTAGCTGGGATTACAGGCACACACCACCACACCCAGCTATTGTTTGTAATTTTGGTAGAGACAGGTTTTCGCCACGTTGGCTAGGCTGGTCTCAAACTCCTGGCCTCAGGTGATCTGCCTTCCTCGGCCTCCCAAAATGCTGGGTGAGCCACCACATCCAGCTGCCAAGCATTTTCAAATGCACATCAAGTCCCCCAAGTTCTATTTGGCCAAAAGGCTGGTGTAGGCTCAATTGCTCCTTCCCTGCCCTTGGAGATCTTCCCCTTCTTCCCGGTACCGGCCTTAAGCAAAAATGAAAACCCAAGAAAATATAGGTTGGTTTTCTCCAAACTCTTTCCTTCACTGGGACTATAACCTCTTCCTGGATCTCCTCCTTAACAGAGTTTGCTTACAGCAAAAGAGACAATATCCATTATTTATTCTGCAGCACACATTTCAATGAGCATGACCTGTCCAGAGTATTAGCATGCTCCCTTTCAGCTGTCGGCCAGCAGGGAAGGAAGGAAACATTAGGGGGATGGCACTGGCACAGATGAGCTCAGACTTCTATGCTCACAGACAAGCCTGGTACTGCCTTCAGAACGAGTCTAAGAACACAGAGCCTGTGTTGAAACCATCATAACCTCTTCACATTCGGAGACCCTTACTCCTAACCCCCAGAGTGAAAAAGCTGCCAGACGGATATTACGTTTCCTTTTCTTGCTAGGTTTTCTCAGGCCTATATCAATTTTTTATTTTTTGCAAATGGACAAATGTGTCCATTTGCAGAGCAGAGAGGCTCAAATAACAAACAGAAGAGTTGACAAGATGCCAGAACCCGATTTCTAGTCCTCTCTTCCATCCATGCAAGCAAACCACTTAGACCTCTACGTCCCACACACCTCATCCTTCAGAGGCATTTCCACAAGTGTCATTAGCAGCTTTAAAAAGTGAGGAGAGCATTAAATAATTCCAAACGCATTTTCCCTTTTGGAAATGATCCTTCAAAAGCACCATCTTGAGACAAAACTTTAAAGGTATGTTGACTTTTATTCCACTGCATAGCTTTAGAGCCCCTGATGTCACATTGTCCTACTGCCTTCATGGTCGGTGGGGATGAGAACAGTGGGAATCACTGTGCTGTGGAGGAGAAAAGGAGAGCAGGGTCTCGTTCCATTTCTTCCAGAACTTCCCACAACCTTGGCCAGGTCACTCCTTCTCTGGACTTCAGTTTCTGCATCTCCAAGGTGAAGAGATTGGAGATAATGAATGCTAAGGTACCTTCAGCTACTAACCTCCTCTCCAGCACCGTCTACACTCTACAGACAGCTGCTTCTCTTCTCTGTGATGGCCTAGCCTGGCTGGAATGTGAAAAATGAGAAGAAAGCCAAACAAAGCAAACCAAATACCCCCTAGCAATGCTTGTAAATTATAAGCAATTATTTTGCACAACTAAGAAAAAGACAAACTTTTTTTTTGAAATGTAACATATTAATGGTGCTAAGAAATAGAAACACTCATTGTGTATCTGTGGTACTTTTATTAAGATTAGGACAAAAATTAAAGACATTAGTCCATTTCCATAAGCAAAGTTTGGGGTGGGAGACAACAGTGAGGAGAAGGGAAGGGAATAGAGATTATTTATATCTCACTCAATTATCTCTGAAAAATTATAAATCATCTGAAGAAAGTAGGTAACTTTGATATTTTAATCCTTAGTTTGAAATTTTAAAAATTGATTCTCATTATTTTGATGTGCAGTAATTTAAACAAGGCTGCCAACATGTTAGGTAGTGCAGGGAGCTAAATGGTGGCCTCAAAAAGATACACACGCATCCTAGTCTCCAGGACCCGTGATCATCACTTTATAAGGCAAAAGAGTTGATGTTACTTAATATAGCAAAATTTATGTGATTAAATTAAGGATCCTGAAAGGAGGTGCTCATCCTGAATTATCTGGGTGGGCCCTAAATGCCATCATATGTATCCTTAGAAGGAGGAGGCAGAGGCCGGGCATGGTGGCTCACACCCGCAATCCCAGCACTTTGGGAGGCCAAGGCGGGTGGATCACCTGAGGTCAGGAGTTCAAGACCAGCCTGCCCAACATGGCGAAATATCATCTCTAAACTAAACATACAAAAAATTAGCCAGGTGTGGTGACAAGCGCCTGTAATCTCAGCTATTCGGGAGGCGGAGGCAGGAGAATCGCCTGAACCCAGGAGGCAGAGCTTGCAGTGAGCAGAGATCATGCCATTGCACTTCAGCCTGGGCAACAAGAGCGAAATTCCATCTCAAAGAAGAAGAAAAAAAAAAAAAGGAGGAGACAGAGGGAGTTTTCAGAGACACACAGAGAGAAGAGGAGGAACAATGTGACCACAGAGGCAGGCACTGGACTGATGTAACCACAAGCTAAGGAAAGCATAGAGCCGCTGGCTTCAGGAAGAAGCAAAGGAATGTATTTCCCCTCGGAGCCTTCGGAGGGAGTGCAGCCCTGCCTACACCTGGCATCAGACTTCTGGCCTCCAGAACAGTGAAAGAGTACAATTCTGTTGTTTTAAGCCACCTAGTTGGCATAATTTGTTCCAGCAGGCTAGGAAACTATTATGGATAGCAATGATGCTATAATAAATAGATAATAATTATTCATAATTATCATAACAAAACAATAGCCTAAGTATGAGAACATGGCTTATATTATTGTTCTAACAATTTGCTTAGAATTATGGCTGCATAAAACCTCAAGATTTTTATGAGGCTGAGGAGGCCACCTAACTTTCTCTACATACTCTTTAAAAGCCTAAAAAATGATTTCAAGTTCAGTTTCAAATGCCATCTGGTTAACATGACCTAATACAGTCTTTCTCTACTTCTCTCAAATTAATCTCAAAGATCCTGGAAAAAAATACCAAAATCTAAAATTTAAGGCTAACAGATAAACTATTGTAAACTCCTGGGTTCAAGTGAGTCTCCTGCCTCAGGCTTCCAATTAGATGGGACTACAGGCATGCACCACCATGCCCAGCTGGGAATTCTTTTAAAAGAATTTGAAATGTCTATGGTTTCAAAGGTAAATGCTTGAATCTACTAATAAACATAAGAGAATAGAACAGGTTCAAGAAGTTTACCACTTAAAGTATCACTTCTGGGAGTCCCCTGCCCTGGTGTAAGAGCAGGGCTGGACCCAAAGTCCCTTCCTCTTCCATGGAAAGAAGAAGGATCTGGCTTCTCCCTGGACTTCTGTGAATATTTATTCTATTTATGGTTCCTAGGAAGTTGTTTGGTGACAGAAGCCCCTTCCTGGGCACTTTCTACCAGTGCTGGAGTAGCCTCCTCTTCTGGACCTGGCTCAAGAGGCTGGGATTTTAACATATTTTTTAACACAGGACTTTATCTTGGCAAAAATAAGAATAAAGAAAAAGATACAACTTTTTCAAATGGAATAAAAGCATATAAAGCTTTCTATCTATATTAGGTAGGTATTATTTACAAGAGACATAATTAAAACCTAATAGTATGTAGAGATAGAAAGTAAATCAATCAGCATATGCACAGACACACACATGCACACTCACACACACGAAACACATACACCAGGCAAATGGTACCCAAAAGACAACTGATGCTGCTCTAACTGGGAAAAAAAGCATTATTAGAGATAAAGTTAATCACTACTTAATGTGGCTCATGCCTATAATCCCAGCACTTTGGGAGGCCGAGGCGGGCGGATCACGGGGTCAGGAGATCGAGACCATCCTGGCTAACACGGTGAAACCCCATCTCTGCTAAAAAAAAAAAAAAATATATATATATATATATATATATATACAAAAAATTAGCCAGGCGCGGTGGCGGGCGCCTGTAGTCCCAGCTACTCGGGAGGCTGAGGCAGGAGAATGGCATGAACCCGGGAGACGGAGCTTGCAGTGAGCCAAGATCGCGCCACTGCACTCCAGCCTGGGCAAGAGAGAGACACTCCGTCTCAAAAAAAGAAAAAAAAAGAAAGAAAAAAGAACAATTCACCATGAAGATTTAACAGATTTAAACACATATATGCCTAACTATATATGTTCCAAGTATATAAAACTTTTCAGATTATGAGAAGAAAATGATAAATGCATTTATTGTGGTAAGAGATTTTAACACAATTCTCTGTAAGTGATACATTAGGCAGACAAAAGATTACTAAGAATATAGTTGTAGACCACAACTAGCAACCTTTATCTAAGTGACACAAGGATAGAACCCTGAAGCCAATGGTGAGAAATTATAAAACCTCCCACAGGTGTGTGAATTGTTTACAAATACGGATGATGCACGAGGCTAATATTCTACCAACAAAATTCTCTGACCACAATATCCTGAAATTCAGAAGAAATGAATAAAGGACAATTCCAAAATGTGTATAATTGGATATTAGAGAATATACTTCCAAATAATTCAAGAGTAATTGAAGAAATGCATGAAAATTTAAAAATAAAAATGCATATAAAAAGCATTAATATAAAGCTTAAGCAGATTGGAGAAAAATATACACACTACATGCATATTTTAGAAAAACAATTGAAATCATGAACGAAACATCAAATTTGAAATTCTTCAGTATAAATCCTAAGAAAGTAGAAGAAAAAGTAATAAAGAGAAGAAATTAAAGAAACATGAGTATAAGAAAAGCTGTTTTTTGAGAAGATAAAATAGAAAAACACTGATTACTGACCTAGAAAAAGAAAAAAAGAGATAATCTCTCTCAAAAATGAAAACAAAAACATACAAGTAGAATAGAGATTTTTTAAGTATAAAATAGTAATATAAAATGTTCATGCCAATAAATTTGAACTAGGATAAGATTTATAATTTCTTAGAATTTATAGTAAGAATCCTAAAGTAAATCAAAGAAAATATATGTGAATATATAGAACCACCTCAGAATGGAAAAGGATTGTATAATCATGATGCTAGAGACAAACTTGTAATGAAGAGATTAAGTTGAAAGATAATAAATTGAAAAATATAAACACTAAAAATTACACTGCAAGTTTAAAAATAACCTAAAATATTTTAAATTTAAAAAACTACGAAAATTTTCAATAAATATGAGACAAATGTGAATATATTAAATATTCAAAAGAGTTATTTCTAGTACCTAAAAAGACAAACACCCCAGTAGAAAATAGAAAAGGTATACAAGCACATAATTCACAAAAGTAAAAACCAAATTGCCATTGAATTATTGAATATATATATTTTTGAATATATATTGAAAAAATATATATATTTTAATCCACCTTTGGCACACTAGTAAATTAAAAAGCAAAAACAAAATGGAGAGACATAGTTTGACCTTAGCCCAAACATAAATTTACAGATAATTTTAAAGAAATGTATAAGCATTGGTGTAAAGATGCACTGTCATGTAATATCGGCAGACACTTAACTTGGTATATTTCTGACAGCAATTAGAAAAAGTATAGGAACACTTACAACATGTACATCCCTTAGATTCAGCAATTCTAGTTCTATAATTTACCCTATGGGGAAAAAAGTCATGGATCTGCATAAAAGCCTATTTCTAGGGATATTCATGCCTACAAAAGAGAAAGTTTAGTAACAAACTACATAACAATGGGAGAAATTAAACCAATGAGCTTTGAAATCATTAAAAACAATGCTATAATGGCACAAAGATAGATGAATAGACCAACAGAACAGAGAAAAATAATAGACCCACACATACACCTGACTTACAACAAAGGCACCAGTGAAATTCACCGAGGAAAGGATGATCTTTTCAATAAATGGTGCTGGAGCAACTGGATATTATATGGAAAAAATGAACTTTGATCTCTAGCTCACACCATACACAAACATTAATTTATGATGGATCATAGACTAAAATGTAAAACTTTCAAGCCTCTAGAAGAAAACATAGATGAATGGCTTTATGACCTTGGGGTAGGTATAACTTTTTTTTTTTTTCTGCTCTTGTTGCCCAGGCTGGAGTGCAATGGGGTGATCTTGGCTCACTGCAACCTCCACCTCCTGGGTTCAAGCAATTCTCTTGTCTCACCCTCCTGAGTAGCTGAGATTACAGGCATCTGCCACTACACCCAGCTAATTTTTGGTATTTTTAGTAGAGACAGGGTTTCACCATGTTGGGCAGGTTGGTCTCAAACTCCTGACCTCAGGAGATCCACCCGCCTCTGCCCCTCCAAGTGCTGGGATTACAGGTTTGAGCCACCATGCCTGGCCGGTAAAACTTTCTTAAACTGGAAACTAAAAGCTTTAACTACAAAAGAAAAGGAATTGATAAATTGGACTTCATTAAAGTTAAAAAATTCTGTTTACCAAAAGGCATCACAAAAAGATGGCACTTCACAATAGAGGATGTTTAAACAGCCAGTAAACATGAAAGAAGTACGACATCATTACTCATCAAGGGCATACTCATGAAAATGGCAATGATACCACCACATACCCACTAGAATAGTTGCAATTTAACAAACTGAGAATACCAAATGTTGGTGAGGATGTGGAAAAATTGGAACTCTCCTACACCACTGGTGAGAGTGTCAATTGAAACATACACCTACCCTGAGATATGTTCTTCCTAGGTATGCAAGAGAAATGACAACATATGTCCACGAAAAGACTTATACAAGAATGTCCACAGTAGCTTTATTCATAATTGGTACAGCAAATGAAAACAACCCAAGTATTTGTCAATAGGAGAATGAATAAAGCAAATGTGGTATATTTGTACACTAGAATACTAACAGCAACAACGAAGAAGAATGAACCATTGAACATGCAACAACATAGATGAATCTCTTTTAAAAATTATGTTGAGTAAAAAAAAGGCAGATCCAAAAGTGTACTTTTTAAAGAAAAAATCTGTTTATACAAAATTCAAGAGTAGGCAAAATAATCTCTGGTGAGAAAAGTCAGAATAGAGCCACCTATCAGGATGTTGAATGGGAAGGGACTCAAAAGCGCCTGTGGAGTGATGGAATGTTCTGTGTGCTGATTAGGGTGGGGCTAATAGATGCACACAGATGTAAACATGTATTGAGATGTATATTTAATATATGTACAATTTCTGTACGTAAATTATACCTTAAATATTTTAAAGGGATGCTATAAAGAATATTTAATATGGGGAAATATTAACATTGTTTTAAATTTTAAAATTTTTACTAAGTTGTTCATTCAATAGACATTTGTTAGGCATCTACTAAAAGCCAGACATTATCCTAGGACACAGATAATAAAAATGAATAAAATGGAAAATATCTTTAACCCTTGGCAGCTTACCTTCTAGTGTGAGGTTTGTTATACAATAAGTACATACATTCAGTATAGGGTAGGTATTATTTTGTGTGTGTGCGTGTGTGTGTGTGTATCTGTGTATATGCTCATTCTTGTCGATATATGTTTAAAATACACGTAGAAAAAAGAATGAAAAACTTTAAGGATGGCATCCGTTTTGGTGATTTAAATTAATTTGTATTATTATCTTTGTGCTTTCATCATTTTCTACAATGAGCATGCATTCCTTTCATAATCAGGGAAAAAACATTGTTAACAAAACTCTTAATGCAGACATATTGGTTCCTGCAGTTTCTCAGCAGAAGGAGAGCCACAGCATGCTCCCTGAGAACTTGTAGCTAGTGAGTTTCAACAGCTGTGTAACACCTGGAGCATCTGCATACAACTTGAATGAATCTCTTCCAGGCAATTGATGTGGAAAGTTTTATTAAGAAAGGAAGGAGAACAAAAACATGACCAGGAAAACTTTAATTGGCATCGTGAAAGGGTCTCTGTAGGGATTATTAACTAAGCCAAGATTTTTCACTGAACATTAGGTCAAAGTAATTAAATCAGAGCTAGGAACATATCTGAACTGCAGTGGAATGTTTGCCCAGGCTACCAAGTTATATCCTTCTGTCATTGACTTATAGAATAATACCCTTATGTAAATTCACACAACTTAATTTCCTACCTATAAAATGGGAATAATCATCCCTGTATTAGAGGTCTACCACAGTTTTTCACATGGCTCTCACTGACCTAAGTTATATTCTGACATCAAAAAATTAACAGTAGAGCATGCACCCAGCTCCCCAACTGACCACAGTTTATTTCTCACTTAAATCCCTTCATGTGACACATTCCTTATTGCCAAACTCGATGCTAGGGAAAAGTTACTCTGTGCAAATATCTTAGGATTTAGGTTACTTAGAAATCTATATTCTACAATTAATTAGATAATTAGATACAGAACAATTAAGTGAGACATTAACTCTGAAGTGTTAAATCTTGCTGTACATGCATCATCATTTCTTTTTTTCTTTTTTTTTTTTTTTTTTTTTTTTGAGACGGAGTCTCGCTCTGTCGCCCAGGCTGGAGTGCAGTGGCGGGATCTCGGCTCACTGCAAGCTCCGCCTCCCGGGTTCACGCCATTCTCCTGCCTCAGCCTCCCAAGTAGCTGGGACTACAGGCGCCCGCCACTACGCCCGGCTAATTTTTTTTGTATTTTTAGTAGAGACGGGGTTTCACCGTTTTAGCCGAGATGGTCTCGATCTCCTGACCTCGTGATCCGCCCGCCTCGGCCTCCCAAAGTGCTGGGATTACAGGCGTGAGCCACCGCGCCCGGCCGCATCATCATTTCTTTATATCCCAACACATAAAGGCATTCAGTGATATGAATCTGCTTCACGTGTAAGCCCTTACTTTCAGAGCAAGTAAAGTTTCTACATGTATTCCGGGTAGTGCTGACATTAATTGTAAAATATACAGATATAGAAAAAAATATATGTATGACTGGGCCATGAGGTGCCCAGATATTTGGTTAAACATTATTCTGGGTATGTCTGTGAGGATATTTCTGGATGAGATTAACATTTGAATCTGTAGATTGCCCTCTAACAAGGGAGAGTCTCATCCAATCATTTGAAGCCTTGAATAGAACTGAATAAGGCTAAGAGGGAATTTCTTCTGCCTGACTGCCTTCATTCAGGGACATGGGATTTTTTTCTTCTTTTGGACTCAAACTAAAACATTGGCTCTTCCTAGGTCTCAAATCTGCCAGCTTTCAGACAAAGAACTACACCATTTCGTTTCCTGGGTCTCCATGTTGTCAACTGCAGATCTAGGGACCTGTCTGCATCCATAATCACAAGAGCCATTATAATAAGTTTTTTTATACTTATATATTTTATTTGTTTTATTTCTTTATATATACTATTTATTCTGTTTCTCTGGAGAAACCTGACTAATCCATATTTGGTAGTGAGAGGGGTTCTAGAGGAATAGAATTTTAAGAATGAGTTCTCTGAACTATTTCTTGGGTTTCTGAAATTGGCTAATCTGATCATGTTTAAAGACATTAATGACTCAATTTCCAGTAGTAAAGAGAGCACTGATAGTGGTAATGATCTGGCAATAAAGATACACAAAATAATATCATTGGATATTCCTAATTTATCACTTATAAGAAGCAACTCTCTGGGTGACTGTATATTTCAAACATTTCTAGCAAACTAATGCATACAATAAAATTGACTGGTTGCTCCTAATGTCACTGGACAAAGTGGGGAAAGAAAAATATGAGGTCAGAGATTTTAATTCCCAGCTCAAAAACCACATAAATGATCTGAAATCTTCTATGCATGCCTGAAGGAGACCCTTCTATCCTGTAGCTGCAGGGCTGAGATTGCTGAAAATCAGAATCAGAATCTCATCCCAATGACTAGCTAAATTACAACACTATATATATATATATATGGAGAGAGAGAGAGAGAGAGAGAGAGGCCCAAGCAAGCCTTCAAGTCACAAGTAAGTTGCATGAAGAGGTAGCCCAAATACCCATGATACCCTGTCCAGCTACAATGCCTTCTCTCTCTCAGCCTGCACCTATGCCCTAATGAGGAGTTCCCTACAATCAGTTGACAGAGCAAGAAAAGATTTGGAACTGGTTTATAGATGGCACTACTCAAAAGTAGGCGGTTGCAACATTGCATCCACTTTCCAGGAGATCCCTAAAGGACAATAGTGAAGGAAAATCCTCCCAGTGGGAAGAACTTTGAGCACTGCACTTGGTTGTTTACTTTGCTTGGAAGGAAAACTGGCCAGACATGGGTATCCTCAGCACAGGAGGATTTTAATAATCTAGTGGATAGGATGACCAGTCAGCATGATGTTATGTAAAAGAAGATGTATTGACTTTATATCAGTATTTAAGTGTTAATTTTACATTACAGTATTTTAGGTTATTGCGTATCAAAAAGAAAAGTCAATATTACTTAAAGGCTCCACCTCCCCTTTGGGGGAAGGAGTTACTGTATTTTCATTTGTACACAAAATAGTTGTGTCAGGTTAGGCAGAATTATGACATTGTTATTGTCTTCATTTGGAGATTAAGTATGGGTTAAGTAGATGTATATGGGTGCCAAGTTGACAAGGGTTGAGCCTGTGATGGATAAAGTTTGTATCAACTCGATTGGGCCACAGGGTACAGAGTACTTAGGTATTTGGTCAAACACAATTTTGGATGTGTCTATGAGGGTGTTTTGGGATGAGATTAACGTTAGAATCAGATTGAATAAACAGAGGGTGGGCCCCATCCAATCAGCTGGAGGCCTGAGTAGAACAAAAGGGCTGAGTAAGAGGGAACGTCTTCTGCATGATGCCTTCGGTTAATCAGTTGGGTTTTCTCCTACCTTTGGACTTGAACTGAAACATTGGCTCTTCCTGAATTTTGAGCCTGCTGGCTTTTGTACTGGAACTATACCATCAGCACTCACTTGCGTGCTCTCTCTCTCTCTGCCCCCCACCCCCATATATACATATATATTTTTTAATTTTTTTTTCTTTTTTAAGAAGGAGTTTCACTCTTGTTGCCCAGGCTGGAGTGCAATGGTGCTATCTCAGCTCACTGCAACCTCTGCCTCCTGGGTTCAAGTGATTCTCCTGCCTCAGCCCCTCTAGTAGCTAACTAGGATTACAGGCATGTGCCACCACACCAGGCTAATTTTTGTTTTTTTAGTAGAGGCGGGGTTTCACCATCTTGGCCAGGCTGGTCTCGAACTCCTGACCTCATGATCCACCCGCCTCAGCCTCCCAAAGTGTTGGGATTACAGGCGTGAGTCACTGCACCCAGCCATACATATATCTTATACACACACAAACACACGCATATGCATATATATATATATATATGTTCTGTTTCTCTGGAGAATCCTCATATACATACATATCTATGTATGGGTATATATGTATGAATATGTATGTATTTGTACATATATATACACATACGCATAATTTAAACATAATATTAATAAAGATTTTTAAGTCACTGTGGTGGCTAGAAATATTATGTCTCTAGATCTGTCAAATATAAGTGGTGTTTTTATAATTTACTCATTTGGCAGGTTTTAATCTTATAACTGCTAAAATGACTGTTAACTAGCTATGTGAATATACTACCTCACAGAATTCATCCATAATTATTGGACCTATTCCAGCTTAGTTTTCTCTAGAAAATAAATTATATAAGTAAGATTCTT
This sequence comes from Homo sapiens, assembly GCF_000001405.40. Classification (NCBI taxonomy): domain Eukaryota; kingdom Metazoa; phylum Chordata; class Mammalia; order Primates; family Hominidae; genus Homo; species Homo sapiens. Next base: position 25,125,292 of record NC_000008.11, read on the forward strand.
GTGACTGTCTTTATGTAATTACTTTTATTAACATTTCCTTGTGGGTTACTCATCTCCTTGATCTCTAAATGTTGGAGTATTCCAGTGTTTTAACTTTGGACCAATTTTTGTTTCTATCTACACTCACTCTCTTTGTACTTGCATCAAGTCCCATAGGTTTAATTACCATCTTTTTGCCATCCAAAATTTACTTTCCCAGCACAGACATTTCCTTAGACTTTAAGCACACATTCCCACTTATAAGCCTCATGAACATTTCAAAATTATTTTTTCTAAAACTGAGCTCCTGGTATTTGCACACTGACTCTCCCTCTTTTCAGCCACTGGCAATTCCAATCTCCCAGTTGCCTCTTTATCCTTAATATCCTATTTGTCAGTAGATTCCATCAATTCTGCCTATAAAATATATTTAGAATCTGACATCTGCTGCTACAACCCTGGTCCAAGCCACCATTACCTCCTGCCTGGACTATTGCAACATTCTTATAACTGCTCTGCTTATTTTTTTCCCTTGACACCAGTCAAGCCCACTCTCAAGAAATCATCTATCCAAAATCCTTTCAAAGTATAAATTATATCATGTCATTCCTCTGCTCCAAACCTTCAGAGCCTCTAATTTCAATCAGAGAAAAAGCAAAATACTTTTAAATTCTTTTAAGTCTATATTCGTCTGTGGTCTTAGAGAAGTAGATGCAAAGATGGGATTAAAATTACAAATATAGAAGTTACATCAACAAAATGGCAAACTGGGGAGATCCAAGCACTCATTTCTACTGAGAAAAAAATAAACAGAACCTCAATAAAATTAATTTTTGGCAGGGCATGGTGGCTCACGCTTGTAATCCCAGAACTTTGGGAGGCTGAGGTGGGTGGATCACCTGAGGTCAGAAGTTTGAGGCCAGCCTGGTCAACATGGTGAAACCCTGTCTCTACTAAAAATACAAAACTCAGCCGGGCGTGGTGGCACATGCCTGTAATTCCAGCTACTCAGGAGGCTGAGGCAGGAGAATCGCTTGAACCCGAGAGGTAGAGGTTGCAGTGAGCCGAGATCGTGCCTCTGCCCTCCAGCCTGGGCAACAGAGAAAACTCTCTCTCAAAAAAAAAAAAAAAGCAAAGAAAAGAAAAGACTTTCTAGGATTCTTGGAAACCAATGAAAGATCTACAGCAACCAAGGAAATAACAAATCAAGGAAAAGCTAGATGCAAAACAGTAGGGAAATTTCATGGTGTTTTACTCCTCTTGTTCTTCCCCCTTCCCAGTGTGGTGCAGTCTGGAGGAAATGGTGACCTGGTTCCCAACCCTCTCCCATTAACCAAATTTTCACCTTTCTAGCCTGTCTGTGGACTGCCTGAAGTATTGTTCTTTGTACTGACTCAGAGCCCAGACAGCCAAAAACAACTCAGATTTCTGGCTAGAACAAGCAGTGGTAAGCAGTGAGCATGGTTCCTGAAAACTATAAGAGGACTATAGAACCACAGACACTTGGGCAAGAGATTACTGATTGAGGAATACAATAAAACGGCAAAGGCCCTGAGAAGAATCAGGGGTGAGACTCTTAGGCAAATTAAGACATTTAAAAGTAGCCATGAATATAGGGGAATTGGAGGGGGGAAAAGCATACACATGGCCCATGGAAGATGCATGCCCAAAAATTTCTTGAGAAGACCTTAAGCCTTTGTGCTACGCCAATCGCTGAATGTCTTCTCTTAAAAGGAGTCAGTCTGCAAAGACTAGTGAAGGTGGCTGTTTCCCCAAATGCCCAACTTTCAACAGAAAGTCACAAGGTATACAAAAAAAAAAAAAAAAAAAACCAGAAAACTACTACACATGCAAAGGAGGAAATAAATAAATTTTCAGAAACTGTCCATGAAGAAACACAGGCATCAGACTTGTTTGACAAAGGCTTTAAAACAACCATCTTAGCCAGGTATGGTAATGCATGCCTGTAATCCCAGATACTCAGGAAGCTGAGATAGAGGATTGGTGGAGCCCAGGAGCTTGAGACAAGCATGGATAACAGCGAGACAGACAGACAGAATGAATGAATGAATGAGAGAGAAAGAAAGAGAAAAAGAAAAGAAAGAGGGGAAGAGGAAGAGGGGAAGAGGGGAAGGGGAAGAGGGGAAGGGGGGAAGGAAGAAAGGGAGGGAGGGAGGGAGAGAAGGAAGGGTAAAACAACTGTCTTAAATATGCTTAAAGACCTCAAGGAAAACATGAACAAAGAGCTGAAGGAAATCAGGAAAATGACTTACGAAAAAAATGAGAGAGAATTTTTTCTCTCTCAGAGAGAAAATTATAAAAAGAACCAAACAGATATTCTAGAGCTGAAAAAACATAACTGAACAGGAAAATTCACTAGAGAGTTTCAACAGCTCACTTGAAACAGGCAGAAGAAAGAATCCGTGAATTTGTGAGTTTCAAGTCAGTAAAAAATTTATAATTTTAATAAAATTAAAGTCAATAAATTTTATAATTTTATTTAATTTTTAATTAAATTAATTTTAATTTTATTTAATTTATTAATTTAATAATTTTAACAAAATTAAAAAATAAGATGGCCCACGGGACACAGCCATGTGTAAGAGCTTCCACGCAGAAACGAAGAGGACTGGCACACTCCTAACATCTTCAGAGGGAAGTCACAGAGTGGGCAGAAGGAAGACACAGAAGCTGGGCTGAAGGGGGAGGAAGCTGGGAACCCTGCATGGGGCTGCCATGCACCAGGACTCATTTCTGGCCCCCACCCAACTAATCTGGAGAAATGGATGAATTGAACTGGCAAGGAGCAACCCGCTCTCACCAGGAGCCGAGATTCTGAAATCTCGGCGGGAGACCCTTCGACCATGAGTTGACCTGCTCCACTACGTGACACTGCATGGAGCGATGTGTAGTGTGCGGACTCCGATCTTAGAGGTCAGATGTGGATGCTCAGGGATTCACCGAACTAGATTCCTGACTGATTGACCAGCGGGTGGACTCTGGGGAACACGATTGAGAAATGCGTACTTTGGGAGTGAAAACTGGCCCCGGGACAGGAGGGAGTGTGGTGCAAGCTGTCTTCTCCGTGAAATCCACGCTGTGTCCGGCAGCGTGGATTTCATGGACTTCGTTCCAGTGTGACAGATATTGCCACTCTGAGGTCGTGGGTCTGGAGTCTACTCTGAACTGCTGCTTAGAGAAGTGGTAAGGGCAGCAGCCCAGCTGATACCTAGTCCAGGATTTGGTGCTGGTGCGTCTGTAGCCCACCACAGCTAGGAACACCCATTTCCCAAAGCTCAACTTGCTCCCTTAGGAGACTTTAGCCCTAGGGGAACTGTCCAACCTGAATTCTGCAAGGTGGTCTTGCCCATCAGATAGGGCCATCCAACCTGAGGACTCCTTGGTCTGCTGGCCTCTCCCAGGGGTCCAGCCTGGCTGTGCCTGCTTACAGGGTAGCCTTGGGTGCCCTAGGGGCCCACACCATAGCTCCTGTGCTGATGGAGCCTGCCTGACTGATGGGGAGCTCCAGCCGGGCAGCCCCCACAGCCGCACACCAGCCTGCCAGCTCCCTCCCCACACTACAGACTTCCCTGGGCCCACAGCAAGCCCCCACATCGCTTTGCTGGCACTTTTGTGCACAGGCGGGTTTTGCCTTCCTTGCCCCGCCAGCATGTGTGTGTGCATGCACCCCGCCCTGCCACTGCTGCAGCAGGAGTACACTCTGGCACCCCCACATGGAAGCCATTGCAGTTGGAGCCAGCCCCACCAGTGCCCCACCCTTGCACCAACACTGCTGCAAGAGTGAAACTAGGCAGAGAGAACAGCCGACCATCCCCCTGCCCTAAGCAACCACCCTTGCCTGCTGTACACAAAAAGCATACACAGACCTGCACCTGCCAGCCCCCCACCCCCAAGCTAACACCACACCGCCACCAGCGCAACCGCACCAGCAAGACCCCCCCAGCCCAACCCCCAAGGCATGCTGCCTCTGCCACTGTGAGTGAACACCAGCATGGAAGAAGGCACCCCAGCATCCACTACTTAGGTCTTAGGAATTGATTTCTTGATTTCTTCTTTATTTTATTATTAAGGAGATATTATTAATAAGCACATTATTAAGGTGCTCCAACACAGGAGCTCCCAGGTTCATAAAGCAAGTTCTTAAAGACCTTCAAAGACACTTCAAAGACACTTAGATTCAGATAAAACAGACTTTAAGCCAACAATGATCAAAAATGTGAAAGAAGGGCATTATGTAATGACAAGGGATTCAATCCAATAAAACTTAACAATCCTAAATATATACACACCAAACATTGGAGCACACAGATTCATAAAGCAAGTACTTTTAGACCTACAAAAAGATTTAGCCACACAATAATAGTGGGAGACTTAAACCACTACACTGACAGCATTAGGTGGATTATTGAGGCAGAAAACTAACAAAGAAATTCAGGACTTAAATTTGACGCTGGAAAAATTGGACCTAATTGACATCTACAGAATACTCCTCCATCCATCAACCACATTCTTCTCACCTGGACATGGAACAAACTCTAAGATCGACCACATGCTTGACCATAAAATAAGTATCAATAAATCCAAGAATATAGAAATCATACCAACCATACTGTCAGTCCACAATGGAATAAAAATAGAAATCAATACCAAGAAGATCTTCCAAAACTACACAATTACATGGGAATTAAACAACTTGCTTCTGAATGTCTTCTGGGTAAATAATGAAATTAAGGCAGAAATCAAAACATTCTTTGAAATAGATGAAAATAGAGATACAACATACCAAAATCTCTAGGATGCAACAAAAGCAGTGCTGAGGAAAGTTTATAGTGCTAAATACCTATATCAAGAAGTTAGAAAGATCTCAAATTCAGATCTAACATTACACCTAGAGGAACTAGAAAAAAAAAAAAAACTAACCTGAAAGCTAGAAGAAGAAAAAAATTACCAAAATCAGAGCAGACCTAAATGAACTTAAGACCTAAAAACCTATACAAAGGATCAAAAAAACCAAAAGTTGGTTTTTTGAAAGAATAAACAAGAGCAATAGATCATTAACTAGATTAACAAAGAAAAAGAGAATATCCAAATAAGCACAATCAGAAATGACAAAGGTGACATTTCAATTTATCCCACAGAAATACAAATATAAAAAATCCTCAGAGACTATTAAACAGTTATAGCCACCTGATCTTTGACAAAGTTGTCAAAAGTAAACAATGGAGAAAGGACTCCCTATTCAATAAATAGGGAATAGCTGGAATAGCTGGCTAGCCATATGGAGAAGAATGAAACTGAATCCTTACCTTTTAAAATATATAAAAATCAGCTCAAGATGGATTAAAGATTTAAATGCAAGACCTCAAACTATAATATCTCTAGTAGAAAATACTATTCTGGACATCAACCTTGATAAAGAATTTATGATTAAGTCTTCAAAAGCAATTGTAACAGAAACTGACAAGTGGAAACTAAACTAAAGAGCTTCTGCACAGCAAAAGAAACTATCGACAGAGTAAACAGACAACCTACAGAATGGAAGAAAATATTTACAAACTATGCATTCGACAAAGGTCTAATATACAGACTCAATGGGGAACTAAACAATGCAACAAGTAAAAAACGATAACCTCATTAAAGGGTGGCCAAAGAACATGAACAGACACTTCTCAGTAGATAACAAATGGCCAAGAAACATATGAAAAAGGGTTCAATATCACGAATCAGAGAAATGCAAATAAAAACCACAATGAAATACCATCTAACAGGGAGTATGGCCATTATTAAAAAGTCAAAAAAATCAGTCAATGAAAAACACCACATTAGTAGAATGAAGGGTAAAAACTCATTATTATCTCAAACAATGCAAAAAATTTTGACGAAATTACTGCCTTTTTATGATTAAAAAAACACTCAATAAGCTAGGAATAGAAGGAAACCACCCCAACATAATGAAGTCCATAAATGAAAAAGCCAAAACTAACAGCAAACTCAAGGATAAAAGACCAAAAAAGCTTTTCCTCTAAGATCATGAACATGTTACTGAAGTCCTACCCAGAGCAATTATGCAAGGAAGATAAATAAAAGGCTTCCAAATTGGAAAGGAAGAAATCAGATTATCTCTGTTTGCAAAGGACATTATTATTTATTGGGGCATATCTGTGAGAGAGAATGGGTAGAGACTGGAAGAATTTGAGAGAGCCATCACCATGGAGCTAGTCTGAACCTAAGAAAGGGAGAGAGGAAAAAAGTTTGGATGGAAGGATCCTAGACCTCCATGCAATCTAAGGAAGGTTTAGCAAGTACATTTGCCAATGTCACCCATTAGAGAAATCCCCATTGTCTCCCAGAAATGGGTCTACTGTAGTATTCCTGCCATACTTAGTTATAAGCTAAAAGCAGTTCTGAGAAATATTGGTGGGTTTCAGAATGCAGTAACTGGAGTGCATCGTCAATTACACTCTCTGTAGTAGGAGGTCCACAAAGTATATTCTCATTGCCACCCCAAAAGCCTTACATAATATGCATCCACCACTGTCTTTTGATGCCCTAACCTTCTTCCTCTTGAACCCTTTTTTCCAGCCACACTGACCTTGGCAATCCTTGACAACAGTAGGCATATTCCCCTGCAGAGCCTTTGTACACATTACCACACCTAAATTTTCTTCTCCCAGATACCCCATGATTTGTTCATTCACTTCCTCCAGGTCTTTACTCCAATATCACCTTCTCAGTGAAGTCTGCCCTAGCCACCCCGTCTAAAAGTCCAATACTTCGTTACTCATCCTTACAATGTACACATACATTTTTCTTAGCAATTATCACTAAAAAACATATTATACTCACTTATTTATCTTGTTTCTTTTCTATCTCCCCTACTAGACTGTAAGTTTCATGTCAGCAGGAGCTTTGATTTGCTTGGTTATTGTTGTTTATTCAGAAAGTGGAATACTATATTGAATATATTAACCACTCAATACATACTTGCTGTATTAAAGATTGAACACAGAAGAAAAAAAGGGTTTTAAAATAATACATTTATTGCTGGTATACAGATGAGTTACTACAAGAAATCCAGAGGGACATTTTGGCAGCATTTTTTTCAGTTAATCCAAGTCTCTATGTACACTTGGAAGGAAGAAACTTCATGAAAAATCTATAAGTAAATGTTTCTCAAAATCAGAATGGTTTTTCATGACAGAAATCAAGAAGTCTTTCAAAGATAAAAATGACAAAACTAAAAGATAATCTTCAAATGGCACCAAAACCAGCCTTCAGTAACTTCTTTGACCAAGAATGGAACAATTTGTGCATCAAAACAGTTAGTAAAAGCAATTAATTTGAACATATTGACTTATTTTTAAATAGCCGGTTTTTTGTATAATTATACCAAAAAAGGAAGAAAAGAAAGAGAAAGTCAAATAAGGGCAACATCAAAAACAAAAACCTGACCCACGGGAAACCAGTAGGAAAGACCAGGAAACTAACTTTTTACTCTGAAGATTTGTAATTTAAATACAAAGATTCATTGCTTAACCTAATTTTAGGAAAACCAAATAGCTCTGGTGGATGAGAAAATGTCTCTCTTCTCAGAAAACATTGAGCTAATCCGTGAAGAAATGTAATAACTTTTCTAAACCATCATTTTGCAACCCCTAGTGAAATATCATCAGTAGGGAAAACAATTAAAGGATAAACTGAGGGCCGGGCACAGTGGCTCACGCCTGTAATCCCAGCACTTTGGGAGGCCAAAGCGGGTAGATCACCTGAGGTCAGGAGTTCGAGACCAGCCTGGCCAACATGGTGAAACCCTGTCTCTACTAAAAATACAAAAATTACCCGGGTGTGGTGGCATATGCCTGTAATCCTGGCTACTTGGGAGACTGAGGCAGGAGAATCGCTTGAACCCGGGAGGCGGAGGTTGCAGTGAGACAAGATTGTGCCACTGCAGTCTAGCCTGGGCAGCAAGAGTGAAACACCATCTCAAAAAAAAAAAAAAAAAAAAAAGATACATTGATGGGGAACTTATAATGCAAGTTTCAAGCCATCGCCCATTAAAACAAGCGACGAATCTTAGCATCACTAAAGGCTGAACAAGCAGACATTTGTGTGCCTTCTATTATGACACAATAAAAACACAAAGCATCACCAATGAAATTGGTCAAGAAAGCAGAAACTGAACTTAAGCAAGCTCTGTGGCTAACTTCTGTGTACGAGAAATATGAGGAATAGAAGAACAAATTAGGTGGCAGCCCCAGAAAAAAAACAAATTCAAAACATGGCATGTTCTGTACGACAACTGACCCAGTTTCTGAAACAAGTAAGTAGCGTGGAAAAAAAGGTGAGGAGATAATTGTTCTAGAGTTTTTGCTTAACTTAAGAACACTAAACAACAAAATATAATGTGTAGAGTTCTTCTGGGATTCTGTTTTAGACAAACTAAATATAAAAATACTTTTGAAGGCCATTGAAAGCTTCTGGTTGTGATCTGGATACCAAAAGACATAAAAGAGTTGTTAGTAATTTTGCTAAACACGAATAATGTCATAGTTAGTTCAGAAAATATCCATATTTTAGATCCACACCTAACTCTGGAAAGGAGAATGACATGACTTATTGAATCATATGGAAAAGGGGAAAATAGATAAAGCTAGTGGGGCAAATTGTGAGAATAACTGAATCTGTATAAAGCATGTAAAAAGGTTTATTTTACAGCTCTCTATTTGTGTATGTTTGAAGAATTTTATGATAAAAATGTAACTGTTTATTCCAATTAATTCTAATGAATAAGTGTTTACTGTAAGTTACAATTAAATTATCTACTTAACCAACTTATACTCCAAAATATTTATTCGTTTCATTAAAGGAAAAATATAGCATGAAGACATTTAATCTTAAAACAGATACTTGGAAGATATGATATCCATTAATTCAACCTATATTTATAGAGCCCTTATGATGAATCAAGCATAGTCCTAGATGCTAATACAGAGGTGAGTCAAATTAAGTCCTCTTCCTCCTAGAATCTATATACTAGGAAGGAGAGTACTAGTAACAAATAAAAGATAATAGCAATCCCATAGTGATGAATAATCACACACTAATAAGTGCCATGAAGAAGATAAAGCAAGGAAAGATGACAGAGGGACAAAAGGAATGGAGCTATATGGGAAAGGTGGACAGGGAAGGACTTTCTAAAAAGGTGAGGCTTGAGGTTGAATCTAAATGATAGGTAGGTTAGGTGCATGCATGCCTTATGGATCTGGGTGGTAAAGGGGCGTGGAGGTGGGGAAGAGCAAGTATGAAAGCCCTGAGTTGTTTTTAAAAAAAAAAAGCAAGTTATATGTAATGGACAGTGAAACACAAGCGTGGAAAGAGAAGGGAAGAGGGTAGGAGGAATCAGACAGCCAAGTATAGAACAAATGGTGTAAAGCCTGGTAGAGCCATGGTAAGGCATTCTGATTTTATTCTACATATGACAAACCGCTGAAGAACCCAAATTAGGGGATGGTCATGATTAGATTTAATATTTTCAAAAAATATACATTGCTAGATTTAGATTTTATGTATCTGTGTTCATGGCAAGATTAGCTTAAAACTTTCCTCTTATTGCCTTGAATGGTTTTGTTGACAAAGTTTATTAGCATCATAAAATGAAGCTGAGAAAATTCCTTCATCTTTTGTTCTCTAGAATATTTTGTATGAGACTAGAGTTATCTGTTCCTTGAAGAATTTATAGACATTGACTGTAAATCTGCCTGATCTTGATGTTAATTTCTGCACAGACTTCAGTTTCAATTTATTTTGTAGTTACATATCTCTTCATATTTTCTAGTTCTTTAGTTAAATTTGGTAAGTTATATTTTCCTAAAAACATACCCCATTTCTGAAGATTTTAAAAATATATTTATATAGCCTTATATTTCTGACCAATATAAAATAAATGGTTACATGAAATGATTGTTAATAAGTAGCAAAATATATGAAACAAAGTTTGTAACACATTGAACATCAGACAACAAAGAGGAGTGACCCCACAGAGATAGAAAACTAACAATATGAACATTATGACTGACCAGATTATGGCCTTGAGAGAACTTCCAGGATGCAGCACAGGGTGGAAAATCCCATGTGGAGTGTAGGGGACTCTCAGAGTTTAGAAGGTAGAGCTGAGTCCAGGGAGACCAAGGTGGCTACAGTTTATGGGCAGAGTACCAGAGAGGAGAGACTAGGAGCACACGAGAGAGAACTCCAGAGATCTGCAAACTGTCCACTAGCAAAGCATAGATGGGCCTAAATATGTGAGAAAACTACCCCAGGCCAAAGAAAGAATGTCCCAAAATGAATAAAGGGAACAGTGTGCAGAGCTCACACAGGGCTGGGAATTGTGCCTGTTACCACCAGCCAGTCAGGAGAGCCTCATAATTCATGGTACATTAGGTAGAGCATTCAGAAGAGTCTTGCTTTCATAGTGGAAAATGATTAACTCCAGATTAAACACTGCTCTCATCCTACCTAATAAATCTTAAAAGCAAGAACCAAAAGAATCAAACAATTTCCATGTAATTTAATAGTCTATCAGAATAAAACTCAAAAACGTTTCTAGAAATGCAAACATATCCAGCAAGAAAGTACAATTCACAAGGTTTGGTATCCAGTCAAAATTTACTAAGTAAGCAAAGAAGCAGGAAAATACGACCCATAATGAGGAGGAAAATAAATCCATCAAAACCAACCCAGCCTTGGCACAGGTATTAGAATTGGCAGACAAGAATACAAGAATAGTTATAACTGTATTCTATAAGTCCAAAAAGTTAAAGAATCAACATACTAAACACAGATTCAGAAGACAAAAAAATTCATATCAATAGTCAAATGCCAATATTTTTCAAAGATCCGTGAAAGTGATAAACCTCTAATCCAATGCTTCTCATTTGGAGGTGATTTGCCAATGTCTGGAGATATTACTAATTGTTACAACAGAGAGTACTGCTGGTATCTAGTAGGTAGAGGCCAAGAATACTACTAAACATCTTATAACCTACAGGAAAGCCCCCATGACAAAGAACCATCTAGTATTTGGTTTCCTGTTCCTGCATTAGTTTGCTTAGGATAATGACCTCCAGCTGCTGCAAAGGACATAATTTGGTTCTTTTCTATGGCTGTATAGTATTCCATGGTGTGTATGTACCACATTTTCATTACCCAGCCTATCATTGATGGGCATCTAGGTTGATTCTTTGTCTTTGCTATCGTGAATAGTGCTATGATGAGCATATGAGTGCATGCCTCTTTTTGATAGAACAATTTATCTGGTTTCATGTATATACCCAGTACTGGAATTGCTCCGTCAAATGGTAGTTTTGTTTTAAGTTCTTTGAGAAATCTCCCCACTGCTTTCCACAGTAGCTAAACTAATTTACTTCCCCACCGGTAGTGTATAACTGTTCCCTTTTCTGTCCATCCTCACCAGTACCTGTTATTTTTTTACTTTTAATAGTAGCCATTTTGACTGATGTGAGATGGTATCTCATTGTGGTTTTGATTTGCATTCCTCTGATGATTATGATGTTGGGCATTTTTTCATATGTTCATTGGCAACTTGTATGTCTTCTAGAAGTGTGTGTTCATGTCTTTTGCCCATTTTTAATGGGGTTATTGGTTTTATGTTTGTTGAATGGTTTAAGTTCCTTATAGATTCTGGATATTAGACCTTTGTCAGATGCACAGTTTGCAAACATTTTCCCCCATTCTGTAGGTTTTCTGTATACTCTGTTGATAGTTTCTTTTGCTGTGCCAAAGCTTTTTAGTTTAAATAAACATGAATTCAAACTAGATTCCTGTAAGCATGCTAGTGGTAATCCAGGACAACCACCAAGAAAATAACTCAAATTTCAGGAAAGCTTCATTATAGAAAGTATTTGTTTGAGGGCAACTTGACATGATTTCTTATTCAGGAATGGCCCAGAAAGAGTGTCATTGATCTCTCTCTCACTTGGCCATAGCAACCCAGATGGGATCTTTCAATATGGAGGGCAGTTGCCTTCGTGGTTTTCTACTTGCTCTACCTGCCTTTGGGAAATCTTTTTGGAAACTTGCATTCACAGAGCAAAATATCTGCACAGACTGGACCAGTCATTATCGAGCCAAATCAGGCCAGAAATGTCTCTCAAGGATCTTCAGAAAGATGTAATGGATGGCCCAGATTATCCAAATTGTGGTAAATGAAAACATTAAAGACATCAATGAGTGTTCAAAGAACAGATTCCGTATGGCGTCCAATAGCGTAATTGAAAGGACTTGAAAGATGTGAAGACTGAGAGTAGAGAAGGAAAATTTTGAAGGAGAAAATAGGTAATTCAAAAGTAATAGTTGGAGTTATCAATATCCCATTTTCTTTTTCTTTTTTTTTTTTTTTTTGAGATGGAGTCTTGCTCTGCCACCCAGGCTGGAGTGCAGTGGTGTAAACTCAGCTCACTGCAAACTCTGCCTCCCAAGTTAAAGCAATTCTTGTGCCTCAGCCTCCAGAGTAGCTGGGACTGCAGGCGCCTGCCACCACGCCAGGCTAATTTTTGTATTTTTAGTACAGACGGGGTTTCACCATGTTAGCCAGGCTAGTCTCGAATTCCTGACCTCAAGTGATCCACCCACCTCAGCCTCCCAAAGTGCTGGGACTATAAGCATGAGCCACCACACCCAGCCAATATCCCATTTTCAATAGTGGGTCGAAAGCAGGCTGAAGAGCAATAAGATGACTAAAAAAAAAACTATAAACTAATCCTACCTAACAGACATCTATAGAACAATGTACTCAAAAAGATAGAACACAAATTCTTCTCGAGTTCACATGGATGATTCTCCAGGATAGACTATATGCTAGGTCATAAACCAAGCCTCAATACATTTAGGAAAGTTGAAATCATACAAAGTATGCTTTCTAACCACAGTGGAATAAAAGAAAAAAACAATACAAAGAAATTTGGGAAATGCACACACATTGAAATTAAACAATATACAATTAAATGACTAATGAACTGAAGAAAATCATAAGGGAAATTAGAAAATTTGAGATTAATGAAAATGAAGATACATCATACCAAAACCTATGGGACACAGCTACAGCAGTGCTTAGAGAGAAATTTGTAGGTATAAATTCCTATATTAAAAAAGAATAAACACCTCATATCAACAACCTAATGTTCTATTTTAAGAAACTTGAAAAATAAGAGGAAGCTAAATTAAAAGCAGAAGAAAGAAAATAAAAATTCGAGTTGCAATAAATGAGACAGAAAATAGAAAAACAGGGAAAATCAATAAAACAAAAAGTATTTTATTAAAAAGAACAACAAAACTGACAATCTTTTAGCTATACTGACCAAGGGAAAAAAAAGAAGACTCAAATTACTAATTCCAGAAATGAAAGAAGAGACATTACTATTGACCTTACAGAAATAAAAAGAAATATAAAAGAATATTTTGAACTATGGTATGCCAACAAATTAGATAACCTAAATGAAAGGAGAAATTCCTAGAAAGCCAGAAAGTCCTGAAATGGACCAAAGAGAAAATCTAAAATCTGAATAGACCTGTAACAAGTATTAATTTTAAAAAATGAATTAGTAAGGACCAGGCCTAAATAGCTTTACTGGTAAATTTTACTATATGGTTAAAGAATAGCTAACACCAATGCTTCTCAAACTTCCAAATAATAGAAGAAGAGGTAACACTTCTCAACTTATTCTAAGAGGTTTGTATCACCTTGAAAGCAAAAGAAATCACAAGAAAACTGCAAACAAATATCACTTATGAATATATTTGCAAAATTTATCCACAAAATACTAGCAAACCAAATCCAACAACATATAAAAAGGATTATACCCTTTGATTAAGTGTGATTTATCACAGGACTGCAAGGTTGGTTCAACATATGAAAATTAATCTATATAATAATCCATATTAATAAATAAAGCAAAAACCCACATAATCATCCCAATAGACACAGAGTCTGACAAAATCCAACATTTCATAATACAAACACTCAATAAACTAAAAACAGAAGGTAACTTCTGCAACCTTATAAAAGACTTCTGTGAAAAAGCCACAGCTAACATTATACTTAATGCTGAAATATTGACAGATCTCTCCTTAGATGAGGAACATGACAAGGATGTCCAATTTCAGCACTTCTATTCAATATTCTAATGGAGGTAATTAGACAAGAAAAAGAAATAAACAGCCCTTTGATTGGAAAGGAAGAAGTAAAACTATCTCTATTTCCAGACTGTGTCTTGAAACTCCTAAGTAATTCACAAAAATCTATTAGAACCAATAAATGAATTTATCCGTTTTCAGGATACAAAATCAACATAAGAAAATGAATTATATTTCTATGCACTAGCAAAGGACAACTGTATTAGTCCGTTCTCATGCTCCTATGAAGAAATACCCAAGACTGGGTAATTTATAAAGGAAAGAAGTTTAATTGACTCACAGTTCTGCAGGGCTGGGGAAGGCCTCAAGAAATTTACAATTGCAGCAGGAGCAGGAAGTGCAGAGCAAAGCAGAGCTTGAGAGGGAAGCCTCTTATAAAACCATCAGATCTCACGAGAATTCACTATCAGGAGAACAGCATGGAGGTAACCACCCCCATGATCCAATTACCTCCCGCTGGGTCCCTCCCATGACACCTGGGGATTATGGGAACTGCAATTCAAGATGAGATTTAAGTGGGGACACAGCCAAGCCATATTAACAATCAAAAATGAAAACAAGTGCATTTACAATAACATCGAAATAATAAAATAAATAAATTTAACAAAATAAGTGCAAAGCTTATACTAACAATTATAAAATGTTGAAAGAAATTAAAGAAGACCTAAATATATGGAAAGATGTCCCATTTTTATGGATCAGAAGTCTCAGTATTATTAAGATGGTAACACTCCCCAAATTTATCTACAGATTCAATGCAGTTGCTATTAAAATCCCAACTGACATTTTTGCAGACACGGAGAAGCTGATCCTAAAACTCATATAGAAATGCAAGAGACCCAGACTAGCCAAAACAATCTTTAAAATTAAGAACAAAATTGGAAGACTCACACCTTTTTGTTGTTGTTGTTTGTTTGTTTGAGACAGGGTCTCGCTCTATCACCCAAGCTGGAGTATAGTAGTGTAATCACGGCTCACTGCAACCACAAACTCCTGGGCTCAAGCAGTTCTTCCACCTCAGCTTCTCAAAGTGCTGAGTTTACAGGTGTGAACCACCATACCCAGCTTACACTTCTTCATTTGAAAATGTATTACAGCTGGGCATGGTTGCTCACACCTGTAATCCCAGCACTTTGGGAGGCTGAGGTGGGTGGATCGCGTGAGGTTAGGAGTTCAAGACCAGCATGGCCAACATGATGAAACCCCATCTCTACTAAAAATATAAAAGTTAGCGAGGCCTGGTGGCACGCGCCTGTAATCCTAGCTACTGGGGAGGCTGAGGCAGAAGTTGCAGTGAGCCGAGACTGCACCATTGCACTCCAGCTTGGCTGACAAGAGTGAAACTCTGTCTCAAAAAAAAAAAAAAAAAAAACATATAGATCAATGAGTGAGAATCAAGAATCCAGAAATAAATTCTAAACATTCATAGTCATAGTCAATTGACTTCCTTTTATTTTTGACCAAAATCATTCTGCTTTTTATTATCACCAACAATGTGGAACAATGTTGGTAAAAAAACTACTCCTTCCTGCCAAGGTAAACTGCTCCTACTGACCTCTCCCTTCTTTGTATGGCATTGCACTACACTGCATATATACCTGCACATGCAGAAAACCCAGACCCAAATAGGCACTGGAAATATGTGAAGTGTTCATATTAGCCATCTAGCCAGCCCATGTTACCACATCCTCTCCATTCAATTTTCTTCTGTAAACATATCTTGAGTAGTCAAAATCAAACATACCAAAAAACCCACAGCAATGTGTATCTTCCTAGAATTATATTTATCTCAAATAAAGATTCTTATCCCAACTAGCCTCAAAACCATCTCCAGCAGAATCCATTGGCAACTGACATCCAATGCTATAACTTCTGTGTGTTCACAGTCTCACGAGGAACAATTCTTGCTCTTCTTCTGTGCCTGGGCCATCTGGCATGTGCTCGGAGGGGTAAACACCAAGGGATCTTTAAAGCCCAGCCATGTGTCAAAAAATCACACGGACAATATCACACTGTAATTTTTGATAAATGCTTCCCGGACAGGGCAACAATCCTTGACTGTATAGATGCCAATCCAGATTTCCTAGGATCTGGCTGACTTTCTGTCCGATGACACCTGGACAGTGGTCTGCACCTGGGGGCCCCCAGTAGAGTATTGATCTTCAAAGGTGGAGTTCTGTGGAATGTCAGGAGGCTCCTAGGGCTCTGTCAGAGTCATCTTTGAGCACTGCTTGGTAGCTTTCTCAGTCTGAAACATCACTCCATCCTTACGGAGCAAAATATATTCAAATAATCTCTTGCAGGGAATTATTACACCGTCCTCTCATCCAGCACTGCATGTGCTGGTTCAGACTATCCTAGGAGAATGGGGCACAGCTGATGCAACTGTTGCTCTGCTGGTACACAACCTGGTGACCATCTGATTTTCAATGAATGGCCATGAAATTTACCCATGTAACAAACCTGTACATGTACCCCTTAAACCTAAAATATGTTGGAAATAAAATAAAATAAAAAGTTGGAGAAATTAAAGAAATAAATAAGAATGTTAAGACACTACAATAGGGGAAGAATACAACAAACGGTGCTGGGACAAGTGAATATCTACATGGAAAAGAATGAATTGGAACCTCTACCTTACACCATATTTAAAGATTAACTCAAAATGAATCATAAACCCAAACATGAGAGCTAAAATATAAAATTGTTAGAAGAAAACATAGGAGTAAATACTTGTGACTTGGGGTTAGGCAATGATTTTTTTTAGATATGACACCGAAAGCACAACTGACAATATTAAAAATAGATGAATAGAACTTAATTAAAATTAAAAACTTTTGTGCATCAAAGGAACCATCAACAGAGTGAGAAGGCAACCCGGGGAATCGGAGAGAATATTTGCAAATCATACCTGAGAGGGGATTAATATTCAGAATATATAAAGAACTCCTAGAAATCAACAACAAAACCCAAACGACTCAATTTAAAAAATGGATGGCAGCCTGGGCAACATGGCAAAATCCCATCTCTACAAAAAATACAAAAATTAGCTGGGCATGATGGAACACACCTGTAGTCCCAGCTTCTAGGGATAAGGAGAGGGGCGCTGAGATGGGATGATCACTCGAGCAAGGGAGGTGGAGGCTGCAGTGAGCTGTGATCTGGCCGCCACACTACACCCTAGGAAAGAGTGAGACCCTACATTTAAAAAAAAAAATGACTTGAACAGACATTTCACTACTAAAGGAGACAGAAAAATGACCAGTAAGCACACAAACACATTCTCAAGATTATTAGCCATCAGAGAAATGCAAATAAAAATCACAGTAACATACCATTTCATATTCACCAGACTGGCTATAATAAAAAAAGACAGACAAGTGTTGGTGAGGATGTGGAGAAATCAGGACCCTCATTTATTGCAGATGGAATTTTAAAATGGTGTAGTCATTATGGAAAACAGTTTGGTAGTTCTGAAAAATTTTCACAGTTATCTAGACCCTCAAAATTTTCGGAGTTATTAGCTGGGCATTGTGGTGGGTGCCTGTAATCCCAGCTACTAGGGAGACTCAGGCAGGAGAATCGTTTGAATCCAGGAGGCGGAGGTTGCAGTGAGCCGAGATCACGCCATTGCACTCCAGCCTGGGCAACAAGAGCGAAACTCTGTCCCAAAAAACAAAAAAAAATCAGAGTTATCTAGACCCAGTCCATTCTTAGGTATATATCAGAGAGAAAAAAAAACATATGTATACACAAAAACTTGCATATAAATGTTCACAGAGGAATTATTTATAATAGCTCAAAAGCAGAAACAATCCAAATGTTCTTGTATTGGTAAATGAGTAAACAAAATGTGGTATATTCATACAATGGAATAGTATTTACCAGTAAAAATTAATGAACTATTGACACATTCCATAAGATGGATAAACCTGGAAAACGCTAGTTACAAAGGTCATATAAGATTTCATTTATATAAAATGTCCAGAATAGGCAAATCCATAGTAACAGAAAGTAGTAAGTCATTGACAAAGTCTAGGTGGACCTCAGCTTCCCAAAGTCCTGGGATTACAGGCTTTAGCCACTGTGCCTAGTCCAAACGCCATTTTATAGGAAATGCAGAGGACAGGGGAGCTTGTTCAAATACTCATGTAGATGGAATTAACAATATCTAGTACAATTTCTATAAGGAAGCCAGGAAAAATGCTTATTTTCATTTTTAAGAAAAACAATATTAAAAACAATGAGTTGATTCCCTATCACCCTTCAAAGAGAGCCAAATTTTTAAAGCATCATTATGAACTCACGTATTTACTTTCACTTAAGATTAGTATAAATTGTAATTTGTGTTTTTCAAAAAAATTTCCAACTTTGTCTAAATTTTCAAACTTATTAGCATATAGTTATTCATAATTTTTGCTTATTATACTTTTAACATATGTAGGATCTACCTGGGTATGTATAAAAATGTGCCCAGATATACATCCATGATTTTTTACTCTTGTAGGTATGTTTTATTTCAACAATAAAAGTTATTTAAAAATAAAACAAAGAAGGCACAAGAGAGTCTTCCTTAGCCTGCTTAATTTACCCTTCATTTTTTATTTTAGGAAATGTTGCCTTTTGGTATCATCTGTGTCATGGGAGAAATACATAATTTCATGCTCAATTTAGAAAGAGTCCAGATGCTGTTACATTATTTAGTTGGCACTGGGTGGAAGTGTTGCTTAAAGAGAGACTTACGGTGCCAAAAATTTCTTTGCAATATATCATATTAAACACTGTTGATTTGTGTTTTAAATGTTGCCTAATGCTTTTTGTAGTATTTGAATTCTTATTGTAAACTATGGGAGCTATCTGCAGGGAATCCAAGGCCTTTCCTGTTTCTCATTTCCTTCATTTTTGGAGATAACATCACAGTATGGAGAGAGAACCCAGTTATTTCCAAATCCATAGATTCACTGGGGCTGGGCAATGTCAAATCAGCACCTGAATAAATAAAACATGAGCCCATTAGTGCAAGCTTATATGACCTGTCAGCATCATTAGGCTTTGCTGTGCACAGGAAGCCAGCAGGGATAAGGCCTTTCATAATTATGGCATCTCTCAAGAGAGCCTAACAAATCCAGGCTTTGCTTTTTGAATAAGCATTCTGGTGTTTACTTTCCAGGCAAGGGTCTCACTTCATTTCTAGGTTGCTGTAATTCAAACCCTGCCCTCCTAGGAGTCCTCCTGCCCTGCTGTGAATGGATGCACCCAACTAGATTCCATGGAAATTCAATTCCGCCAACTTAACACACATAATGACCAAGCAGTAGCAGGCTTATTCACCAGGGTTTACATCCCTGATACTGGTATTCTCAAAGGTAGTCTCTGCAAGAACCCTCATATTTGACAGGATAAACTTGTTAACTTTATGATTCAAGCTCATGCAGTGCATGTTAATGTTTAGGAGTGCAAAGCTTAGGAGCGTGGACCTGCACCCAAAATGTCCAGATTCAAATCCAGCCTTGCCACTTGTGTTAGTCCATTCTTGTATTGCTGTAAAGAAATACCCGAGACTGGGTAATTTATAAAGGAAAGAGGTTTAACTGGCTCACAGTTCTGCAGGCTGTACAGGAAGCATGACAGCATTTGCTTCTGGGGAGGCTTCAGGGAGTTTTTACTCTTGGTGGAAGGTAAAGCAAGCAGTTTACATGGTGAAAGCAGGGGCAGGACAGAGCAAGGCTATTCTGACATTACAACACACTTGTAAAGAACAAGATCTCGGGCCCGGCACGGTGGCTCACGCCTGTAATCCCAGCACTTTGGGAGGCCAAGGCGGACGGATCACAAGATCAGGAGATCGAAACCATCCTGGCTAACACTGTGAAACTCCATCTCTACGAAAAACACACACACACACACAAATTATCAGGGCGTGGTGGCGAGTGCCTGTAGTCCCAGCTACTCGGGAGGCTGAGGCAGGAGAATGGCATGAACCCAGAAGGTGGAGGTTGCAGTGAGCCGAGATCATGCCATTGCACTCCAGCCTGGCGACAGAGTGACACTCCGTCGCAAAAAAAAAAAAAAAAAAAAAAAAAAGAACAAGATCTCATAAGAACTCACTCACTATCACAAGAATAGCACCAAGTGGGCAGTGCTAACCATTCATGAAAAATCCACCCCTATGAGCCCGTCACCTCCCACCAGGCCCCACCTCCAACACTGGAGATTACAATTCAACATGAGATTTGGGCAGAACCACAGATCAAGCCATATCACCACTTACTAGCTGAGCAGCCTGAGACAAGTTTCTGAACCTTCCTGGGCCTCAATTTACTCATCTATAAATGGGGGCCATAATATTGTCTATCACACAGGGTTCATGTGAGAATTAAATGGCATTATTATACATAAAGCACTTAGAGAAGCGCTCTAATACAGTAAGTGCTCTATGCATTTGTTTTGATTATTATTGTTATTACCTGTGTGAGCTCACGCAAGTAACAAGCTCTCTGTGCTTTTGTTTCGTATCTATAAAATGAAAATAAAAACAGTACCTGCTCTATAGGGTTGTTATAAATATTGAGTTAGTTAATTCATATACAGTATCTAGTGAATTGCCTAGCACATAGTCAGCACCCAATGAATTTTAGCTATTCTCATTTGATCTTTTCTATTTTCTTACATATGGAAATGCAGACAGGACGGTAGGTTGAATGTAATTTATGCCAAAGTTTTGCTGATTTTCAGGGAAAAAAATATTGCTTTTTTAATACATCTGTTATATTTTTCCTATGATCAAGGAAATACATTTTTATAATAATAAATTTGTAAAAGAGAAAAAAGTAAAATGTTCATAATCTTACTCTGCAATTACGTGTACTTTATATTTTTATATTAGGTTGATGGAAAAGTAATCGCAGGTTTTTGCCATTGAAAGTAATGGCAAAAACCGCAATTATTTTTGCACCAACCTAATATTAGATTTTTCTTTCCAATCTCTTCTTTACCATGCACAAACTCAGATCAGGGTAAAAGAAAATCATAATTTTAAAATTTGGCCATTGATTTCCTTTTAGAGGAGAACAATTTCCCTTTAGTAAAATTCCTTAAAAAAATCACTTGGGTGGAAAGTGAGACTGTAAGGGCGTAATAAGTAGTTAAGAACACAGAAAGAAAGCTAAGCCACTCAGCATTCGGAATGAGCAATAATCTGTAAATACAGAGTGAGAAAAGTAAAGAGAAAGCAGAAAGGGAGTTAAAAAATATAATGAAATGGCTGAGGATCTTTAAAGAAAAAGAAAGTCCTGGATCATTACTGCCATATGATCCAGCAGTCCCACTTCTGGGAATTTATCCAGAAGAATTGAAATCAGGACCTTGAAGAGATATATGCACTCCCATGCTCATTACAGCACTATCTGCAGTAGCCAAGATACAGAAACAACACAAACCTCCATCGAGAGATGAGTAGCTTAAAAAAATGTGGCACATGCACACACACACGCACACACACGCACACACACACACACACACACACATGAATGTTATTCAGCCTTAAAAAAGAAGGAAATCCTGCCATTTGCAACAACAGGTATGGACTAGAAGACATTATGCTAAATGAAATAAGCCAGGCACAAAAGGACAGACACAACATGATTCCATTTATGTAAGGTACCTAAAATAGTAAAACATAGAAGCAGAAAATAAGATGATGCTTTCCAGCAGATGGGCCAAGGGAAGAATGGGGAGCTGTTCAATGGGTATAAAATTACAGTTAACATAAAATAAGTAAGTTCTAGAGATCTGCTGTACAACATTGTGCCTATAGTTAACAATACAGTGCTGTACACTTAAACAGTTGTTAAAAGTGAAGATTTCATAAGTGTCCTTAACACACACACACACACACACACACACACACACACGGCAAAGGGACATAAGGAAACGTTTAGAGGTGATTGTTTATTACCTTGACTGTAGTGTTGGTATCACTGGTGCATGTGATGTCCAAACTTATCAAATTATATACATTAAATTAGTGCAGTTTTTATGTATATCAATCATACCCCAGG
Source organism: Homo sapiens (assembly GCF_000001405.40). Classification (NCBI taxonomy): domain Eukaryota; kingdom Metazoa; phylum Chordata; class Mammalia; order Primates; family Hominidae; genus Homo; species Homo sapiens. Next base: position 25,147,563 of record NC_000008.11, read on the forward strand.
CCAGGTGCGGTAGCTCACACCTGTAATCCCAGCACTTTGGGAGGCCAAGGCAGGAGGACTGCTTAAGTCTGGGAGTTCAAATCCAGCCTGGGCAACATGGTAAAACCCTGTCCCTACTAGAAATACAAAAACTGAGGTGGGGGAATTACCTGAACCTGAGAAGGCTGAGGCTGCAGTGAGCCGTGATTGTGCCACTGCATTCCAGCCTGGGCAACAGAATGAGATCTCATCTCAAAAACAAAAAAAGAAAGAAATTATATCCCAATAAAACTGTTTCTAAAAGTTCTAATATTATAACTTTAATCATGTGTTACATAATGCCATCAATTTCCCCAAACTTAATAGTCTATTATCACCAACAAAAGCTTTGTGTGTGTATGCATTTATGTGTGTATGTGAATCATGGAATCATGCTGAGGTCCATGTTTGGGCCAGTGTGGTGTCGGAGAGAGACAGCCTGCCCTGGTGTGACAGAAACTGACTATTCATGAGTATCCTTTATCTAATAAGAGGTTCCTTAAGTTTTAGCCAAGGACAAACCCATCTAGTTGAAGTCTACATTTCCTACACTTGCAGTCGGGTATGGCCAAGTGTAAAGTTCTGGCCAATGAATTGGGAGAAGAAATGGTGAGTGCTAGTTCCTAGAATCGACTATAAAGCCTCCAACACATCATTGAAAAGACAGTGCATCAACCTGAGATCCTGGACTTTGAACCAGATACAATAGTTTGTTAAGACTTTTGATTGCCTCCCCGGGGAAGAGCTGAGTGTATCCTGCAACGAGACGACATAGGTGGTGAAAGCTACACAGACTTCAAATGGGCCAGACTCTCTAGTGTCTAGTGTAACTGCAGAATTAGGGGCCACAGAGAACAACAGACAAGGTGATTCTTCCCGAAGAGTAGAACCAGAGTCCAACCAAAGCATCACTCCATTGCTAGCTAGGGCAGGGAGTCTTCACAATCCAATGCTTCCAGATTTGATCATTGCTATGGACCACTGGCTGTGGTGACTTCACATTCTTTGCTTTTCCAAGTAAGTGTTTTTGTAACAGTTGTACTGGTCCTAGTCCACCATTTCATACTGCATACAAAGGAAAAGATACAGATGATGTGATTTTTTTATAGGTCATAAGACCGTGCGTAGCATCTCCAAACTTGGTGGAGAAGAATGCACATCACCTTGAGATCCTAGCCATTAAACTGGATGAGATTTTGAGGTGTCTCACTGAAGGAGGTATCAGTGTGTTCTGTACAGTGGAAGGGAACAGTGCATTAATTTTTAAGTGTCCAGAGAGAACAACAATGGCAGACTGCTAATAGTTCCCCACCATCTCCATGTTTCCCTTCTTCCACAGTAATAGCTGTTACTGGATCCAAGTAAGCCAAGTAAAGCTACATTTTCCAGCCTCCCTTGCAGCTAGGTATGGCATGGGATATAAACAGGATTGATATGTGCCATTCCCAAATAATTTATCCAAAAGAGTTGAGCATGCACTGTTCTGGCTCTTTTTGTCCCTTTCTTAATGCTTGGAAGATGATGAGAGCTGAAAGCACTTACCAGACCTAGACTTTCTATCTCTAGACAAGTGTTTTCCAAGCTATCTGTGATGAAGGACAATCTCTCATTAACTCACACTTTTGAGACATATTATAAAATGGTTAGAAATCATGAAATAGACAAAAAACAGATTTTTTTATTATTTTATTATTAGTCAGTAATATTTTATTATTAGTCAAATAATATTTTATCATTAGTAAGATTATATTTCAATAAATATAATAACAAATAATATAGAAAAATTTTTTAAATTGGCTACATTAAATTTACCAAAAGACATGCAGACTTCTTCACTGAAAAGAATAGAATATTGTTGAAAAAAATTAAAGAAGACCTTAGTAAATGGAGCAATATAGCATGTTCGAGGATGGGAAAACTCGATATTCTCAGTTCTTCCCAAATTGATTTATGGAGTCAATGGAATCCCCATCAAAATTCCTGCTAGTATCTTTGTTGAAATTCACAAGCTAATTCTAAAATTTATGATGGGAATTCCTGCAGACGTAGAACGCAAAACTCATTTTTAAAAATATAAAGTTGGAGAGGCCAGGCATGGTGGCTTACACCTGTAATCCCAACATTTTGGAAGGCTGAAGTGTGTAGGATTGCTTAAGCTCAGGAGTTCGTGACCAGCCTGGGTAACATAGCAAGACCTCATCCCTACTAAAAATTTAAAAAATCAGCCAGGCATGGTGGCACATACCTGTAGTCCCAGCTACTCAGGAGGCTGAGGCAGGAGGATCACTTGAAACCAGGTGACTGAGGCTGCAGTGAGTCATCATTGTGCCACTGCAATGCAGCCTGGGTGACAGAGTGAGATCCTGTTTCAAAAAGAAACAAAAAAGAAATTGAAGGAAAACATCTGATTTCAAGATTTACTATAAAGCTACAAAAATTAAGACAATGTAGTATTGGTGAAAGCAAAAAGATCAATGTACAGAATAGTGAACTTAGAAATAGACCCATTTACATATGGTCAATTCATTTTCTACAAATGTACCAGGGCAATTCAATGAAGAAAGGAAAGTCTTTTCCAGAAATTGCGCTCGAACAATTGTATATTGTTCTGTATAGGAAAAAAAGATCATTAATCCTTACCTCACACAATCACAAAAACTAGAAATATATTGTAAACCTAAATGGAAAAACAGCAATTACAAAACTTTTAAATGAAAACATAGTAGAGAAAATCTTTATAACATTAAAGTATGCAAAGTTGTCTCATATGGGACACAAAAAACTCAAACTATAAAAAATATAATTATTTTCTTTTCAAAAGTCATCATTAAGAAAATCAAAAGACAAGCCACAGGATGGGAGAGTTATTTATAATTATTCATAATATATGTCTTTATTTAATTTATTTATAATATATTTATTTATAATAGATAAATTTATTTATAATAGATTGTTTATAATATAAATATAAACTTATTTATAATGGATATATATTTATATATATTATATATAAATCTATTTATTTATAATAGATATATATTTACATATATTATATATAAATCTATTTATTTATAATATATAAATCTATTTATTTATAATATATAAATATATTTTTATATATTTATATAATTAAATATAAAATATATTTATTTATAATATATATAATATATATCTAACAAAAGGCTTATGTCAGGATATATGTCTTACAACTCAATAATAAAAAGACAAATGACCACATTAAAAAAGCTGAACATACACTCTACGAAAAAAGATATGCAAATGGCTGATGAACATATGAAAAGATGCTCAAGACCTCATCTCTATAAAAATTTTTAAAAAAAATTAGCCAAACATAGTGACATGCACCTGCAGGGCCAGATACTTGGTAGGCTGAAGCAGGAGGATCACTCAAGCCCAGGGGGTGGAGGCTGCAATGAGCGGTGATTGTGCTACTACATTCCAGCCTGGGCAACAGAATGAGACCTTGTCTCAGAAAATAAAAAAAAGTAACATTATAGTGCATTGATTGAAATAGGAATCTTGAGACATATATATATATACATACAAAAAAGGGAAATGCTAACTTATGGTAGAATGCCAACTGATAAATGTGGATGGGGCTGGGCGTGGTCACTCACAGCTGTAATCCCAACATTTTGGGAAGCTAAGGCAGGAGGACCACTTAAAGCCAGAAGTTCAAGACCTGCCTGGGCAACATGGTGAGATCCCGTCTCTACCAAAAAATAAATAAATAAATAATGTGGATGGAATAATGAAATTTAAAAATCAATATTTAGCAACCACTATAGTAACAGCTGATTAAAGCAAAGAATCACAAATGGACACTAAAACTAGTGGGTGAGATTCTGATAAAGAACACAAAATTTACACAAAATAATAAGTACAATGTTTATTAACCTTACAGCTGAGAACTTAGCAGGCACAATTTTAACCAAGCGATAAACAGTAAAATCACGTGCCTCCTAATTTAATGCCCTAAGAAGAACACAGAATCACTTCAATAAAACTTCTGAAAAAAATACATAACCTGAGGAAACCTGTGAGGAAATAAAGAAATATCCATGAACAAATGTCAGACAAATCCAAACTGAGGGACATTCTACAGAGTAAATTGCCTGTGTTCTTCAAAATTGCTAAGGTTATAACAGCCAGATGGAGGCTGAGTTCCAGATTGGAAGAAACTCAAGACACATGACAACCAAGTGCTACATGTGATCTGGATCGGAGCTTAGAGCTGGATGGGACACTGTTGGGACAACGTGAGTGGGATCCATGGATTTGAAGGTGGTATTGTCTCAATGTTGATTTCCTGATTTTGATGGCTGCTCTGTGGTTATGCAGGAAACTCTCCTGGCTTTTAACAAACATTAAGAGGTAATGAGCATCGTATCCCTAATGAATTCCCTTAATGGCTCAGAAAAAAAGAAAGAAAGAAAGAAAAAAGATTATTAATGTGTTGTTCTAGTTAATATGGCTGAGTAACTACCCCAAAAATGCAGTGGCTTATAACAACCAGTTACTATGCTTGTGGTTTCTGTGTATCAGGAATTTGGACAGAAAACAGCATGGGAGGCTTCTGTCTGCTCCGTGATACCTGGGGCCTCAGCTGGAAGACACAAAGGGTTGAGCATGGAATCACCACTCCCTTGTCTGGTGGTGAATGCTGGCTGTCCGCCAAACCAATGCTGATGCTTTTGACTAGAAAACCTACCTGTGGCCTCCCCATATGGCCTGGGTTTCCTCATTAAATGGCATTTGGGCTCCTAGGGTGAGTGTCTCAGGAGTGGTAACGAGGCAGAAGTTGTATCCTTTCTAGGACCTAACCTCAGAAGTTGTGTAACCTCACTGCAGCCATATTCTATTTGTTGTAGCAGTATCAAATCCAAGAGGAGGGGCTATAGATGCATCTCTTGATGGGGAGAGGCAAGATTCTAGAAAAGCCTGTGGGACAATGGCTAACGCTGTGGCCATTCTCAGAAAGTACCATCAGCCATGTATGTACATACAGAGAAAGAAAGGGAAAATAACACAAATGTGATAAAATATTAAAAGTAACAACCACAAAATATGGCTAAAGATTATACAAGGGTGTTTTACATTTTCTCATAACTTTTCTGTGGGCCTGAAAGTATTTCAAAATACAAAGCTAAAAAATAAGCAATAAAAATGTAATTATCAAATTGAACTAATAATGTTAAACTGTGAATTTCAAATAGAATTGATTAAAAATAAAATCATCATTAAAAGTAGCATGTTTAAAAATGTTTAAAATGCGGTTACATTATCCCAGACTAAACTCAGTATTTTTGCATTCAGTTCTTAATTGTAAAAGAGTCCTACTGCCCATGACTAGCCTATGTAGGCCCCATGACCATCACCGCACCACACATGTTCTCAGCATCCAGACGGCAACGTACACTGCTCAGCAAGACTGGCCCAACAACCACACACGTGGAGGTCACAGCAATGTAAATTGCTCTAAAAGTTTCTAGATGCTTACACTCAATTTTAGAAACTACCTCATCATGGCCCTTGAACAGGCTGTGGATCAACATCAGTGTGTAAACCACACTTAGAGTAGCACCATTTTAGGCTGCATTTTTGGTACTTTCGCTGAAGCGGCTCATGCTACCCTTTGTTAAATATTTTAGAGTTTTCCATCTAATTTGAAATGTCATTTTACCATAAATTAAATTCTCATATGTACTTGGCCTTGTTCTGGGTCTGATATTTTATTCCACTAGTCTTCACTGGCATCATGTTGGTTTAGTTACTACAACTTTAGATAATGGTTTACGTACTACTCTTCATTACAAGATTTTCAGAAATCTCCCTGATGACCTCTAAAATACCTTTTTAGGCCAGGAGCAGTGGCTCACGCCTGTAATTCCAGCACTTTGGGAGGCCAAGGCAGGCAGATCACTTGAGGCTAGGAGTTCAACACCAGCCTGGTCAAGAAGATGAAACCCCATCTCTACTAAAAATACAAAAATTAGCCAGGCATGGTGGCAGACACCTGTAGTCCCAGCTACTTGGGAGGCTGAGGCAGGAGAATCACTTGAACCCGGGGGCGGAGGCTGCAGTGAGCCAAGATCATGACACTGCACTCCAGCCTGGGCAAGAGAGCAAGACACTGTCTTAAAAATAAAATAAAATAAAATAAAATAAAATACCTTTTCAACTTGGAAAAGGATTACATTTTTACTTTTATTGGAATGTAACAAATAATTAATTTAGAGAGAAATATCATTAAATTTTCCCTTTCAGGAACATAGTATCTCTTTTAATTCATGTGCCTTCATATATTTCCTTCAGAAAAGTTTTACAATTTTTATTTCTTGTTTTATTTTTGTTTTTTAAAGTTTTTATTTCTATAGGTTTTGAGGGAACAGGTGGTATTTGGTTACATGAGTAAGTTCTTTAGCAGTGATTTGTGAGATTTTGGTGCACCCTTCACCAGAGCAGTATGCGCTTAACTCAATTTATAGTCTTTTATCCCTCACCCCCTTTCCACCTTTCTCCCCAAGTCCCCAAAGTCCATTGTATCATTCTTATGCCTTTGCATGGTCATAATTTAGCTCCCACTTATGAGTGAGAACATATGATGTTTGGTTTTCCATTCCTGAGTAACTTCACTTAGAATAATAGTCTCCAATCCCATCCAGGTTGCTGCAAATGCCATTAATTCATTCCCTTTTAGTATTCTGAGTAGTATTCCATCATATATATATATATATATATATATATATATATATATCACAGTTTCTTTATCCACTCATTGATGGATGGGCATTTGGGCTGCTTCCATATTTTTGCAATTGCAAATTGTGCTGCTATAAACATGCATGTGCAAGTATCTTTTTCGTATGATGATGTCTTTTTCTCTGGCTAGATACCCAGTAGTGGGATTGCTGGATCAAATGGTAGTTCTATTTTTAGTTCTTTAAGGAATCTCCATTGTTTTCCATAGTGGTTGTACTAGTTTACATTCCCACCAGCAGTGTAGAAGTGTTCCCTTTTCACTGCATCCACACCAACATCTATTATTTTTTAATTTTTTGATTATGGCCATTTTAGTGAGAGTAGGGTTATAATTTTTATTTCTCATTAGATTTGTGTTATTCCTGGATATTTGAGGAGGCACTAACCAATACTGAAAGGAAGAATGAACATGTCATCAAGGCCAGCTTGAGCTTCAGCTGTGACAGTGGTAGGAATCAGAGTGGAGACCACAAGGCCTCTGCAAGAAAGGTCATGTCAGAGTCCAGAGAGTCTCCTAGGGTACACTTATCCTAAGGAAGAAAGTAAGGTGTGTAGGTTTGGTCTTGTGACAATACTTATATCATTAAAAAAGGAAGAGTATATTAGAGTGTCTAAGTCCTGAAGAAAAAGACTGGGTATAGTGGCTCACACCTGTAATCCCAGCACTTTGGGAGGCTGAGGAGGCAGATTGCTTGAGCGCAGGAGTTCAAGACCAGCCTGAGCAACATGGCAAAACCGCATCTCTACAAATATAAAAATTAGCCAGGTGTGGCGGTGGGCGCCTGTGGTCCCAGATGCTGAGGAGGCTGAAATGGGAGAATCACTTGCGCCCAGGAGGTCCAGGCTGCAGTGAGCCAAGATTGTGCCACTGCACTCCAGGCTGAGTGACAGACACCCTGTCTCAAAAACAGAACAAACAAACAAAACCAAGACAACAAAAAAAGCGATAAGTAAAAATGAAAAACTTGTTTATATAGTAGACTTCTGGAAGAAACTGAATCAAAAGTGTATGTAAGTAAATAAGAAAGCAAAAAGAGGCTAGGAGCAGTGGCTCACATTTGCAACCCCAGCACTTTGGAAGGCTGAGATGGGAGGATTGTTTGAGCCCAGGAGTTCAAGACCAGGCTTGGCAACACAGAGAGACCCCATCTCTAAAAATAATAATAATAATCATGTAAATATGAACTAAACTAAACTGAATATCATTTTCAACCTTTGAATTTGACAAAAATCCATATATTTGGCAGCACATCCTATCAGTAAGACTGTAGAGAAATCAGCATACTCACAAACGTCTGCTGAAAATGCAAATAGTTTCCATTCTCATCATCAGCTATCAGGAACATCTGTTGGCATCAGAGTATTGAGTAGCAGCAATGAATGTGAGAGGAAAATTAAATGACAACTTCAAATTTCTGAGAGAATTAATTTCTCACCAAGTATTCCATATCTAGCCAAACAATTATCAACATTTCCAAAGAAGCAAAGACCCGAAAAGTTAACCTCCAATGAACCATTTCTGAAAAAATTACTTCAGGTGTTATTCCAGCAAAATGAAAATGGAATCCAAGAATGAACACGAATATAACATGAATAACTTTCTTTTTAAGTGGCGTTTACAAAACATACAGTTTGAATAGGACACTAAGGCTTTTTTCTTCTCTTCCTTGAACATGACAGTCAAAAAAAAAAGAAAAAAGCAATAGAGTACCCAGTAAAACAAAAGCTATCCAAGAAAGTCATGGGTCTGTATGAGGCAAATTAAAATGTAGACTGATAATGAGTAGTTGCTCAAGGGGAAAAAGATTCCATTTGATTTTGATGCTTACGATATTTTTTTTTCCCAAGCAGTACAGTTTCAGTGATGTAGGATTGTTATTTTCTTTTCTACAGGCCTAAAACTCACTTGATTCTTCAGTGGTTAATATCTTCATCATCATTATAGTGAAAGTCCCACTGATTAATGTTCAATTTTAGAATAAATCTATACACAACGCACATGAAAGGTTTAATTATAATTACAGAAAAGTAATCCTTAACAATGTACAACTAATGATATCATAGACAGAAGCCAAACATAGAGGAGTCAGAGGGAAAATGGAGGAAAGTACAGGTACAATAACGTTCACATCTTATGTGTGGGCAATCAATAAAGAGTGCTGAAAGTCAATGTCAAAAGTTATATAAGGCTGGGTGTGGTGGTTCATGCCTATCATCCCAGCACTTTAGGAGGCTGAAGTGGGAGGATCACTTGAGACCAGGGGCCTGAAACCAGTCTCGGCAACATGGTGAGACAACATCTCTATTCTACACATTAAAAAAGGGGAAAAAAAGTTATTTAAGCCAGGCATGGTGGCTCATGTCTGTAATCCTAGCACTTTGGGAGGCCAAGGCAGGCAGGTCACGAGGTCAGGAGTTCGAGACCAGCCTGACCAACATGGCGAAACCCCATCTATACTAAAAATACAAAATTACCCGGGTATGGTGGCGCATGCCTGTAATCCCAGCTACTCGGGAGGCTGAGGCAGGAGAATTGCTTGAACCCAGGAGGCGGAGGCTGCGGTGAGCTGAGATCATGCCATTGTACTCCAGCCTGGACAACAAGAGTGAAACTCTGTCCAAAAAAAAAAAAGTTATTTAAAATATAACTAAGTTAAAGAAGTAAGGAAGTGTCAAGGGGCAAGAGAAGGGAGGCAGGTGTGTTAAGTTCAGAGATTCAATAGATACTTTTTAAACTTTTATTTTAGGTTCAGAGGTACATGTGTAAGTTTGTCATATAGGTAAATTGCATATCATGGGGGTTTGGTGTACAGATTATTTTGTCACCCAGTAATTAGTTTTTCAATCTTCACCCTCCTCCCATCCTCCACCCTCTAGTAGGCTCTGGTATCTGTTGTTCCCTTCTTTGTATTCACGTGTATTCAGTGTGTAGCTCTCACTTATAAGTGAGAACCTGCGGTATTTGATTTTCTGTTCCTGTGTTAGTTCACTTAGAATAATGGCCTCCAGCTGCATCTGTGCTGTTGCAAAGGACATGAACTAATTTTTAATGGCTGTGTAGTATCCCATGGTGTATATGTGCCACATTTTCTTTATCCAGTCTATTGTTGATAGGCATGTAGGTTGATTCTATGTCTTTGCTATTGAATGCAATGAACATATGCATGTATGTGTTTTTTATGGTAGAATTATTTATATTACTTCGGGTATATACATAATAGGATTGCTGGGTCAAATGGTAGTTCTGTTTTAAGTTATTTGAGGAATTGCCAAACTGCTTTCCACAGTGGCTGAACTAATTTATATTCCTACTAGCAGTGTATAAGTGTTCCCTTTTCTGTGCAACCTCACCAGCATCTGCTGTTGTTGTTGTTGTTGTTGTCGTCGTTTTAGACGGAATCTCACTCTGATGTCCAGGCTGGAGTGCAGTGGCACGATCTTGGCTCACTGCAACCTCTACCTCCCAGGTTCAAGCGATTTTCATGCCTCAGCCTCCCAAGTAGCTGGGATTATAGGCATGCACCACCACGCTTGGCTAACTTCTGTATTTTTAGTAGAGATGTATTTTCACCATGTTGGCCAGGCTGGTCTTGAACTCCTGACATCAGGTGATCCGCCCGCCTCGGCCTCCCAAAGTAATGGGATTACAGGCGTGAGCCATTGCATCCAGCCGCATCTGTTGTTTTTCGACTTTTTAATAATAGCTAATCTGACTGGTGTGAGATGGTATTTCACTGTGGTTTTGATTTGCATTTTTCTAATGATTAGTGATGTTGAGCATTTTTTCATATGCCCGTTGGCTGTGTGTATGTCTTCTTTTGAAAAGTGTTCATGTCCTTTGCTCACTTTTTAATGTTTTTTTGTTTTTGTTTTTTGTTTGTTTGTTTTTTGCTTGTTGATTTAAGTTCCTTACAGATTCTGGATATCAGACCTTTGTCAGATGCCATAGTTCGCAAATATATTCTCCCATTCTGTAGGTTGTCTGTTTACTCTGTTGATAGTTTCTTTTGCTGTGCAGAAGTTCTTTAGTTTAATTAGGTCCCACTTGTCAATTTTTGGTTTTGTTGCAATTGCTTTTGGCATCTTTGTCATGAAATCTTTGCCAGGGCTTATGACCAGAATGGTATTTCCTAGGTTTTCTTCCAGGGTTTACAGGGTTTACATTTGAGTCTTTAATCCATCTTGAGTTAATTTTTACATATGGTGTAAGGAAGGGGTCCAGTTTCAGTCTTCTGCATGTAACTAGCCAGTTATCCCAGCACCATTTATTGAATAGGGAGTCCTTTCCCCATTGGTTGTTTCTGTCACAGAAAGTTAATATATATTTTTTTAAGCTGATGAATTAAGAAATAGAGATATAGAAGCAAGTTATCTAGCATTTCATGTCAAATAAGCCAAAGAACTAGATAATAGAAGCAGTCAAAATTATTGGAGGTGAATTCACTTTTTACTTTATATCTCTGTGCTACTATTATTTTTTTAGTAAGTATGGGAGACAGAATAACGGTTCCAAAGATGTCCATGTCCTAGTCCTAGGAACCCATAAATATGTCACCTTACATAGTAAAAGAGATTTTGTGGATGTGATTAGGCTAAGATTGTGAGATGGGGAGATTATCCTAGAGTCTCTGGATGGGCTCAATGCAATTACAAGGGTCCTTACAAGAGGGAGGCAGGAACGTGAGAGTCAAAGAGGAGATGAGACAATGGAAGCAGATTGAAGTGATGCACTTTGAAGATGGAGGAAAAGGCCATGAGCCAAGGAATTTGGGTAACTTCTAGAAGCTGGAAAAGGTATGAAAATGATTCTCCCATAAAGACTCCAGAAAAAACAAAGCTTTGCCAACATTTTGATTTTATCCCTAAAGACTCATTTTGGACACCTGACCTCCACAACTTCAAGATAATAAATTTGCATGGCATGGCAGCTCATGCCTAAATCTCAGCTACATGGGAGGCTGAAGCAGGAGAATTGCCTGAATCCAGAAGTTCAAGGTTGCAGTGAGCCATGATTGCACCACTGTACTCCAGCCTGGGTGACAGAGTTCCCATCTTTAAAAGTTAATAATAAAAATAATATTTTAAGACAATAAATTTATGTTGTTTGAAGCCACTAAATTTGTGGGAAATGGAATGGAGTCCTACTCTTTTTCCTTGGTGAAGGTAGGAAGGGGCATATTTTCATTTTATATGTATTAGCTTAAAAAGCTTTAACCAGCCAGCAAAACTTCAGGACTATCCCTTATGTCCCTGAAGGCCCAAATACTAAATTATCAGACACAGTTCTGTCCTGAAAGACTTCAACATAGAAGAATTTTTTGCCATCCTACCCACCTGCAGCTGACCTAGGAAGCAAAGCAATGTCCTTATAGAAGGACAGCTCTGAGAAGTCTAGAGGCTAGCCCTCCCTAGCCCTCCCACCTGACCCTGTCGTGGCCATCCATTATGAAATTGATGTCACCATCAGTCAGAGAGATTGCTAAGAGGTCACAGGACATTGCCTAGGAAATCCAGGACATGGCACTATTTTAGCCAGGCAGATTGGGGCCTCGCTTCTTGTATCACGGCTCCAAGTCACCATTCTCAGCGGGGAGGGGTCTTTTTTTTTTTCTCCCAATGCCAGAACTTTACCCTTTAGAAGAAGTGTCCAGCAGAGTGACTTCCAGGCACATCACTAATTTAGAGCAATATGGCAACTTTTTTTTTTTTTTGAGGCAGGGTCTCGCTTTGTCACCCAGGCTGGATTGCAGTGGCATGATCACAGCTCACTGCTGCCTCTACCTCCCAGGCTCGAATAATCCTCCCACCTCAGCCTTCTGGGCAGCTGGGACCACAGGTGCAGGCCATCATGCCTACCTAATTTTCTGATTTTTTGTTGAGACCAGGTCTCACTACTTTGGCTCAAGCAATTCTCCTGCCTTGGCTTCCCAAAGAGCTGGAATTACAGGTGTAAGCCACTGCACCCAGCCTATGTAATGATTTTGAAGGCACTACAACTCTTGGTCTGACTAGTGGCCATTTATAAAGGCACCCTCACCCCTAGCCTTCTCACTTTTTATCACAACTACATCCTTGGTGGTCTTAGCTCAGGAAATCTGGTTGGTATAACTCAAGTGAAATACAATCTTTCTCCCACGGAAAAAGGAAAAGAAAGTGACCAGGGCAGGTGAGGAGCTCAATTGGGAGCTCTGAAATGTAGCATAGAGGAGTTAAGGGGGAACTAAAATAGTGCATTGCAGCTCCTTTTACAAAATTTCTCCATCAAAACCCTCAACACACTCAAAAGGGTTTGCATTTTATCCAACATCCTGAGGTGTTGATGTTTCTCCTGTACCTCCCAAGTCTCTCCTGAAACAGCATTCTTTTTTTTTTTTTCAGCCAATGGAATTGTTCTCCCAGCTACTCAGGAGGCTGAGGCAGGAGAATGGCGTGAACCCGGAAGGCAGAGCTTGCAGTAAGCCGAGATCGAACCACTGCACTCCAGCCTGGGCGACAGAGCGAGACTCTGTATCAAAAAAAAAAAATAGAATGAGTAGATTTTTCACTGCTTTGGTTCATGGAAGGAATATTCATTTTTAGGGGGAAAAAACCCAACTTAATGAATAAGTACTGGGACAAACACAAAATTTAATCAACAGAACATATACAAGCAAAAAAGGACTCAATTTAAGGACAAAGAGTTCTCTTTTAAGAGATTATTATTGCGTGGTTGATCCATGGTATACTACAGCAAGATGAAAAGACAGTGTGACATCAGTATAAATCCATCATTTGAGCCCATTCTCCCAATGAAGACACTGACACCATGAAACCCAACAACTGGCCCCAGGCCTGTCAGGTAGTAAGTGGCAGAGCCAGGAACTGAATCCAGATGTCCTGATTCCAAGCCCTGGGCTTCCTTCCTGGTCAAGCTGCCTACCTGTTAGGAACCTTTGTGGATACCAGTTGCCTTACCTCTATATCATATGACTCAACATAGAAGTAATGTATATCCGGTGAAACCCTGTCTCTACTAAAAATACAAAAAACTAGCCAGGCATGGTGGCGGGTGCCTGTAGTCCCAGCTACTCGGGAGGCTGAGGCAGGAGAATGGTGTGAATCTGGGAGGCAGAGCTTGCAGTGAGCCGAGATCGCGCCACTGCACTCCAGCCTGGGGGACAGAGCAAGACTCCAACTCAAAAAAAAAGAAGTAATGTATATCACTTCTCACATGTTATTAATCAAAGCAAGCCACATATCAACAACATATGATATATACTTCTCTTACTGGGATGGTAGTGAGTCATTACAGGCAATACCAGCCTGGGCAACATAGTGAAACCCCCTCTCTACAAAAAATAAAACATTAGCCAGGCTTGGCGATACATGCCTGTAGTCCCAGCTACTCAGATGGCTGAAGCAGGAGGATCACTTGAGTCCAGGAGGTTGAGGCTGCAGTGAGTAGCGAACACGCTACTGCACTCAGCCTTGGTGATAGAGTGAGACACTTTCTCAAAAAAGAAAGAAAGAAAGAAATTGGGGGAAATAAACGAATACAATCCATACAACCTCTTCCCTCTCTCCCTTTAGCTTAGCAGTGGTAGCAGCTGGTTATTATCTCTAGGTGAACTTGCTGTTCTGTTCGGCTTTTCCATCCTCTGAGTACACAGTCCCTGCACTGGCATCTCTCTGTTTAAATGCTCAAGTGGTTTCTGTTTCTTAGTTAAGCCAATAATCTCTACCTCATCAAGTTTTGGACCCTTTCTATGTTTTAGGATATGCTAGACACAGAAAATAATGTGTGCTGTGGATTTTTAAAAAGTAGTGTAAGTAAAAATAGCATGTGAGAAATAATTATGAAGATGATCTTATATCGGTTGGGATTTGGTTCCATTCTGAGCTGCCGTGGTGGTGCACGCCCATAGTTCCAGTCACTTGGGAGGCTGAGGCAAAAGGATCACTCGAGCCCAGGAGTTCGTGGCTGCAGTGAGCTATAATGGTGTCATTACACTCCAGCCTGGGTGACAGAGTAAGACCTCATCTTAAAAAAAAAATTAGGCCGGGCGCAGTGGCTCACGCCTGTAATCCCAGCACTCTGGGAGGCCGAGGAGGGCGGATCACGAGGTCAGGAGATCGAGACCATCCTGGCTAACACGGTGAAGCCCTGTCTCTACTAAAAATATAAAAAATTAGCTGGGCATGGCGGCGGCCACCTGTAGTCCCAGCTACTCGGGAGGCTGAGGCAGCAGAACGGCGTGAACCCAGGAGGCAGAGCTTTCAGTGAGCCGAGATTGTGCCACTGCAATCCAGCCTGGGAGACAGCAAGACTCTGTCTCAAAAAAAAAAAAAAATTAAATAAGTAAATTGATAGATAAGTAAAAATGCATGTGGCTCCATTCTGAGTGAACGAAAATTTAAAGCAGCAGTGGTAGCTGGGTATGGTGGCGTGTACCTGTAGTCCCAGCTACTTGGGAAACTGAGGCAGGAGATAGTCTTGAACCCAGGAGGTTGAGTTTACAGTGAGCCAACATTGCACCACTGCACACCAACCTGGGCAACAGAGCAAGACTCTGTCTCAAAGGAAATAAATACATAATAAAAATAAAGCAGCAGTAGCATAAGTAAGAAAGAACTTTATTTCTCTTGCACATAAACCATGCCTAGACATGAATGACACAGGGGGCTGATTTGAAAACCCCCCAATCATTAGGGACTCAGATCATCACTTGGCTTCCACTTCATGTTCTAAGATGGACAGCAGCAATGACAAAGTGTTCTGGAACTTGGTAATTCAAGTGGCAGGCTTCTACTACCCCTCAACCCTCAAATATATATATATTCCTCAAATATATATATATATATAGAGAGAGAGAGAGAGAGAGAGAGAAAGAGTTTCGCTCTTGTTGCCCAGGCCGGAGTGCAATGGTGCAATCTCGTCTCACTGCAACCTCCGCCTCCCGTGACCAAGCCATTTTCCTGCCTCAGCCTCCCGAGTAGCTGGGATTACAGGGGCGTGCCACCACACCCGGCTGATTTGGTATTTTTAGTAAAGACAGGGTTACTCCATGTTGGCCAGGCTGGTCTCGAACTCCTGACCTCAGGTGATCTACCTGCCTTGGCCTCCCAAAGTGCTGGGACTACAGGCATGAGCCACTGCACCTGGCTTCTTCAAATATTTTGAAAGGGGGTAATTAACTGCCTGGATTAACCTTTTCTGTTTTTTATTTTTCCTTAAAAAAATATGGAAACACATATCATTTCAATAGCCAGAGCTCAGCACATTCTAGCCACACGGGAAGCGGGGAAGTACTAGTCTTTATTCTTGACAGCTTTGTGTCCAGCTAAAAAACGGGATTTCTGTTACTAAGGAAGGAGGGAGGAGAATGGACATTCAGGAAAAACTAGCAATCTCTGGCACACCCCACAAATGTTCTCATTAATTAATAAATCTTGAGTAACCACTTTGTATTTACGGTAGCCGTAAACCCCAGGGAAGACACAGGCCTTTTTGCATTAGGATTGAGAGGGGAGAATTATCCTTCTGATTCCTTAGAGAGATCTGATAAAGAAACTTGCACAGAGTTATGAAGAGAAAGGAAGCAGCTATTAATAAAAGACAAGTAGAATAAAAAATGTATTAGAAATGCTATGCAATGATAATCACTAAAACTAATATAGACACTATGTATGTAAAACTTCTTTTGGCCTGGTGTGGTGGCTCACGCCTGTAACCCCAGCACTTTGGGAGGCCAAGGCAGATGGATGGCTTGAGCCCAGGAGTTTGAGACCAGCCTTGGCAACATAGCAAAACCCCATGTCTACAAAAAGTATAAAAATTAGCCATGCATGGTAGGGGGCGCCTGTAGTCCTAACTACTCAGGAGGCTGCGGTGGGAGGATCACCTAAGCCCAGGAGGTCGAGGATGCCGTAAGCCGTGATGGTGCCACTGCACCCCAGCCTGGTTGACAGTGTTGAGAGGTGACAGCGTGCTGGCAGTCCTCAGAGCCCTCGCTTGCTCTCGGCACCTCCCCTGCCTGGGCTCCCACTTTGGTGGCATTTGAGGAGCCCTTCAGCCCACCACTGCACGGTGGGAGCCCCTTTCTGGGCTGGCCAAGGCCGGAGCCCACTCCCTCAGCTTGCAGGGAGGTGTGGAGGGAGAGACACGAGCGGGAACCGGGGCTGTGTGCAGCACTGGCGGGCCAGCTGGAGTTCCAGGTGGGCGTGGGCTTGGTGGGCCCCGCACTCGGAGCAGCCAGCCAGCCCTGCTGGCCCCGGGCAATGGGGGACTTAGCACCCGGGCCAGTGGCTGCGGAGGGTGTACTGAGTCTTCCAGCAGTGCTGGCCCACCGGTGCTGCGCTCGATTTCTCGCCAGGCCTTGGCTGCCTTCCCACGGGGCAGGGCTCAGGACGTGCAGCCCGCCATGCCTGAGCCTCCCACCCACTCCATGGGCTCCTGTGCGGCCGAGCCTCCCTGACGAGCGCCACCCCCTGCTCCACGGCGCCCAATCCCATCGACCACCCAAGGGCTGAGGAATGCGAGTGCACGGCGTGGGACTGGCAGGCAGCTCCACCTGCAGCCCCGGTGCGGGACCCACTAGGTGAAGCCAGCTGGGCTCCTGAGTCTGGTGGGGACGTGGAGAGTCTATATCTAGCTCAGGAATTGTAAATACACCAATCAGCACCCTGTGTTTAGCTCAAGGTTTGTGAGTGCACCAATCGACACTCTGTATCTAGCTGCTCTGGTGAGGACGTGGAGAGTCTTTATGTCTAGCTCAGGGATTGTAAATACACCAATCAGCACTCTGTATCTAGCTCAAGGTTTGTGAATACACCAATCAGCACCTTGTGTTTAGCTCAAGGTTTGTGAATGCACCAGTCGACACTCTGTATCTAGCTGCTCTGGTGGGGCCTTGGAGAACCTGTGTGTGGAAACTCTGTATCTAACTAATCTGATGGGGACGTGGAGAACCTTTGTATCTAGCTCAGGGATTGTAAACGCACCAATCAGCGCCCTGACAAAACAGGCCACTCGGCTCTACCAATCAGCAGGATGTGGGTGGGGCCAGATACGAGAATAAAAGCAGGCTGCCAGAGCCAGCATTGGCAACGCGCTGGGGTCCCCTTCCACACTGTGGAAGCTTTGTTCTTTCGCTCTTTGCAATAAATCTTGCTACTGCTCACTCTTTGGGTCCACGCTGCTATTATGAGCTGTGACACTCACCGTGAAGATCTGCAGCTTCACTCCTGAGCACAGCGAGACCACGAGCCCACTGGGAGGAACGAACAACTCCAGACGCACTGCATTAAGAGCTGTGACACTCACCGCGAAGGTTTGCAGCTTCACTCCTGAGCCAGCGAGACCACGAACCCACCAGAAGGAAGAAACTCCGAACACATCTGAACATCAGAAGGGACAGACTCCGGACACGCCACCTTAAGAGCTGTAACACTCACCGCGAGGGTCCACGGCTTCATTCTTGAAGTCAGTGAGACCAAGAACCCACCAATTCCGGACACAGTGTGAGACCCTGTCTCAAAAAAAAAAAGAAAGAAAAAGAAAAACCACTTATTTTAAAGTTTACAGTTATTCTCATTGAATCCTTACCAAACATGTGTAAAGTCTTTATTATCATCCTCATTTAACAAATGGAGGCCGGGCGCGGTGGCTCACGCCTGTAATCCCAGCACTTTGGGAGGCCGAGGCAGGTGGATCACGAGGTCAGGAGCTCGAGACCAACCTGGCTAACAGGGTGAAACCCCGTCTCTACTAAAAATACAAAAAAATTAGCCGGGTGTGGTGGTGGGTGCCTGTAGTCCCAGCTACTCAGGAGGCTGAGGCAGGAGAATGCCGTGAACCCGAGAGGCGGAGCTTGCAGTGAGCCGAGATCGCGCCACTGCACTCCAGCCTGGGCGACAGAGCGAGACTCTGTCAAAAAAAAAAAAAAGGAAAGCTAAAATGTAAAGAACTTAAATTATTTACCCAAGTTTGAAAACAATGGCAGTGTCAGGACTAAAATTAAAGTCTTCAGAGTCCAGAGTTCAGAACCTGTGCCCTTTCCTCCCCATCATTAGGCCTCCCTTCAGGCAGTTTGGCAGAGCACATACCCCCACGTTGGAAGTGAGTGGTTCCTACAAAGTCGCTGGGTGAGATATAACGATGCTGGAGATATGAGCTATGTGACATGGTTGGAACATTGGAAAAAAGATCCACCCCTTTGTGGCAAGATAGTCTGCTAAAGTCTGAATGTTGGTGTCCCCACTCCCTGCGAAAATTCATAAGCTGGAACTTAATTCCCAATGGGATAACATTAAGAGGTGGAGCCTCTGGGAGATGGTTGAGTCTTGAGGGCTCCACTCCCATGAATGACATTTGTGTCCTTATGAAAGAGGCTCAAGGAAGTTTCCTGGGCCTTTCTGCCATGTGAGGATGCTCACAGCAAGAAGGCACCATTTTTGAAGCAATCACCCAGATGCTGAACCTGCGGGAGCCTTATCTCCACTTCTCAACCTCCAGACCTGTGAGCAATACATTTCTATTGTTTATATCAATAATTTCCCAGTTTAAGGTACTTTGTTTTTTTCTGTTTGCTTGTTTGTTTGTATATTGAGACAGGGCCTCACTCTGTTGCCCAGCCTGAAGTACAGTGGTGCAATCACGGCTGACTGCAGGCTTGACCTCCTGGGTGTAAGCCATCCTTCCACCTCAGCCTCAGCTGGGATTACAGGTGCATGCCACCACACCCAACTATTTTTTTTTTGTATTTTTTGTAGAGACAGGATCTTACTGTTTTGCCCAGGCTGGTTTCGAACTCCTGGGCCCAAGCAATCCTCCTGCCTCAGCCTCTTGCCTCAGCCACGTGGGATTACAGGTGTGAGCCACCACGCCAAGCCTAAGGTATTTTGTTACAGCAGCAGAAACAGATCAAGACGTTGCCTTTCTATAAACCAGAGGTCATGCTAAAAGCCAAACTCTTTTTCCTAAGTGAGATGTACAAGTGTTCAGGTGATGTGAGCCAAGAATTCTCCCACGCAAGCTGCTTCCTGAGATATTTAGCCTGCTACTGCCCAGCACCAACTTTTTGCCTCAGTTTTCATACATTCTCCCTAGACTGCTATACTTCCAGTTACCATGGCAGTTTTGATTTTCAAAAAGTAAAAGCAAAAACCCATATTCATCTCAATATTATTCACAATAACGAAGAGGTGGGAGCAACTCAAATGTCCATCAACAGATGAATGGATAAACAAAATGTGGTATATCTATACAATTGTATATTATGCATCTTAAAAAGGAAGAGAATCATATCTCACTACAACATGGATGAACCTCAAGAGTATTAGGCCAAACAAAATAAGCTACACACAAAAGGACAAATCTCATATGCTTTCACTTAATATGAAGTATCTAGAGTAGTCAAAATCATAGAAACAGAAAGTTAAAAGATGATTAACGAGGGCTGTGGAAAGGGGGAGGAAGAATTAGGTTTAATGAGTATAGAGTTTCTATTGCATAAGATGAAAAAGTTTTAGAGATCTGTTATACAACCATGTGAATATAATAAACACTATTTAACTATAAGATGTTACGATTTTTGCCACAATTTATTTATTTATTTATTTAGAGACAGGGTCTCGCCCTGTCATCCAGGCTGGAGTGCGCTGGGACAATCTTGGCTCACTGCAGCCTCAGTCTCCTGGGATTAAGAGATCCTCCTGCCTCAGCCCCACTGAGTAGCTGGGCCTACGGGTGTGCAACATCATGCCCTGCTAATTTTGATAGTTTTGTAGAGATAAGGTTTCACCATGTTGCGCAGGCTGGTCTTGAACTCCAAGACTTAGCTATCCTTTTGCCTCGGCCTCCCAAAGCGCTGGGATTACAGGCATGAGCCACCACGCCTGGCTGTGAAAATTTTTAAAAAGGAAAAAAAGTTACAACATATCACACACACACACACAAACACACACACACAAACACACACACACATGTATGAAGTAGGGTTTTCCAGGCAAGAGGTAGGATGCTGGCCCAGCAATCAATTGCACAGCTTATTGTTACAGCTTACAGCTACAGCTCAGCTGTAACTAGGTAATTGGGCTGTGGTTCTTGGGTTCAGATTGAAACTCAGCAACCCAGGTTTCTAACTATTTACAGCTGGATTGAATCAAGTGCTGTCAATGGTAAATCCGTGGAGGAGAAGAAAGGGAAAGGATATGAGGCAGATTTTTGACTACTCATAGCATGCAACGACAATGTTTTCCACAGCAAAGACGCTGGATAAATCTTTATTCAACTGAACTGACTGGACCCTAATGGTATCTGGTGTTGACTCACTTGCCTTCAGAGATGTTCTCCTAAGAAACAACACACATTGCCGTGGCGTCCCCAACCACTTGCCTCAAATCTGCCAGAACAAGGAAAGATTCCAACTATTTGAACTGCATCTCCACTTCTACTCTTCCAATAACTGACTCCTGGGTACACTTTCCTGATTTTGCTGCTCTTTTCCACTTGGATTTATTAACCTGCCTATGTCTCCCTCCTGGTTTTGCCCCTCTGCCCTACTGGACTCCAGCTATTGCTGTATTTTTCCATCTGCTTCATCCCCTCTCCGTTTTGTGCTTTCAATTCTTGGACACAAAATATCACATTTAGCAACAAACCGTTAGACTCATTAGAACATGGTGCTAAGAGTTCTTAGCATGTGCATACAATAACCAAAAAATGTCTTATAGCAAGCCGTGTACATTATACCAAATAAGGACCGATAAGCCATTCTTGTCACCCTGATAGAAATACAATGTTTGTACCATCCTCAGTCTAAGGGAGTGCCTTTCAGGGGAAATCTAATTCATCTTCTCACTTCTAAACTAGGTTACTCTGAAAATATAGGAGTAAAAGTTATTAGTGTCCATTATGCAATGCAAATTAGCATGAAGGAACATAAAGGCCTAAAATTTGATAAGAATTTTGGTTTTTTGTTTGTTTGTTTGGGAGACAGAGTCTGGCTCTGTCGTCCAGGCTGGAGTGCAGTGGTGCAATCTCAGCTCACTGCAACTTCCACCTCCCAGGTTCAAGCGATTCTCGTGCCTCAGCCTTCCAAGTAGCTGGGATTACAGGCATGGACCACTATGCACAGCTAATTTTTGTATTTTTAGTAGAGAGGGGGTTTGATCATGTTGTCCAGGCTGGTCTCAAACTCCTGGCCTCAAGTGACATACCCACCTTGCCCTCCCAAAGTGCTGGGATTACAGGTGTGAGCCACCGCTCCCAGCCAAGAATTTTGTATTAAAATGTGAAAGACAGAACAGGCACAATGGCCCACATCTGTAATCCTAGCACTTTGGAAGGCTGCGGCAGGAGGATTGCTTGAGCCCAGGAGTTCAAGATCAGCCTGGACAACATACTAAGACCTCGTCTACACACACACACACACACACACACACACACACACACAAAATGTAAAAGACCACCCCAAATAACCTGCAGAACCTTTGTTGGGTCTAGTAATGTTTCCTAATAATCCATTCCACTAGATTAATCCTTTTGAATATAGAAAACTGAGGCTGAAGTGATAAAAACATAAATTTCCTGTAAGATCTCCAAAAAGGGAGATCTCAATGAAAAGTAACATAGCATGAAAGGCAGAGATTGTATTCTGACTGGACATACCGAATTCTGATCTGCCAGCCTCCCTGGCTCTGCCACTCACCAGCTCCCTGTCCTGGGGTAAGTTATTTAGCAACTCTCAAGCTCTCTTCTGTTCACATATATAATGGGGACAAAAATGCTACCTACCTGGTAGAGTTGTTATGACATCTAAATGAGAGGATTTATGTAAAGCTCTTGGCACCATAATTCTTAGCACGCAGTAAGATTTGGATAAGTGGAAATAGTGAAAGCAACATAAAACTCATGGTTCCCGCCATGAGGGGGCAGGTTTTAAAAGAATACTGAATATTCAGAGCAACCAGCTATTAGATAGCTGCACTTTGTATCTACAACAGCAGGTGGCACTAGCACCATATCTATCTAGTTTTACCTTGAACCAATTTTTTTTCTTTTTTTTTTTTTTTTTTTGAGACAGGGTCTCCTTCTGTTCCCTCTATTGCTCAGGCATCCAGTGGCACAATCACGACTCTCAGCAGCCTCAGCCTCCTTGCGTTCAAGTGATCCTCCCACCTCAGCTTCCCAAGTAGCTGGGACCACAAGCACACATCACCATGCCTGGCTGATATGTAGTTGGGTTTGTTTGTTTGTTTGTTTGTTTGTTTTTAAAGATGGGGTCTTGCTATGTTGCCCAGGCTGGCCTCGAACTCCTGGGCTCAGGCGATCCTCCTGCCTCAGCCTCTCAAAGTGCTGGGATTATAGGCGTGGTCTTAATTTTTTTTTTTAAGCTTTTTTTTTAGCTTTCTTTTTCAGGAAAAGCAGCACTTCTCCCTGATCTTTTTTAGTTTTTGTTATTCTTACATAGTTTCATAAGCTATTTTCAGTAGTATATGATACATTATTGCTATTTCAAAATGCATTGAATTGCCATGGACTGATTTCATGAAATTTTAAAATTTATTGAAGTTTTGTCTGATTTCTAATTCGTTTTTTTAAAATTAGATAGTGTTGTTCTACTATGGGCCACTGAAACAAGAATATTCCATGTCTGTGACCTTTTTTAAATCTGGAATGGTCAAGCAACCTTTTCTAGGATAGTACAGGTTATGCATTTGTTAGTAGGAATGTTCAAAAGACTTTGAGTATCGTGACGGGAAAACTACCAATGTCTCTGAAATCACTCCTAAATTGCTTGATGGATATGCTTATGGTTAATTTAGCAGCAATTGTAATTATATTTTCCAATTATATTTTTGTTGCTCTCACAAGTATCTTCATATATTTAATTTCATACGCTGCTGCCTTTACAACTGATGATAGTTCATTCTCTAGGCCCGCTTGGGAAGCCACAGATTTTTACTGACTTGTGTGATCAGACTTGGACTATAACATGGCTTGGGATTCCCTTGTACCACAGGTTTGGAGACACTCTAGAAGATTGAACTCAGTCAATAGGGGTAAGACGCTCATTTTGAGTCAACTTCAGGCAAACACGGGCTCTGTGCGAAATATATTTGTGCAAACACCACCACTAAAGTCTCCATTGCAACCAGACTTCTGTGGTTAGTGCAGAAAGGATAATGTTGACAGAGACCGCAACACCATGCCAACCACAGGGGCAGGGCTGTCAGCTGCCACTGGGCTGGGAGGTGAACTGTGAGGTCCTCCAAATGCCTTTTATGGGGGCCTTGGCATCTGCCTTGCTGGAAGGGTTCAGTATGACACCATGTAACCCACTGCAAAGACTGATTTCCACCCAGAGAGTACCCCAGTGACAAGCAGAAGAACAACAATCGGGTTGACCTATTTAAACTTTTCCGTAACAAATTATTTGCAAGTTAGAGTCTCTTCTGTGTTTAAAGATGAATAAATTCAGAGAGGAAAACGGAATTTGCAGAATTGAAATATCATACATTACAATAATAGCAAATTAGTAAATTTAATGAATCACATTAGTATATTTTATATATTATGTTATATATTTCATATATAATGTATATTATATGTTATATATTTCCTATATAACGTATATATGTTATATATTTCCTATATAACGTATATGTTATATATTTCCTATATAACGTATATGTTATATATTTCCTATATAACGTATATGTTATATATTTCCTATATAACGTATATTATATATTTCCTATATAACGTATATTATATATTTCCTATATAACGTATATTATATATTTCCTATATAACAGACAATATGTTATATATTTCCTATATAACAGACAATGTTATATATTTCCTATATAACAGACAATATGTTATATATTTCCTATATAACAGACAATATGTTATATATTTCCTATATAACAGACAATATGTTATATATTTCCTATATAACAGACAATATGTTATATATTTCCTATATAACAGACAATATGTTATATATTTCCTATATAACAGACAATATGTTATATATTTCCTATATAACAGACAATATGTTATATATTTCATATATAACATATAATATGTTATACGGTATGTTATATGGTATGTTATATGTTGTAATATATTATGTTTTATATAACATAATATATTATGTGTTATATATCATAATATATTATGTGTTATATATAACATAATATATATTTTATATAATTTATATATAATTTGTATTATATATATTCATATAATTTATATTATATACATTTATATAATTTATATTATATATATTTATATATTATATAATATATAAATAAATATATATTATATATATTTTATATAATAAATATATACTATATAAAATAAAATATGTATTTATATTATATATCATATATTATATATTATATATTTATAATATATAATATATTTATATAATATATTATATATTATATAAATATATTATATAAATATATTATATAAATATATTATATATTATATATTATATATTTATATATAATATATAATACATATAATGTATTATATATAATATTTTTTTATAATATATTATATATATAGCCTGAGAAGTCCCTTTACATGTACTTCAAAACAAGAGAAAAAATTTAAACATGATACAATTCTGATTTATTCAACCACGAACAGTGGCTCATGCCTGTAGTCCTTGTGCTTTGAGAGGCCAAGGTTAGGGGATTGCTTGAGGCCAGAAGTTCAAGGTTGCAGTGAGCTATTATCATGCCACTGCACTGCAGCCTAGGAGACAGAGCAACACCCCATCTCTACAAAAAATTAAAAAATAATTAGCTGGACATAGTGCCTCTTGCCTGAAGTTCCAGCTACTAGGGAAACTGAGGTGGGAGGGCCGCTTGAACCTGGGAGGTTGAGGCTGCAGTGAGCTATTATCGTGCCAGTGCACTGCAGCCTGGGTGACAAAGTGAGATCCTGTGTCCAAAAAAAAAAAAGGAATTCTGATCTAATCAAAAATATTCGCTGTTGATTCTACTAGCGAATTATGTCATGAGCAAATATTGACAATTAATGTCTCTTATTTCCTTGCATGGGATAGAGCAACCTCTGGATACTGCTTTCACTATGCTGTGATAGGACATTCTTCTCTTATTTCTGATTAATAGGAATTCATGGCAATTCACGTTTAAGTGTGATGCTGGCTGCTTGTTTCTATTAGTAATATATACTCTATCATGTTTAGGAGGTATAGCCTGTTCTTAGTTTACTAAGGGTTTGGATCAAGAATGAGTGTTTTCAAATCCCTTTTACGTATCAATCCAGATAATCATTTGGCTTTTCTCTACTGACCTTTTGATGAAATGAATTCTATTGATAAGTTTCCTATTATTGAACTTCTCTTGTACTTTAAGAATAAAACTTATAGCTGGGCGCCATGGCTCACGCCTGTAATCCCAACACTTTGGGAGGTGGAGGAGGGTGGATCACCTGTGGTCAGGAGTTCAAGACCAACCTGGCCAACATGGTGAAACCCTGTCTTTACTAAAAATACAAAAATTAGCCAGGCATGATGGCAGGCACCTGTAATCCCAGCTACTGGAGAGGCTGAGGCAAGAGAATCACTTGAACCCGGGAAGCAGAGGTTGCAATAAGCCGAGATCACACCACTGCACTCCAGCCTCGGCAACAGAGTGAGACTCCATCTCAAAAAAAAAAAAAAAAAGAATAAAACGTATTTAGTCATCCTGTATCATTCTTTTCATGCAGAACAATATGAGATTCACTAATATTTTCTTTACTTTTGCATCTCTGTTTATAGCTGAATTTGTATTACATTTATACAAATACATGTTTATATTTTCGGCTCCATATTTTAGCATTCTTTACTGCCAGGGTTAGGCTAGTTTCATAAAACAAACTTTTCTTTTCCTTTTTTTTTTTTTTGAATCAGAGCCTCACTTCATTACCCAAGCTGGAGTGTAGTAATGTGGATCTCGTCTCACTGCAAACTCCGTCTCCTGGGTTCAAGTGATTCTCGTGCCTCAGCCTCCCAAGTAGCTGGAATTACAAGCGCATGCCACCACACCCAGCTAATTTTTTTTGTATTTTCAGCAGAAACAGGGTTTTGCTATGTTGTCCATGCTGGTCTTGAACTCCTGACCTAAAATGATCCACCCACATAGGCCTCCCAAAGTGCTGGGATTACAGATGTGAGTCACCACGCCCGTCCTCACTCTATCATTTTCTGTGAAACGGTTTATATTACATTTAGCTGACCTGTTCCCTGAACGTACAAAAGTATTTGTCTTTATAGCTAGGCCTGGCACATTTTTTAGCTATAGTATTTTGACCACATTTTCAATTTCTTTTATGCTGTTTCGTTGGCTCAGGTTTTCTATTTCTTGGCTCAATTTTGTTTATTTACATTTTCCTAATGAGTTCTGTTTTTATTGTGATCTTTACAATTTATTATGTAAGAACTATACTGCACATCCTAGTCTTACGTAAGTTGCTTTTCTATGGTCCCATACCCTTTTAATTAATTACATCTATTTGTGTTTTTCTTTTATTCTTGACTAGATTCACTAAAAGTATATTCATTTTATTGCTATGTTTCTACTCAAATAGCTTACAGAATATTAAGTAAAATACATGGTCATTTGAATTTTCCTATTTTTCACATTCTAGGTAAACTGAGGTGGAATTTCCTGTCTTCAAATAATACACCATCCTGAAGAATTCTAACATTTGTACCCAGGCAACACATCACAACAACAATTTTACAAATAAGAAGACTGTGTTCAAGAGAGGCCTTTTTGGCAATTCACAGGAGAAATAAAAATGTAACTTCCAGGGCCAGCGTTTGCCCAGCTCTTGCTGTGGGGGCCAAGCCCAAAGTTAACAAGGACTGACATTAATCATCACATCATTTCTAAATGGAGTTTGCATCCAGGAAGAACCTAAGCGAGTTTTCTCTCCTCTTATGAGACTTTTTGCGTATGTGCTATAAGTCATTCAGGGGAAAAAACCCTGGGGCATAATTTCATGGGAGGGAAGGGCTTGTTTAAATAGGAACTTTATGCCACAGTACATGACTAAGAAACTATGTAAGTATGAACCCTAGGGCCCTGTCTTCCTGATTCAGCCAAGCCAGGTAATTGCTGCAAAGTATTCAAAGATTCCTTGTTATTTTGAATGAAGTGAGTTCAGAAATATTGCTCAAATATGACACAGACAACCCTGGGGTGAAGCCAGACTTTGAGATTGGAGATTACACACACACACACACAAAAACCCAAACCCCAAACTGTAATAGCATAGCCTACATTTTAATATTAAAGATGTGTAGTTTGGCTATTATGAGGGAGTATTGCAATCACATAGTTGCTTAATTAAAATGCTGCCTTTCAAAACATCTACTAAGAAATTCAAAATCTGGCCATCCAAATGAACATTCCCTAAAACTTTAAGTCACTTTTATTGGTGCTATAACAATTCTACACTAAATGTAGTTTCTCCCAAGAGGGTAAAGACTGACATTCAAAAACATGAATTCTGAGGACAAGGACCAATTAGAGACAACAAATAGCTGTCCCAATCTCAGTGAGATAATGAACACGAAAGTGTTTAGGAACATTATCCATCTGGAGCTGGTTCTACGATTTCATCACCCCCACCTCCTTTTCAAGCCTCCTTCAGGTATTTCTGGAAGATCTCAGGGTGTATATCTGAGTACTCACAAATCAGTTGGGCTATTTTGTTTTTTTCTGCTCTGACCTTCACCAGGTGGTATCACCAATATCTACTCGGCCTTGCAAATATTTTAATAGATGTTGTCATACCTCCTTCTAGCACCCTTATCTCAGGCAGGCCCCATGTCTTTTCCATTGGGATACCCATGAGAATGCCACACTCCCCTCTGTAGAAGCCTGCTTGTTCAGTGGGTACCAAAGCATTGTTTGTGTGTTGCTATCTTACCAGGGCTTAGTCAAAATTTTTTTTTGAGACACTCTTACTCTGTCGCCCAGGCTGGAGTGCAGCGGTACAGTCTCCGCTCACTGCAACCTCCACCTCCCATGTTCAAGCGATTCTCCTGCCTCAGCCTCCCAAGTAGCTGGAACTACAGGCGTGTGCCACCATGCTCTGCTAATTCTTGTCTTTTTAGTAGAGACGAGGTTTCACCATGTTGGCCAGGCTGGTCTCGAACTCCTGACCTCTGGTAATCTTCCCGCCTCAGTCTCCCAAAGTGCTGGGATTACAGGCATGAGCCATTGTGACCAGCCAAGTTTTATATTTATAGTTCTTATCACTGGGAATAGAGTTCAAAGGGCTAGGCCAGTAGACAATTCCCCAACACACGATATTCACTGCTCTCAGAAGTGCCCCCATCCTCTGATTTCTATGGCAACTTTTACTATTGGAGTCCTCCTCTTCCCATGACTTTTTTTCCAAGGGCTTCTCACAAATCCTTATGCAAACAGACTTCCAGTGGGAAAGCACCACACATGCTTCCTTAGTTATGCTGCTCCTTCTGGAGGCCCCCAGCCTTCCCACCCACCTAAAGGGGTGACAGTCATAGTGTAGAGCAGGGATTGGCAAACTAAGGCCCAAGAGCCAACTCTGCCTCACCACCTGCTCCTGCGCAGCCTGCAAGATAAAGATAAGATAAAGATAAGAATTTTTTTTTTTTTTTTTGAGACAGTCTCGCTCTGTCACCAGGCTGGAGTGCAGTGGTGTGACCTCTGCTCACGGCAACCTCTGCCTCCCAGATTCAAGCCATTCTCCTGCCTCAGCCTCCTGAGTAGCTGGGACCACAGGCACATGCCATTACACACAGCTAATTTTTGTATTTTTAGTAGAGACGGGGTTTCACCATATTAGCCAGAATGGTCTCGATCTTCTGACCTCGTGATCCGCCCGCCTCAGCCTCCCAAAGTGCTGGCATTACAGGGGTGAGCCACCACGCCTGGCCAAGATAAGAATGTTTTTTACATTTTTAAATGATAAAGAAAAACATCAAAAGAAGGATAAACAATAATATTTCTTTTCTTTCCTTTCCTTTTCTTTTCTTTCCTTTCCTTTTTTTAAGATAAGGTATCACTCTTATCGCCCAGGCTAGAGTGCAGTGGCACAACAATCGCAGCTCACTACAAGGTCAACCTCCCCAGGCTCAAGTGATCCTTTCACCTCAGCCTCTTGAGTAGCTGGAACAACATGTGTGTGCCAACACACATCTAATTTTTGTGTTTTTTGTAGTGACAGGATTTCTTCATGTTGCCCAGGCTGGTCTTGAACTCCTGGACTTTAGCAATCTGCCCACTTCGGCCATTCAAACTGCTGGGATTACAGGGGTGAGCCACTGCACCTGGCCAGAATAATATTTCATATGCATAAAAATACATGAAATTCAAATTTCAAATCTACTGTTAAAAGAAAGACCATAGCCAAATTAAATTTAACATACTTTAATTGAGCAAAGAACGACTTGAGAATCAGGCAGCCTCCTGAGCCGGGGTAGGCTCAGCAACTCCAGTGCAGCCACGTGGTGGAAGACGATTTATAACAGAAGAAGGAAAGTGATGTACAGAAAACAGAAATGAGGTACAGAAAACGGAAATGGGGTACAGAAACAGGCGGATTGGTTACAGCTCAGCAGCTGGGCGTTTACCTTATTTGAAGACAGTTTTAACAGTTTGCCTCCTCTGATTGGCCAAAACTCAGTGATTGGCACAAGAATAGGTTTTGGTCTGTTTACACTTCCATTGAGATTATAGTTCGCTATGTACAGAGAAACCTTTAGGCTGAACTTAAAATATGTAAGGAGGCAGGTTTAGTCTAAACTTGATCTAACACAACTAATGAAGTTTTACTGGGACACAACCACACTCAATTCATTGTATGTATTGCTCATAGAGGCTTCCCTGCTACAACTGCAGAGTTGAGTGGTTGCAACAAGGCCATATGGCCTGCAAAGCCTGGGAACTATCCATAGTGGGGCCTTTATAGCAAAAGCTTGCAGACCTCTGCTTTAGAGCATGGACCCTGGAGTCAGGCTGTCTGGGTCTGGATTTTATTTTGCCACTAATTAATTATGTAGGTAATTTCTGGACACCTCCTAAGCCACATTTGTGAGGTGGGAATGACCGGAGAGTTATATTTACCTCATTAGGTTGTATGGGGATTAAACAAGGTGATTTGGAGCCAGTACTCATTACTTCATACGCAGTTATTATTGTTACTTTACAGTTGGTGGCTGTGAAAAAATAAAATCGTTCTGGTATTAAATACAAGTTCTGGATTAAATGCTTGTTTTCTTAACTGACCACAAACAGGAAGAAAAATCTGCTGAATATGACAGTCGTCTAAACAAGATAGTCATAGTGTCCGTGTGCCCAAGGAACTGAAGAGTGAAACTTCACTCTTGTCACAAAAAATGATCAGATTTAGGCAAATAACTTCCTACTCTTGCTACATAGCCCAGAGACTTCAGCAATCAAGTATTTTTCTTTATTTTGTTTTGAAGAAGGTTGAATAAAATTTGTCATTTATTCATGTTCTTCTATGGTCATTTTCCCTGTAAATCTATGACTTTCTATAGCTACAATCATTTTGCGGCATAGACAATCTAATTATTTTCATTTATGCCTACATTATACATTTTCCACATTTCTTCTAAGTTTTCATCATCTCTCTTTTTGTTCTTTTTTTTTTTTTTTTTTTTTTTTGGCAGGGGGAACAGGGTCCCCCTGTCACCTAGGCTGGAATGCAATGGTGCCACATCAGCTCACTGTAACCTCCACCTCCTGGGCTCAAGGAATCCTCCTACCTCAGCTTCCTGAGTAGCTGATACTACAGACACACACCACCACACCCTGGTAATTTTTGCATTTTTTGTAGAAACAGGGTTTTGCCGTGTTGCCCAGCCTGGTCTCGAACTCCTGGGCCCAAGTGATCTGCCCGCCTTGGCCTCCCAAAGTGCTGAGATTACAGGCATGAGCCACTGCGTCCAGCCCATCATCTCTTATTTTAAACAGTTTTATGAATATAATTTTTCAATGTATATAGGAATCAAGACATACGGTAAATAAACATAGTTTGTTTTTTTTAAAATCAGGTAGTTTGATTTCATCTCACCTAAATATGGATCTAGTTTTCAAGAAACTAATGCCTTCTTACTGCTCACATCATCCACCTCTCCCAACAGTGGAATCAGCTCATTTAGACACAGCAAAGAACATTCCAGAAACAACACTAGAAAAAAGAATTTTCCCATGTTCATGAAAAGGGTAAATCATAAGTATAAATCTCCTTGTGACAGAGATGAGGAGATAATAGCATTGGAGCCCCGAGCATTATCTTCCCATCCATCAGAGAAGCCGGACCCCCACAGCCACATGGCAGAGCCTGTGCAGACTCAGAGATGCTCACGACCTAAGTCACTTGCAGAGTGGAGAGTGAATAATGATGTTGGAATCCCTGGGGCCTATGAAAAGGTACTTCTGGGACTAGGGTGATTCATGGTTTCCTTTGTCCTGCTAAGCTCATGGGTCCCAGAATTACAATGTATCACCTACTCCTGGCTTACTTAGAACCATCCTTAGGAGCCTGCAAAGCACTGCTTAGAACCAATTACATTATTTGCATTGTTATCATTTTTTTGGTAGTTCCATTAGCCACTGACTCGTATAGGATCACAGAATAATCTTCTTTTATCTAGAGAGAGAGAGAAAAAAGACACTTTAAACGACTCCACAGCATCTCATAGAGAAGCCATCAGACCAGCCTGATTTGGCAAAAACAAGCCTGGTAATCAACAGGGAGGTGAGGCTCTTGCCAGTTCTCTTCACATCCTGTCCATTTATTCTCTAAGGCATTGTAAGGGTTAGTCACAATACTCATGTCAAACTAACCCTCAAAGCCACTTACCCTCATTTCTTTCTCCATGGCTCCTTCAAGCAGAGCCTGTGAGTGTCTGTGCGTGCTTAAGTGTGTTTGTATTTGTGTGGGTTTTGGAGTCTGAAGATCTCTGTGGAATATGCTTAATGTTTCTTCTGAAAAGATATCAGAGGAAAAAAAAAGGGTATTTCTGGGCATCACGCTGTCATTCCAACTGCCTGTCTGGTTAACTGTCTAATTTTAAGCCTCATTCTAATAAAAGACTTTGAAAAGCTCTGCTTTTATGATTTAAAAGGACATTCACACTAGGATTTAGCCATCTGATATAGCAAAGTGAGTGGATTTCAGTTTTCAAAAGGAAATGATAAACATACTGAAAGCTGTAATTAAAATTTTCCATTTTCCTCCAACTCTCTTAAAGCCATTGTCAAATTTGAAATCTCTGGCACCCAAATTCAAACCTCTAGTTTTGGAAGAAGAAGACTTCAATGCAAAAGTGGGATGAGGCAGTTGAAATCGCTTTGGTAGAAACCCAGTTCCACTGGATAAGAGCATTAACATTCTGATGTATGGTACATTTGAAATATACCTTTGGTCAGAGAACAGAGGTCATCCAATTTCCCTAAGCACGGAGAATTCATGTAACTTTGAGAAGCCCTGAGTCCACAACAGGCAAGTCATATAATCCAGTGCAGAGCGCTTTAGCTCCTAAGGGGCCACATGGAGAAGTTGCTGAGGAAGGCGTGAAGAAGTGGGTCCTAAAGAAATATTGAAAGGAAAACTTTGATACAG
This sequence comes from Homo sapiens, assembly GCF_000001405.40. Lineage (NCBI taxonomy): Eukaryota > Metazoa > Chordata > Mammalia > Primates > Hominidae > Homo > Homo sapiens. The sequence goes on from NC_000008.11 coordinate 25,181,020, forward strand.
AGCAACTGGGACAGGAAAGGGTGAAGACAAGATAGATATAAATGGTGACCAAGACAATGGCAACTCTACTCCCTTGCTATTCAAGCCCCAAACCTTAGAGTCACTCTTTTTGTTTTGAATTAATATTTGTTTAGAGACAGGGTCTTGCTATGTTGTCCAAGCTGAAATGCAGTGCCAATTCACAGGTGCCATCCCATTATTGATCAGAAGGGGAGCTCAAGAGAGGGTGCCACCTGGAGCCTGAGGCAGTTCAAATGTGAAGTCCCGGCTACGGGATCTTTGTCAATAATGCAGTCAGTGACAGAGAAAAGACAAGGATGCATCCAGTTGCTTTCTACACAGGGATGCTCTCTGGGCTGCTGGCTGGTTGGAAAAGGGAGGTCTTGGGGTAGATTTCCCCCTGGATATGTGGGCCTGAATTTCTTCAGCTAAGGAGGAGTACCGAAGTTTTGGGATATAGGACTTCCAAATTAGGGCTTTCCAAATAATTGACCCGCTCCATTTCTGACCTGGACCAGTTCACCCCTCCTTAGGCAACCTGGTGGTCGCCTGCTCCCAGGATGTCACTATATTGATGCGGAACTTAGTGCAGACACCTGATCAGCATAGCTCACTGCAGCCTGGAACTCCTGGGCTCAAGCAATCCTCTTGCCTCAGCCTCCCTAGCAGCTGGGACTACAGGCATGTGCGACCTAGCTGGCTTTAGAGTCATTCTTGACCCAGCTTGTATCTCACATGCAGGGACAAGAACCAAGGTGTGTGGGGCCTGAAGGGTGTACGATACGGGTAGGGCTCTTTAAAAAAAAAAAGAAAAATACAAGCATATCTCTTTCTGGGGGAAAACTTTCCAAAAAAGATTGAAGCCTCACAGTAGTAGATCCCCCTGCCGTTCATGTGGCCCTCCTCTTGGTTCTTTTTCATGCTGTGATGCAATCATAGCTCACTGCTAGCCTCGACCTCCTGGGCTCAAGCAATCCTCCCACCTCAGTCTCCTGAGTAGATAGGGCCACAGGCACAGCCACCATGCCCAGGATATATATATAGTAGAGGAGGGTCTCACTATGTTGTCCAGGCTGATTTTGAACTCCTGACCTTAAGCAATCCTCCCACCTCAGCCTCCCAAAATGCTGGGATTACAGGTGTGAGCCACCACATCTGGCCAGGCTCTATTTTCACGTATGTCAAGAACCCAACATCTTTTTCACCTCCATCCTTATCCTCCTGGACCCAACTACCTTCATGTCTTGCCTGAATGACTGAAATAGCCCCCAACATCCATCCATGTGGGCCTCCCTTGCCCCTTTACAATGGATTCATACCACAGCAGGCAAGTTCAATATGTTCCAGGTTGGCTCAAAGCCCTCCAAACCTCGCTTGTAGTAGTAATATATAAAGTCCATATGCCTGCCAGGGTTCTGCTCTATCTGGCATTCCTCTGCCTCTTAGACCAAGTTTCCTCTCACCTGTTACTCAGCTCTCATTACCTAGGATCTCTGGGTGACCTGGGAACCTGCCAAACACGCTTGGTGTCCTTTGCCTTTGCTGTTCCTCTTTTCCAGAATACTTTCTCCCGGAATCTTCACTTCCTTCAGGTCTACACCTCAACCTCAGCTTAGCAGAGCTGCATTCCCAGACCACTCCATAAAAACAGCAGCACCCTACACGCCCTATCCTCCCTGCTTTGGATTTTTCTCTAATGTTTACTCTCGTTTGGTGTACATTTCTTTACTGTCTTACTCTCCCCGTCTAGACTAGAAGCTCTGTGAAGGGACACATTCTACTGTATTCACCGCTGCACCCTCATTCTTAGAGTGATGCCTGGCACTTAACGTGTAGGCATTTAATATGTGTGTGAAGAAGGAAGAAGAAATTACCTAACCTGGGAAATTAGAATCATGATATACTAATGGAGGAAGATAAATTATTTTAGGGAAGATGGTGGAATTCTTTCTGGATGTCAAGTCTAAAGTGACAGAGGAATTTCTTAAATTATTGTTAAACATTGTGAATAAATACCTATTGGTTGATGGAGAAAAAAAAAGCCAGCTCTAGTAGTTACCCACCGTGAATAGGACTTAAAAAAAATTTCAGACCTCGTTTGGTAAAAAACCACCAAAGTTAAAATGCACTAATTCTCCAATGAAACTTTACTATCTTGTTACCTTGTTTGCCTATCTATCTTTACTGTCTTTTTTTTTTTTTTTTTTTTTTAGACGGAGTTTTGCCCTGTTGCCCAGGCTGGAGTGCAGTGGCGCGATCTCGGCTCACTTATAGCCTCTGCCTCCCGGGTTCCAGCGATTCTCCTGCCTCAGCCTCCTGGGTAGCTGGGATTACATGAGCACACCAGCACGTCTGGCTAACTTTTGTATTTTAGTAGAGAAGGGGTTTCACCATGTTGGCCAGGCTGGTCTGGAACTCGTGACCTCAGGTGATCCACCCGCCTCGGCCTCCCAAAGTGCTGAGATTACAGGCATGAGCCACCACGCCTGGCCAACTACCTGTCTTTACTATCTTTACTACATGTTTGTCTTCCTTTCTTTTATATTCCTAAAACGCATGAAAACCTTCACAGGCTGCAAGGAGGATATAATTTCTCTCTAGAGGAATCTTCTTCGAAGGTGAACGTAATTAAGCTGGTCATTTACTCTACTTGCAATGTTACTTCTCGGTACAAGGTAGGGAGAAACCCCTGGATCTTCATTCTCCAAGTCTCTCCAGGAAGAAATGAATTCCAAGAGGGGAGCTCCAGAGAGGGCGCCACCTGGAGCCCAAGGCGGTTCAAATGCGCAGCCCCTTTGGGATCTTCGTCAAGAAAAGGCAGTCGTTGACGGAGAAAAGACGGGGATGCGCCTTGGCCCTTTCTCCACGGGAATGCTCTCTGGGCTGCTGGCTGGTTGGGAAAGGGAGGTCTGGGCATGAGGGTCTAAGTTTCTTCAGCTTAAGGTTGGGGGGTCCCCGGAGTTTGGGGATACAGGACTTCCAAATTAGGGCTTTCTAAACAATTTCCCTGCAGAGGATCCCCTAGCAAACGGTCTGATACTTCTGAGGAGCCCACCTCCCTTGCACCAGCTCTCCGGTGATAAAAGTTCTGCTTTCCAGGCTCTAAGCGGTGGCCCCGGGAGATTCAGTCTGCCCTGAGTCCGGCTTCTCCCGCTCGCGGCGCGGGTTCAAGCTCCAGGGGGTGAAGGCAGAAGTCAACTGCTCATTCATTCAACAAATATTTATTGCGCGCCCGCTTAGTGCCAGGCACCGGAGGTGCCCCGAGCAAGAAGCCGCTCTCGCTGATCCGTTTCCGCTCCCCAAGTGTCCGGCGCGCGCCGTGGGAGCGCAGCCCGCATCCCTCGCCCACCGGCCGCCCGGCCTGGGCGTGCCCGGCTCCTCCAGCGCAGCCCTCTGTCGGGAGCCGGACCCCCGGGACCCAGCCTCCGGGGTATCAGCCGGGTGGGGAGGGCGGGAGAAAGGCAAAGTGCCGCCAGCGTCAAAGTCCCGCCGGCCCAGGAAGCCGCTCCAGGGAAGCGCGCGAGGCGGAGCCGCAGTCGGCCCCCGCCCGGCAGAGCGCAGAGAGCGGCGCGGGCGGGAGAGGCCGGGCGCCCGCGGCTCGGAGGCGGCCCCGGCGGGCGGAGGGTGCGGCCGGCGGGAGGGACTGGGGCGGCGCCAGGAGGGGCGCGCACTGCTGCGCTGCAGCCCGGCCCAGCAGGTGACCGCGGGCGGCGCGGGCACGGGCACGGGCGCGGGCGGCGCGGCGAGGAGGCGGCCCGCGGAGTCCAGCGAAGTTTGGCGGAACATGGCGGAAGCGTCTGGGGCACGCAGGAGCGCGGGGCGGCGGCGGCCGGAGCCCGAGGAGCTGTAGCAGCCTTAGTCGCCGCCGCCGCGGGGCGAGGTCGCCGCCATGGCCCGCTGGATCCCGACCAAGAGGCAGAAGTACGGGGTTGGTGAGTGCGCGCCCCACCTTGTCCCGGCCCGACCCACGCGGCCAAGTTCGCGGACAGCGGCCCTGCCAGGTTTGCGCAGAGCCCGGCGGAGGACCCTGGCCGGGGGCTCGGCCCGGCTGCGCAGCTCTGGGAGCCGGGGACGGTAGGAGTCCTCTCCAGGGAGCGCCGATGGGGAAGTCGCCCAGGGTTTGGGGACTCCGAGTGCTTCCAAGTGCAGCTGAGCTTCGGGACCGTAATCCCGCTCTTGCATCCCAATCTCCGGCACTTCACACCAGGGAAATGTCAACGCGAGGGGGGCGCGCCTGCTGCTCTTTTGGGGCCGCAGCTCTGTGGCTCGCCCCGGTGCGCCCAGCGTGGGTTTCACCTGGGAGTAGGTGACCAGCCCGGGTCGGCACATGGACTGGTGCTCATTGTCCCAGTGCTTTCTGCCCCCCGCTTTCGTAGGTTCTTCTCAGACGCCCCTTAAGTGAGGAGTTGAGGGTGGAAAGCCGCCCTGCCCCCTTTCCTCCAGAGACTGGGATCTTGATGACAGTTGTGAGCTGGATGGAAACTAGAGTCGTGGCGTGGAAGTGATGGAAGGGACAGGAAGTTGTGGCACGGGAAGGGGGTGGCTGGCCCCTGGGGCTGTTTGTGCGCACTCATCCCCTAACGGAGCCTGTCTGGAGAGGGTGTAAGGCTGCCTTCCGGATCCTGAGTTTCATCCTGGAGACGAGAAGAGGACATTTTATTAAGGAAACTGTGCCAGACCCCGTGCTGGGCACTTGGCATTCAGAACAGCGGTGCTGGAGAGCCCCGGGTTGTGCGCAGGGGTTGCTGGTGGTGGTGCTTTGGCTCCGAAACAATAGATGTGCGGGGATTTTGACCCAGGTGGAAAGTCAGGCTCCTTTGGCTTTTTATCAAGGATTGAAGTTATTGAGGGCCTGTGGGAAGACTTCTGCCCTGAACGGGGTGATTACAATGGCAGTTAGACCTGGGGTGATTCCCTACAATAAACACGGCTGAGTGTGTTGCGAATTTTATCACTTCCTCTCAGATCCATTCATTTGGCCTGTTTGTAATTTAGTCTTTGACTTTACTCCCTTACTGAGGTCCTGTTTTTCCTCACCTCACTGGTTAATGAAGTGCAGTCTCAATTAAGAGCTACTCAACGTGTCTAGGGGCTTTTCAACTCTGTAGCCAGGAGTCAGGGTTTTTTGTTGTTGTTTGTTTTGTTTTTTAACAGTCTCATATTTACTATATTATTCTTAGGTTGTGATCCTTTATATATTTATTATTTTTTGTTTTCCCTCAATTCAAAAGACATTTTCTTTTTTGCTCTTAAGTTGCTTTTAGAATCTTAGTCTCTCCCTTAGCTGCATCTCAGAAATGGGTAGAGATGTTGCTTCTGCCTCAGGGCTCTTTTTTTTTTTTTTTTTGGTTTGTTTGTTTTTGAGACGGACTGACGAGGGAGTCTCACTCTGTCGCCCAGGCCGGAGTGCAGTGGCGCAATCTCGGCTCACTGCAAGCTCCACCTCTAGGTTCCAGCAATTCTCCTGTCTCAGCCCCCCTCCCCGAGTAGCTGGGATTACGGGCTTGCATCACTACACCTGACTAATTTTTGTATTTTTAGTAGAAACCAGGTTTCGCCATCTGGGCCAGGCTGGTCTCAAACTCCTGACCTCAGGTGATCCGCCTGCCTCGGCCTCCCAAAGTGTTGGGATTACAGTCATGAGCCACCTCACCTGGCCCCTAGATGAAAGCATATTTACAATGCCCAATCACTACAGAAATGTTATCAACTCTAATTTTATCAGGATTAAAAGCTCTTTTCAAAACTATTCAGTTGAGGGTAATTAATGCAAACATGTTTCAAAAATGTGGTTTTTATTGCCATAGTCCTAGGAGCAAGTATAATTGTTTTTAATATTTTGTTTTTATGTTCTGGAGTCAGTTTACTGTGTCACTTATCAGTCAAGAAAAATATTTGGGCCAGGTGCGATGGCTCACGTCTGTAATCCCAACAATTTGGGTGGCAGAGGCAGGAGGATTGCTTGAGCCCAGGAGTTCAAAACTAGCATAGCAACATGGCAAACGGGTCTTTACAATAAATACGAAAAAAATTTAGCCGGGCATGGTCGCCTGTGCCTGTGGTTCTAGCTACTGAGGAGGCTGAGGTGGGAGGATAGCTTGAGCCTGGGAGGTTGAGGGTGCACCGAGCCCCCATCACGACACTGCACTCCAGCCTGGGTGATACTGTGAGACCCGATCTCAAAAAAAAAACTATATATACATATATATACGTATATATATATATACACACACACACACACGTATACACACACATATATGTATATATGTATATACATATATATGTATATATGCGTATATGTGTGTGTGTGTATATATATATGTATATGGAAATATGGGTGGAAATTGTGTGTGTGTGTGTGTGTGTGTGTGTGTGTGTAAAATATTTGGATTGCATTTCCAGGGCCTAGGTGTTAGGGAAACTGCTCCAGGATATAATTCTGAACACTTATTTCACCAGACATAGATTCTGGTTTGTCTGGGTTTGACAAAAGGACCCACAGTTGGGATAAATTAACTGAAGAGAGAAATCTCCATTGCTTATTGCTAAAACTCATTGTTTTTGTCACCTCCTTGCTTATGTTTATGTCACCTCCCTGCTTGGAAGTCTCTCGTGGTCAACAGGATAAAGTCTGAGCCTCCGTTCCAAGGTTCCTATAATCTGGTTCAGCCTATCTTCAGCATTATCTCTCGAGGCTTCTTTCACTAGCTCTCCAATGCAGACCAACTGCCCTTCCCACTGTTGTGCAACATACCCTGCAGAGTCCCTCCTTTGGGACTTTGCTCCCATTGTGCCTGTCCCTGCCAGGAGTGCCCTCCCAACTCTGCCTCAGACAGCTCACCTTTCCTTGAGGGCTCAAATCCATTCCTACTCCCTTCTTCAAATTTGCTATTTGTCAGACTGTCCCAAACCTCCTTGCTTCTTCCTCGCAGTTCCTGGACTGTGCCATCCTTGGGTTCAGTGAATCAGACCATTGTGGTTTTGTATTCCTAGCACTCAACAGGTGTACCAGGTATTAGTGCATTCAGTTTGCTTGTCCTTGATGTTGGGGTGCCGTTCTAAAGTACACTAACCTAGCTTGTCTGGTAATTGAATGCAGTTTTTTCCTCTTCTTTTTCTTCCCATTAGGCATAACATCTCATTCACCCCAATATGAGTTGAATTTTGTTTGGTTAGATGGAGGAAGGGAGAGCCTCCACTCTGTCTTTATCTCTGCAAGTAAGAGAATGAGATATTCTGCTGAGAAAACAAGGAAGCATGGAGCAGACAGACTTTCTTAAATATAGTTGGGAAAATTGGCTTTCTGGACTTCTCTAAGTGTGTACTGGTCAGATTTGGTTTCTGGATGAAGGAACCGTAGGATAGTCATGTTGAAGCATTTGGATGACTCAGAGCTAGCTATGACTTTGCCTGTTGTGCTCTAAGAGGAGTGTGCCTCTGCAGAGCTAGTCTGTGTGAGGATAGAGCTTTGGACTCAGTATGAATTGTGCCTGCTGAAGCTGGCAGTCGCTACTGTCATATTTTATCTTGGTGCCACTCTTGGCTGTTCCTGACATATCCTAGATGTTTCTACAGGGACTGAAATGCAGCCTGTCTGGGCTTTCTTAGTTCTTAAACAGCAGTGTTGGCTCAGGCTCTAGCATTAAGTGGATCTCAATGGTTTCTGTGTGTTATCAAGTGAAGTGACTGATCTATTTGATTCTTTAAACTTATGGTGCTCTAGTACCCCAGTGTTAAGTGCTCAGTGGCTAAGTGTTCTTCCCTGGAGACGTGGAAAATGTGCTTTTTTCTCATCTTTTTTCTTTCTTTGTTTCTCTTTTCTCTCTCTTTTTTCTGTTTGAGCATATGAAGATATAAAACACTTTTAAGCAAACATTAGTGATAAATATCCAGAATAGTCTGATTATAAAAACATTTATTTTTAAGTTTGCTTCCACACAAGCCATTATGTAAAGAATAGCCCCAGATTAGGTTGACTATGGATTCTTTGCAAAGCTTTTTTTTCTTTTCTTTTCTTTCTTTCTTTCTTTTTTTTTTTTTTTTTTTTGAGACAGGGCCTCACTCCACAGCCCAGACTAGAGTACAGTATGATCATAGCTCACTGCAACCTGCCATCTCAGCCTTCCAAGTTGCTGGAACTGCAGGTGTGCACCACCATGCCTGGCTTAAGTTTTTTGATTTTTTAAGTTTTAAAATATTAAACTTTTAAAATAATCATTTTAAAGATGGAGTCTTTCTATATTGTCCAGGCTGATCTGGAACTCTTGGCCTCGTGTGCTCCTTCAGCCTTAAGCCTCCCATGTTGCTAGGATTACAGGGGTGAGCCATGAGCCTGGCTGATTTTTTTTTCTTTTCTTCTGAGACAGGGTCTCGTTCTGTAACCCAGGATAGAGTGCAGTGGCAAAATCATGGCTCACTGCTGCCTCAACTTCCTGGGCTCAAGTGACCCTCCAGCCTCAGCCCGCTGAGAGCTGAGAGCTACAGGTGCGTGCCACCACAACCAGTTGATTTTTGTATTTTTTGTAGGGATGGAGTTTCACCATGTTGCCCAGGCTGGTCTGGAACTCCTAGGCTCAAGCAGTCCTTCTGCCTCAGCCTCCCAAAGTGCTGGGATTACAGGCATGAGCCACCACACCCAGCCTTATTCTTTGAAAAGTAGCTCATTGTTGCATGTTGGGATTTGTGATCACATATATTTTTATGATGTAACAAAAGGCAGTTTTGGGAAATATTACTAGTTAGCTCTTCAGGTGTTTACTTGTTTAAAGCTCTTTAGTTGTTTAGAAGCATCTGACTTAACGGAGTAGAGCTTTGAATGCTGATTTAAGACTGACTTCAGACTTGGGCTTTTGTTGTGTTTTTGTTTGCTTATTTGTTTGTATTTTGAGATGGAGTCTTGCTCTGTCGCCCAGGCTGGAGTGCAGTGGTGCAATCTTGGCTCACTGCAACCTCTGCCTCCTGGGTTCAAGCGATTCTCCTGCCTCAGCCTCCTGAGTAGCTGAGATTACAGGCGCACGCCACCACGCCCGGCCAGTTTTTGTATTTTTAGTAGAGACGGGGTTTCACCATGTTGGTCAGGCTGGTCTGGAACTCCTGACTTCATGTGATGTGCCCGCCTTGGCCTCCCAAAGTGCTGGGATTACAGGCGTGAGCCACCGCTCCTGGCCCAGAATGTTTTTAAATGCATAAAGTACGATACAAAGTTCCAAGTCACTGTAGAAATAAAAATTAAGTAAATTACAAAGGATAGAAAATGAAAACAGCCGTATTGAAATAGGCCGTGAAGGTGTTTTTCAAAGTTCGTGATACTGCAGTATATGTACTTCTTTATTAATGCATAAAGTACCAAGATCTAGTGACAGGTCTAATAACTAGCATAATTTTGAATTAGTCACGAGCATATATGATTTTTCAAGATATCTGCAGTAACCATACTATGATATAAAAATCCCTGTTTTATTGGTGACAGTATCACAGGCGCTAGTAGTGCAATTGCGGTTTATTGGCTACAGTCGTAATTAAAGTGAGTGCTGAATGTCAGAAAATAGAGATGTAACTTTTTTCTTGTTCAAGTTCGTGGATCCTCTGGATTTAACAGATTAAGTATCCTTGGCTGAGGATCACATAGCTAATTAGTTACAGTGCCATCTGAGCAAGACAGTGATACTTGTTGACCACCTCTTTGCACATAACACTGTACCGGATATTATATAATTATAATGACCCGAAGAAGGCCTGGCCTTAACTTGGTCATGGGTTTTTTTTTTTTTTTTTTTTTTTTTGAGACGGAGTCTTGCTCTGTCGCCCAGGGTGGAGTGCAGTGGCGCGATCTCGGCTCACTGCAAGCTCCGCCTCCCGGGTTCACGCCATTCTCCTGCCTCAGCCTCCCGCATAGCTGTGACTACAGGCGCCCGCCACTGCGCCAGGCTAATTTTTTGTATTTTTTAGTAGAGACAGGGTTTCACCGTGTTAGCCAGGATGGTCTTGATCTCCTGAACTTGGTCATGTTTTAACAGCATTGAGGCTAAGAACAAAAGGAAGAGAGAATTAGTATTCATTGAGAACTTCTCTTGTGAGGTACCATTCTGAACCCTTTATTTTAGTATGTTCCAGGGACATGTGGGGTCTTGGAGACACGTTCAGAATGGGGGGGGTCCATGAAATTAAAACTTTCTTTTTGCAATAATGCTAAGCCGTTATTGGCCTGTTTACATTCTCATTCTCTCGTTAGTGGAGTTTTCCAGAGGCTTTGCAAAGTGCGATATGGCCACCGATGGAATGCAGGGGCAGCTATAAAGACCCAGCTGCCTATAGTGAAGTCAGACATTAAAGAGACTTCCAAATATGCAAAACAAAGCCACGCTTCCAAGTGTTTTTGTTTGAGAAAATAGTTCTGTTCCTTGAAAATATGTATTTTTACAAACATGTATTGGATTTATCATAGTTATTTTAAATTAATTACCAACTACTTTTTGAATGTTTCAATTTGAATTTCTGATATGGCAAGTTGTGATAGATGTCACCCACATAGAAGCTCTTTGGTGGTTCTCAGTAACTTTTAAGCAAGTAAAGGGGTTCTGAGACAAACATTTGAGCTGCTTTACCTGTTATTTCATTAAATCATTGTGGCAGTGATATGAAATGCTGTTGTCCCCTGTTTCTGATATAGGAAATGAGGTTTGCAGAAGATGAGTTTCTCATCCATGGCCATATAATCTCACTCCAAAAACAAAATCTTTTTTTTAAAATTATATATATATATTTATTATACTTTAAGTTCTAGGGTACATGTGCACAACGTGCAGTTTTGTTACATATGTATACATGTGCCATTGTGTGCTGCACCCATTAACTCGTCATTTACATTAGTTATATCTCCTAATGCTATCCCTCCCCCCTCCCCCCACCCCACAACAGGCCCTGGTGTGTGATGTTCCCCGTCCTGTGTCCAAGTGTTCTCATTGTTCAGTTCCCACCTGTGAGTGAGAACATGCAGTGTTTGGTTTTTTGTCCTTGCGATAGTTTGCTGAGAATGATGGTTTCCAGCTTCATCCATGTCTGTCCCTGCAAAGGACATGAACTCATCCTTTTTTATGGCTGCATAGTATTCCATGGTGTATATGTACCACATTTTCTTAATCCAGTCTATCACTGATGGACATTTGGGTTGGTTCCAAGTCTTTGCTATTGTGAATGTGCCACAATAAACATACATGTGCATGTGTCTTTATAGCAGCATGACTTATAATCCTTTGGGTATATACCCAGTAATGGGATGGCTGGGTCAAATGGTATTTCTAGTTCTAGATACCTGAGGAATCGCCACACTGTCTTCCACAATGGTTGAACTAGCAAAAACAAAATATTTAACCCATGTTGTGTTTCCCAAGTTCCACTTGTTCATCGTCACCTTGGTTTTGCCCTGTTCAGGTACCACTGTGTAGCAGCTTCAGGGCTATTGCTATACCCATTTCCATCTGTATTCTTTTTTGTTTTTCTTTTAAGAGATAGGGTCTCACTGTGTTGCCCAGGCTGGAGTGCAGTGGTGCAATCTCGGCTCACTGCTGCCTGGACTTCCTGAGCTCAAGCGATTCTCCCACCTCAGCCTCTGGAATAGCTGGAACTACAGACACACACTACCATGCCTGGCTAATTTTTGTTGTTGTTGTTTTCGTAGACACAGGGTTTCACTGTGTTTCCCAGGCTGGTCTTGGGCTCCTGGGCTGAAGCAGTCCTCCTGTCTTGGCCTCCCAAAGTATTGGGATTACAGGCGCCAGCTACCACGCTCAGCCTATACTATTTTCTATGTTATATTTTCTTTATATTGTCTGCTTGTTTTCTTTTTTAATTTTAGCAGTTACTGAAAAAGAAAGCCTTATCTTTCTACCACTACTTGCTGTAGAAAAGAAACAATTGTAAAAATGAAAGCAACAAAAATAAAAGCGGTGTATTAGATTCTGGCTAGATACTGTTGCTGTCAAGCCTAGAGCCCCAGACCTGCTTTTTCTTCATTAAAAAAGGAGGAAGCTGATACCCAATGGAATCTTTCTCTTCAGTATAGTGTCCATTCTCATTATTCATGGTAATTATGTTCTATTTAGTCACAGTGAACACTGAGTTAGTGAATACTGACCCGTTGCTCCTAGGGGAGAGGCAGGGTTCCTGTGAGCCTCTGGTCACAAGCTTTTCATCAGCCAATCAATACATAACCTTATTTTATGTGTGTTTGTGTTTAAAGTTACCTTATTTAACATATATAGTTGGTTCACTAACATTGAGCCCATGGCAAAAAGCACTGTAACTCATGCCTGAATGAAGAAACTTATCTAACGTGTATTTTTTTTTTTAAGGCACATTACAGCTTTTTTTTTTTTGCATTTAGGTACTTAGACAGCACTGTAGCACTATGCTTGGGACCATTTTAAATAGAAAAATCACCAGCAAAAAGCACAAAAATGAGGCCAAATGTGGTGGTTCACACTTGTAATCCCAGCACTTTGGGAGACTGAAACGAGAGGATTGCTTAAGCCCAGGAGTTTGAAACCAGCCTGGGCAACGTTGTGCAACCCCGTCTCTACAAAAAAAAATACAAAAATTAGCTGGGCATGGTAGCATGTGGTTGTGGTCCCACCTACTTGGGAGGCTGAGGTGAGAGGATCATCTGAGCCTGGGGAGGTCAAGGCTGCAGTTAGCTGTGATCGTGCCACTGCACTCCAGCCTGGGTGAGCGAGTGAGACCCTGGTCAAAAAAAAGGCAGAAAAATAAGAGAAATGTGGCAGTAAATAGACCCTGAAAAAGACACTTGTTTACAATATGTTAGCTGAAAAAAGAATGCAGAGCGTCACCTTGCTCACCCTTAGCTAGGAACTTGTGCAGGAGTATTGGTTTTAAGGTTCCATGTATATTTTAGTGAGTAGGTGAATTCGCAAATATGGAGTCTGTCAACAATGAGGATCTACTGTAGTTTCACAAAACGATAATTGAAGCCGGGCATGGTGGCTCACACCTGTAATACCAGCACTTTGGGAGGCTGAGGCGGGTGTATCACCTGAGGTCAGAAGTTCGAGACCAGCCTGGCCAACATGGCGAAACCCTATCTCTAAAAAATACAAAAAAAAAAAAAAATTAGCCAGGTGTGGCGGTGCTCACCTGTCATTGCAGCTACTAGGGAGGCTGAGGTAGGAGAATTGCTTCAGCCCAGGAGGCGGAGGTTGCAGTGAGCCAAGATCACGCCACTACACTCCAGCCTGGGTAACAGAGCAAGACTCTGTCTCAAAAAAATAAAAGATAATTGAAAATGGAATCACTTCCTTTCCCCATGTGTTTGTTTTTGTTCACATATTGGATGCAGTTGACTTTACTTCTAGAAACATTTTCTTCTCTAGACTTTTGATCCCATTTCTCCACAGTTTTCCTCCCATATCCCCACCCTCCATCCTCCCTGCCTTCCCTCCGCTTTGCCACAACTTTAAGTCTTGCCATAGCCTGGCTGGCTTTTGTGTCTCCTTTATCTACCTGATAACAAGTGATCTCATCCCCCGCCTTGGCTCTCATTCCCATTCATTTGCTGCAGCCTTCCACATGGATAGCCCCAGACCCCTTCCCTGTGCTTCGGGATCACATACAGCTGTTCACTGGGCGTCTCCCAGTGTTTTTCTTAACAGGCAGTCCCTGCTTCCAGAACAGAAGTTTGGATCCTCTCTAACCCCAGAACCGCACTTTCCCCAGTTTCTTGCTGTCTGTCCAGTGGCCCAGGCAGAACACTAAGAGTCACCCCACATTCTATCTGTCATCAAGTGCAGTCTGTCCTTCCTCCAAAATATGTCCTCAGATTACTGCTGCTGATGTTTCCATTTCAATGCAAGCCTGCATTAGCGTCTGCAGGGCTACTGCAACGGTATTTTTTTTTTTTTCTTTTGGGGACGGAGTCTCGCTCTGTCGCCCAGACTGGAGTGTAGTGGCGCAATCTTGGCTCACTGCAACCTCCACCTCCTGGGTTCAAGTGATTCTCCTGCCATAGCCTCCCGAGTAGCTGGGACTACAGGTGCGCATCACCACACCTGGCTAATTTTTGTATTTTTAGTAGACATGGCATTTCATCTTGTTGACCAGTCTGATCTTGAACTCTTGACCTCAAGTGATCCACCCGCCTTGGCCTCCCAAAGTGCTGGGATTACAGGAATGAGTCACCACGCCCAGCTGCAATGGTCTTCTAACTGGACTCCTTATCACTTTTTTTTTTTTTTTTTTTTTTTTAAGATGGGCATCTTGCTTTGTTGCCCAGGCTGGTCTTGAACTCCTGGCCTCAAGTGATTCTCCTGCCTCAGCCTCACAAGTGCTGGAATTACAGGCATGAACCACCAAGCCCAGCTAAGAGGAACTTTTTAAAGGCAAGAACCTGACATTGCCACCTCCCTGCTTCCACCTTCCCATTGCAGTTGGGATGGCACTGAAGTTCCTGGTCATGCCCTCCCGGCCCTGTGGGATCAGACCTGCCGCCTCCCTCTTTCCCTTCTGCATTCCAGCCACACCAGCTTTATTTCTGGTTTTTGAACTTGCCAAGCTCAGCTTGACTCAGGACCTTGGCACTTACTCCTCCCTCTTATGGAATGTGTTTCCCTAGATCTTTAGATGTCCGGTTCTCTGGTCTTCCTTCAAATAATCCCTGCTTAGAGAGAGCCTTCTCTGAGAAGAACCCTAGCTGCATGATCCCACCTCCTTGCTGACACCTCACAATGTCTAGCCCTTTTCCTTTATTTATTTGTTAGTGTTTACTGTCTGTCTCCCATACTAGAATGTAAAGTTATGAGGACACGAACTCTTTTTCATCAGTGTGCCCCAGCCCCTGGAATAGCACCTGGCTCATAGTAAGTCCTCAGTGAATATATGCTGTATGAATAAATGAATACTGACCCCATCATCTCTTTAAATTCATCTTGCTTACCATCAGCAGGATTTTGCCCACACTTTGGAAAATACCACCCTGTGTGTATTTCCCATGAGAGAAACATCAAAGGCAGAGAGAAAGGGACATTCAAGTAATGGAGAAAATAGATTTAATAAACTGCATAAGCAAAAGATTACGTGAATCCTGTGGGGTGGGTGAGGACTTAGAATCATAAATGTTGCATTATTAGATGGAAGTGATGGGATTTGCTTTTTTATTTTTGGGTCATTATTTCTGGAGGCTTTATGGAGGAAGGGGCACTGCAGACTTGGCTACCTGGAAAGAAAATGCTTGACCATGTGGTGTACAGAGTTTAGGAGGTTCTGAGTCATTGGTTGGTGCTGTGTTGAGCACATGAATTGGAAAGGAAAGAAGGCGCAGTCTCATGGAAGAAACAAGACATTTAGATTCATCTGTTATTTCCCATTTCTAATACAAGGAGTTGAGATTCCTTACAAAAAGAGCATATGTACTGTACACTCAATAATTAAATAAAAAATCTGAGAAATCACAAGTAATTTGGAGAAGAAGAAAAAGTAATTTAGAATACTGGCAAGGGGCTTTGAAGCCATGGTTACTCAAACATTAGTCTGTCTAAATTTTTCTTGTGGCCATAGCTGTCATGTAGCCATCTTGTTAGCTGAAAATATAAATTAATTTGTGTTTTCTCCTCATCTAAATTTCAAGAGACAAATCAGTGGGGCTTGAATGTAAGGAATCAAATCTCATTGTACTTAATTTTACCATAAAGCAAAGTTTTTCTAACTTCTAGCTTATTGCCAGCAGTATTCAATGCAATGACGTTATAATGCAATGCATATAAAAGATTTTAGTACTTTCAAAAGAATTAAAAAAAAGGAATCATCCAGTTCTTTGGAATGAGTTGTAGCGGAATTGAACCGTATGTCTGTGGTCAAGGAACACACAGTTTGTTCTTCACTAAATATTTTGGCTGGGCACCGTGGCTCATGCCTGTAATCCCAGCACTTTAGGAGGCTGAGGCTGGAGGATTGCTTGAGCCCAGGAGTTTGAGACCAGCCTGGGCAACATAGTGAGACCCTGTCTATTATTTAAAAAAAAAATTAGTAGAAAGAAAAATCGTTTTCCCCTTCCTCAAACAGGTAAAATCACCCAGAATATGCCTACTCTCCGTGGACATTAAAGGACATAATAAGCCCTTTGGGAGTCCTTTGACTGATTTATAACTACACCAGCATACCTCCGGAATAATGGGGGTTTTATTGTCAAGCTTTATAAAAGTGTTTTTTGAGAAATTATTTTGAGGCAGAGATGTGGATGAGCACGTTAATTGTGTTTTTCCAAGTAATGTTTGGGCCATGTCCTCTCAGAGCCTGGGCTCACTCAAACGATTGTCTGAATGCTGGCAGCCACTTCCCAAGCAAGAGACAGAAGTGGGCTTTGTCTTTCAGAAAGCTCTGTGCCATTGCAAAGCCACTGTTGTTCGAATGGGTTCATGGTCATTATCCACCTTTTCCCAAATGTGCCGTTTGCTCTCATATTTCCACAGCTGATTAAACCCTGTCACTATCCACATCAGATAATAGTTGGACCCCAAAGATGCCCTCTCTTTAAGGATCGTGTCTTTGTCTTTTTTTTTTTTTTTTTTTTTTTTTTTGAGAAGGAGTCTCGCTCTGTTGCCAGGGTGGAGTACAATGGCGTGATCTCGGCTCATTGCAACCTTCGCCTCCTGGGTTCAAGAGATTCTCCTGCCTCAGCCACCCAAGTAGCTGGGACTACAGGTACATGCAACCATGCCAAGCTAATTTTTTTTTTTTTTTTTTGAGACGGAGTCTCGCTCTGTCACCCAGGCTGGAGTGCTGTGGCGCAATCTCGGCTCACTGCAAGCTCAGCCTCCCTGTTTCACGCCATTCTCCTGCCTCAGCCTCCTGAGCAGCTGGGACTACAGGTGCCCACCACCATGCCCGGCTAATTTTTTGCATTTTTAGTAGAGACGGGGTTTCACTGTGTTAGCCAGGATGGTCTCGATCTCCTGACGTCGTGATCCGCCTGCGTCGGCCTCCCAAAGTGCTGGGATTACAGGCATGAGGCACTGTGCCGGTGTCTTTGTCTTTTAAAACAGCTTGAGGGAAGGAAAACACAGTGGAGACTAATTCCCTCTTGAAAATAACTCTTTGCTGACTCAGCCAAGGTGCATTAGAATGCACCCTCCTGATGGGTTTGTTACCTGTATACCTGCAACAAGTTGCATCGTATTTGATTTGTACTTTCTGTGAGCCTGGAACAATGCGGCTCTCATGACCCAGCCTTCCCTGCCAGAGACCAGTTATAAGACGAAGTGACGACCAGACACGGTGTCTCATACCTGTGATCCCAGCACTGTGGGAAGCTGAGGCGGGTAGATCACCCGAGATCAGGAGTTTCAAGACCAGCCTGGCCAACATGGTGAAACCCCATCTCGACTAAAAATACAAAAATTAGCTGGGCATGGTAGTGTGTGCCTGTAATCCCAGCTATGCAGGAGGCTGAAGCACAAAAATCACTTGAACCCGGGAGGCAGACGTTGCAGTAAGCTGAGATCGTGCCACTGCACTCCAACCTGGGCAACAGAGCGAGACTCCATCTCAAAAAAAAAAAAATACTAAGTCATAAATAAGACTCAGTTGTCAAAATCTAACAGTTTTGCCCTCTTGTATGTAGAATCAGAAGATATTAAGAGCCGGAGTTTGTAAGTATTACCTCTTGGCTAACACCCTCATTTTATCAGAAGAAAAAAAGCCCCAGAGACATCAGATGACTTACCTAAAAGTCACACAGCTAGTAGCAAATTTTTGTTTCAACTTGCTGTCTATCTTTCTCCTTACTTACAACTCTGGAGAGGGGTTTGTTAATCAGATCTCCTTAAGGTTGGAAGAGTAAATTCTCCCCTCTCCATCCAAAGGGGAAGATGCCTGTGTCTCCTGGGTTTTTTCCAGGTGGAGGTTTTGTTATAAGTAAGGTTTGGCTGTTAAATATCTTCCCTTTTTTAAGAGTTCTAGGAAGGAAGTGTGTTTGAGGAGGTTTGAGCCTGCAAAGTGGAAGTGACACTGTGGGTTGCACGGTTTGGCCACTGACTTCTCACGTGGTTTCAGTCCTTAGCACCGTGGTATTGACATGACATCAGTTGCAAAATTAATAAGTAATGTGGCATTGTTACTACATCACAGGCATATTTGAGAATGAACATCACTGTGTTTTGCAAAGTAAACGTTTAAGGGGTGAAGAAAGGGTCATGTATTGCTAATAAAGGATTATGTTAGTAACCTGGATGTGAGAGAACATTTCTACTTTTTCAGACCTGTATTTCAAATAAAATGTGATGTCATCTTCTGAAGACTTAGGAAAAGTTTGAGTGAGTAAGCGCCTTCTCCCTCAGCTTCCATTTCCGCTCTGTTCTTTTTTTTTTTTTTTTTTTGTGAGACGGAGTCTTGCTTTGTTGCCCAGGCTGGAGTGCAGTGGCACCATCTCAGCTCACTGCAACCTCCACCTCCTGTGTTCAAGCAATTCTCCTGCCTCAGCCTCCCTAGTAGCTGGGATTATAAGCATTTGCCACCACACCCGGCTAATTTTTGTATTTTAGTAGAGACGGGGTTTCACCATGTTGGCCAAGCTGGTCTTGAACTCCTGACCTCAGGTGATCCTCCCGCCTTGGCCTCCCAAAGTGTTGGGATTACATGCGTGAGCCACCACGCCCAACCAACTTCTGCTCTATTTTCTTTGCTGGGAGTGGACAGCTTTACTCTGGAGGAGGAGATGCAGCCTCTTCTCATGCAGAGACAATCACTGTCATTCTCCATCGGGAGCAAACTCCTGAAATGGGGCAATATCTACCCACGTGGAACCAGAGGTGCTGGTGCTGGTGCTGGTGCTGAGCTTTGAACTTCCTTCAGAACAAAAGTAAACAGCAAGTTGCCCTTGTTCTTTACCATAAGCAGAGAAGGCCTGTCTATCCAATTGTGACTGCATGATTTGTTTTAGATTTGTTAATTTACATTTTGCAGAATACTGAGGCACATTTTCTGTGAACTTATGTGGTTATATATACTTTCAATCAGTGGATACTGGAAGCATTGTTATACATTTGATGTCTTTTATAAAAGAATCCTAAGGGCCAAAAATGTTGGGAACTTTGGAGTAACTGAAATGGCAATGTGCTGTATCTTATCATAATACTTTGGAGTTCATTGTGACTTGAAAATTCCAATTAAAGTTGGTATAACCTCTATCATGTATTGATTAAAAATGCACATACCCTTTGACTTAGCAACTCCGTTTCTCTGAGTTTATCTTACAAATATACTCCACATGTGGGGAATAATACATGGACAAGGTTATTCATTATAGCATTATTTATACCAAAAACATGGAAACTCTCAAGTGTTGGCTAATTGGGGATGGATTTAGTAATTTATAGCACATGCATACAATGGAAAACTATATAGCCATTAAAAAGATTCTGACGCAGTGATAGATAAAGTGTTGACAAAGGTGAGAGTGGCATGTAGTGGTTGAAGGATGATCTTTTCAAAAAATGATACTGAGTCGTTTGTTTATCTATACTGAACAAAATGTATCAGGACCCCTACCTAATACCACATAAAAAATTGATTCCAGCTGTATGAAAGATAAAACAGTGGAAGCTCTTAGAAGAAAACATAAGAGCACATTTTTGTTACCTTAGAATAGACCATCTGTAATTTAATACATTTTGCTTTCTGCCATTCAGTTAGTTACTTATGACCATCTCTTTGTTAATCAACAAAAACCAAATCCAATATTTTACTTCAATAAAGGGCAAAATAAAACATGCCTGTGCTGGTCTCATCTCTTTATAATCCTACTTTTTAAAACTTGTATAATTACATCTTATTAATTGTAGTGTTAATTTGTTGGTTGTTTAAGGATCTAAATGGCTATTTCTTCTTCTTCTTTTTTTGTTTGAGATGGAGTCTTGCTTTGTCACTTAGGCTGGAGTGCAGTGGTGCAATCTCGGCTCACTGCAACCTCCGCCTCCTGGGTTCAAACAATTCTTCTGCCTCAGCCTCCTGAGTAGCTGGGATTACAGGTGCATGCCACCATGCCCGGCTAATTTTTGAATTTTTAGTAGAGACAGGGTTTCACCATTTTGGTCAGGCTGGTCTCAAACTCCTGACCTCAGGTGATCCGCCCACCTCGGCCTCCCAAAATGCTGGGATTACAGGCGTGAGCCACTGTGGCCGGCCTAAATGGCTATTTCATGGTGAATAAACCATTAGCCTCAGGCTTCGTCTCCTCTCTCTGTTTGAAGACAATAAAGTATGATGTAATTGTATTATTTTGATAAGGTAATATTTAGTCCCATGACATACAAAACACTAGTAGCATTACATAAAACAAAGTATTTCAATAGTGAAAGAGAACATTTATATACAATTATTTCTATAGTCTAACAGTATCACTAACATTACATGCCTTTTAAAAAATATGTTTGAGTTACTGAAGAAGATTGAGATACAGATGTTGACTTGTTTAGGGCAACAGGTTAAGCTAACTTTAGAACGCTGATTACTACCTTTAGTCCTGCAGGCTGTGGAGCCGGGCAGCCAAGCCATGCTTGAAATCAGAATCGTCAAGGTGGATGCAAGAGCCATTGGCTGCAGAGTGAGGTTTTGGAGAGTAGTTGCTTGTGGCTGGGATTTTTGAAGTCCAAGTCTCCTAACTTTTATTACTCTTTACCTTGTGAAGTCATATAAGGCTCTAAGTCAAGTAAGACGGAAGGAATAAGATTAGCACACTTCCTGGTACAGTGGGCAGTACGTGATAGCTATCTGAAAGTTTGCTCAGTCGCAGCCTCCCTGACAGTACCCTAGCCTGGCAATCAGGTGCCTTTGTTTGCAGAGTGGGGCTGATTACCAAGTAGTTAATACTGGTTGGCTCAGAACCTGTCCTCAAAGTTCAGAATAGATTTGAGTATATTTTTGATTTTAGAGCCTTATGGCCAGAAATGGCCTTATCTTGCAAGAATCTTCCTGGGAAAAAAACATATATATATATATTTTTTTCTTCTCTTTGAGACAGAGTCTCGCTCTGTCACCCAGGCTGGAGCGCAGTGGCACAATCGTGGCTCACTGCAATCTCTGCCTCCCGGGTTCACGCGATTCTCCTGCCTCAGCCTCCCCAAGTAGCTGTGACTACAGGCATGCACCACCACCCCCAGCTAATTTTTGTATTTTTAGAAGAGATAGGGTTTTGCCATGTTGGCCAGGCTGGTCTCGAACTCCTGTCCTCAAGCGATCCACCTGCCTCGGCCTCCCAAACTGTTGGCATTACAGGTGTGAGCCACCGCACCCACCCCTGGAAAATATTTGAATTCCCAGGGATCTCTGGGTGATGGGACTGTTACTTTCTTCTGATCCTGTGCTTTTGGGGTGGTACTCACTCACTGGCTTAGAACAGCCTGGAATCCTAAGAGGAATGGATGAATGAATGAATTCACACACAACAAACTAACGGAAATGTTTTGAGTCACGCCACCTTGCGTGTGAATCCCCTTACTGTGGCTAACCCACCTCACTGTTCTGAGGAAGCCCATGTTCACTGAGCACCTTTTATGTTCCAGGGTCTTGCTGGGCTGGATGGTGGTGAGGATCACACAGTAGTCCCGCCTTATCCTCAAGGCATGCTTGAAACCACGGATAGTACCCAAGCTTGTATATACAATGCTGCTTCTATACAAATATATTTATGATAAAGCTGAATTTCTAAATTAGGCACAGTAAGAGGTTATCAACAATAACTAATAATAAAAAAGAACAATCAACACAATATGCCAGTATTACCACTCTTGCACTTTGGGGCCATGATTAAGTAAAATAAGGGTGACTTGAACACCAGCACTGCAATACCCCGGCAGTTTGTTTTTGAATTTTTTTATTTAATATTTTTGGACCTTGAGTACCTGAAGCCACAGAAGGTGACACAGGGGACACTAGGAGACTACTGTGTAAGATAAAGAGTCTATAGAAACACACATAGAAGCAGTAGGCAGGGATTCATAATGGCTGCTTTCCTTTTCTTTAGCTTGATAAGAGTGCTACCAAATACATCTCCAGTGTCATGAATTCATGGATGTGTGACCAGTAGCTCTTGGCCAGCCATTTCTGGTCTTAACACCCAGATCATCATAGAATATGAGGATAGGAATCCACTGATGACAGAATCCTGAATGACTATCTTATGTGCCTGAAAGCCTGCCTCAAAGAAGGCTGATGTCTTCTTGAATTAAAGAGTTGCTTGCATATAGAATATACTGGAGTCATTTTTCAGAAGATCCTTACATGGCTTGGCAGAGGGTGGCATCCAGTTTATCTTTGGCGGAATTAGATTTGCTGCTCAAGATTGTTTTCAAATTGTTTGATAGCTTCAGGGAGGTCCACTGGTAAGCTCACAAATTCAGAAATAGTTTGAGGCTACAGAAGAATTCTTTTCATGTTTGAGCTGTGATCTAAGCCAAGAGCCTTGGAAATTTTGAATCCGTCTTATATTTTCTTTCCTGAATGAGAAATGGGTATACTTGCTCAGTTCCGATTCTGACAACATGACTTATTTCAAAAACAAATAGCTCACTCCGTGAAGCAAACCCTGTATCACTCTCCTCTGGTGACATTTCGATTCTGATACAATGTGGTGGCATGGGGATAGATTTTAGACCAGGAAAAGAGAGAGCCTCTCATTTGTGGCCCAAAAGACTCAATTTTAAAGATCAGATTGGAATCTGTCAGGGAGGACATATGGACATAGTGATTTTTTCTTTTATTTGCCTTTTTTCGCCTCTCTTTACTTTTGGTTTAATGTCTTTTAGGACTTGAGGTACAAAATCCCATGTTGTGGAGGCATTAGCTAACAGTTGTAAAACCTTAGGAAAAGTACAGCATCTCAGTGATCCTGCCTTCCTAAAATTGCTCCTCAACAAATACAGATGGAGGAAATAGAAATATCTAAAATGAAACGTGTTCTTTCGTCTTAGATGTCTTTATCTTCTTGCTTTTATCAGCAGCCTTGAGTGACAGGATTTTATACTTTTGGAAGATTAGAGGGTTTGTTTGTTTTTCTTGCAGAAATAGTTACTTATACCATGTTCATTTATCTGCCTCAGTTCTGAGAATTCTTTGCCAATTTTTTTAATAGCATGTGTTTGGATGAATTATAGACTTCATAGAAGTAACTTCAGGAATTATCGACTTCATAGTCGATACAACATAATGAGACCCTGTCTGTACTTTAACTTTTTAATACAAGAAATTTTTTAAAATTTTAGGGGCATTTAGGTTTTTGGGGGATAGTGCATGGAGTGAAACTAACAGAAGTATTGATCCCAGGATTAGGAAGTTGGGTTTGTATTTCAGTCTCTGTTACAGGAGTGACCAAGTGGCTTGACTCTCTTTAGCTTAGTTTTTCCATCTGCAAAACAGAGATAATATTTTCTATTACCTTCTAGATTCTCAGAGTGTGATGAATTTTCAGTTGTTGAAAATTTCTGCAAATGAATTAAGCGATGCCTGTTAGGCCACATTAATGGACTAAAAACTGCTAGGATCTAAAGTTGACATGCCATTGAACTTTCTGCCTGAAGACTTACTGAGGAAACTTTGTCTACAAAGGTTTGGTGCAAAGAACCCCATTACTTTATGGCCAAATTTTCTTCACATGCCGATGGTAATCCAGTAGTCTTTCTTCTAACTTCTTGGCGGCTTTCATATACTCTTCAGACTGGCTAAGTCATACGTTAATAGGAAGAACTAATTTTCTCTCCCTGAGGCTGAACTTGTGATCTTTTTCATCTGGTTTCCACTTCTCAGATTTCCCCAAATCTCTCAGTCGTCTTTCCCAAAGTATTTAAAGGAAGATTGATTTTAACAGAGTGCTATGGACTGAATTATGTCCCTCACAAATTCCTATGTTGAAGCCTCAGCCCCTAGTGTGATGGTATTTGGAGATGGGTCCTGGGAGATAATTAGGTTTAGATGAGTTCATGGTGGGGCCCTCATGAGGGGATTAGTGCTTTTTTTAAAAAAAATTATTTTTAAAAATGTCTTTTATTAAAAAGTTAATTAAAGTACAGACAGGGTCTCATTATGTTGGCCAGGTTGGTCTTGAACTCCTGGCCTCAAGCAATCCTCCCACCTCAGCCTCCCAAAATGCTTGGATTACAGGTGTCAGCCCCTGTGCCTGGTCTCTTCTTTTATGTGGAGAGCGCTCTCCCTCTCTCTCGCTCTTGCTGTCTCTCACTCTCTCTCCCTCTGTCTCTCTCTTTCTGTCTTTCTCTTTCTCTCTCTATGCTATGTGAGGATACAATGAGAGGGTGGCCACCTATAAGCCGGGAAGAGAGCCCTCACCGGAAACTGACCATGATGGTAACTTGATCTTGGACTTCCAGCCCCCAGAGCTGTTAGAAAACACATTTCTGTTATTTAAGCCACATGGTGTGTGGTATTTTGTTATGGCAGCCTAAGCTGACTGAGACACAGGGAGTTGCGTGTTATTTGAAATACGAGTCCACTGTTGCCAGATCAAAGTTCAATCTCTGTAGTTTAATCCTAGATTTTTCCCTCCTCTTTTACAGGGATTTGAATCTAGTGAAAGTAATTCACATGCACATCAGATACATGCCTTTAGCAGCCTTCTGGCCTTGAAAATCCTGCTGTTGCTGATTCAGTTGTCAGGGCCCAAATCAGCTGGTGAACTCATGAGTTTGCAGGTCTAGAATTGTAGGTGTGGGAAGGGGAGAGAGACATGGGTTACTGAAGACTTGTGCAAATAAATGCTGTGTTCATCTTCACCGATTCACCAGGTATCTGAGTAGGAGGTATGCACTTAGCACTTGGAATACTCAGAGATAATGCCATTGCACACTTAATTGATACTTCTCCTAACACTTAAGAGAAGTGGACATAGATTCTGTTTGTGGGAAGTTTATAATGAATTAAAAGACCCCAAGTATAAAGCCATAAATAACTCCAGGGAAAGGAAGGCTGAACATGAAAAAAGTTGCAAAAAAAGTCCAGTTGGGGTTATTGGAGTTTAGAGAAGCAGAGATTATTCTAATTGAGGGAGTTGAGGAAGCTTCAGGGAAGTAGTTGAACTTTATAGAGATGGACATCAGGTTTGGGAAGGCTGGGGACCTGGCACAGCGTGAGCCCTGGCCCTAACGCAGTTATTTGTGGCAAGTGGATAATGAGGAAGTTGTCCATTCTTGCTGAAGCAAAGGGTGGGTAAAGTGGAAAAGAGGGAAATGATATAGATTTTGTCAGATTATGGGGAGACTTGTTTACCTTGATTTTTTTTCTTCCTCTTTAACCATTCATGCTGCAATAGTGTGCTGGTAAACTAGCTCTGTAGAGTGGGAGGAAAAAACTTGAGTTTGTAGCATTCACCAATATCTGTGGTGTAAATACTCCCACAGTGGCCAATTTCAGACCAGCAGTGGATTAAGAGATAGCTCACAGAATTCCTGAAAATTCCTGAAAATGTAACAGTTGGCCCTTCCAAACTAGTACAAGTTTGCTCCAGTATTCTGTGAAAAACCTGGGCTAGTTCCTACATGACAAATAGTTACAGTACCTGCCTGCCCACAGCCTGGATAGAAGACCCAGGGAAGGCCTAGGTAGCCTCGTTTTACACCATCTAAGATTCCTGTGGCCATCACTGATTGTCCCTGGATGGACACACTACCTAGAGGCCATTCCGTAGCCTGGACAATGACATATGGTTTGACGCAAAGAAGTAAGTACTCAATCAGGTTCCTTCTCTTGGGAATTTGAATGAGGAAATACCAATATGTTTTGCCACAGGGGCAAAAGCTAAAAGGATGTCGTTTGGGAGTTGAGTTGGTGGCAACCTGAAGCCATGTGGAAGCCAATGTTGTGAATGGAAACCACAAGGAAACTGAAAAAGCTGATTGATAGAGAGAGGGGAGCAGATGTGGAGAGACCCTACAGCCCTAGAGTGGCCCCTGTTCTTAGCAGCTTTCCAAGTCCAGGTCTAAAACATCCCTTTTCTGAGGCAATTTGAGTGAGTCTCTGTTCCTTGCAATACCGTGGCATCACTGAAGAAGTTTATGTGGCAACTCAGGGTACTTTGCAGAGCTTTCTATGAATGCAGACATACCTCCTTCTATATAGCACATCACTTTATTGATCGACCATAAGATTCATGGTCGATCAATAAAGCAATGGTTCATGAAGTTTGATGAAAGAAGTTTAATAAAAGAAGCCATTGCCATAGCATAGAAGTGCAAGGTGAGGCAGCAAGTGCTGATATAGAAGCTGTGGCAAGTTATCCAGAAGATCTAGTGAAGATATTGATGAAAGTGGCTACACTAACAACATATTTTAAGTGTAGATGAAATAGCCTTCTATTGTAAGAAGATGCTGTCTAGT
Organism: Homo sapiens; assembly: GCF_000001405.40. NCBI lineage: Eukaryota > Metazoa > Chordata > Mammalia > Primates > Hominidae > Homo > Homo sapiens. The sequence goes on from NC_000008.11 coordinate 25,207,402, forward strand.
ACTTTCATAGCTAGAGAGGAGAAGTCAGTGACGGGCATCAAAGGATAGGCTGACCCTCTTGTTAGGGGCTAATGCAGCTGGTGACTTTAAATTGAAACCAGTGCTCTTTCACCATTCTGAAAAATCTGAGGGCCCTTAACAATTATGCTAAATCTACTCTGCCTGTGCTCTATAAATGGAACAGCAAAGTCTGGATGACAGTACATCTGTTGACAGCATGGTTTACTGACTATTTTAAGCCTACTGTTGAGACCTACAGCTGAGAAAAAGAAGATTCCTTGATTCAAAATATTACTGCCCATTGACAATGCACCAGGTCACCCAAGAGCTTAGATGGAGATGGACAAGGAGATTAATGTTTTCATGCCTGCTGACACAACATGAATACTGCAGCCCATGGATCAAGGGATAATTTTGACTTTCAAGTCTGATTATTTAAAAGAATACATTTCATGAAATGGTGGCTGCCATAAATAGTGATTACGCTGATGGTTCTAGGTGTAGTACATTAAAAACCTTCTGGAAAGGATTCCCCATTCTAAATGCCACTAAGAATATTGATGTTTCATGGGAGGAGGTCAAAATATCAATATTAGTAGGAGTGTGGAAGAAATTGATTCCAATTCTCATGGATGACTTTGAGGGGTTCAAAACTTCAGTGAAGGATGTCCCTGCAGATGTTGTGGAAATAGCAAGAGCACTAGAATTAGAAGTGGAGCCTGAAGATGTGAGAATTGCTGCAATCTCTTGATAAAACTTGAGCAGAGAAGAGTTACTTTTTATGAATGAGCAAAGAAAGTGGTTTCTTGAGATGGACTCTATCTTGGTGAAGATGCTGTGAACATTGTTGACAACCAAGGATTTAGAATAATCCATAAACTTGTTGACAAAGCAGTGGAAAGGTTTGAGAGGATTGACTCCAAATTTGAAAGAAGTTATACTGTGGGTGAAATACTATGAAATGCTATCAAATAGCATCACATGCTATAGAGAAATATTTCATGAAAGGAAGTATCAATTGATCTGGCAAACTTAATTGCTGTCTTATTTTAAGAAATTGCCACAGCTGCCCCAGTCTTCAGCAACTGCCACCCTGATCCATGAGCTGCTATCAATATCAAAGCAAGACCCTTCACCAGCCAAAAAATTAAGAGTCCTTGAAGGCTCAGATGATCATATGCATTTTTTTAGCAATAAAATATTTTCAAATTAAGGTCTGTACATTTTTTAGACATAATGCTATTACACACTTAATTGACTGTAGTGTAAACATAACTTTTATAGGCACAGGGGAACCGAAAAATTTGTGTGATTGGCTTTACTGCAATATTTGCTTTATTGCACAGTCTGGAACCAAATCCACAGTATCTCCTAGGTATGCCTATATAGCAAATTTCTTAAGAATAGAGGACAAATCACTTGCTTCTGATTGAGGTTAAAATATGCCCATGACCTTCATTTCTTTGCCTTCCCTCCCTCCCTGCACTCCTCCCAAATGACTTGTGAATATTATTTTTTCATTCTTTTTCATTCCAGCAGAGCTGGTTTGGAATTCATGATGTTGAAAGAATAGCCAGTAGGAACATGTGGTGGGGTGATGTTTTGTTGGCATTTACCATTACAGAAAATCACAAGAAAATTGGAGCCATTAGCAGCAGGGAAAGGAAAATGAGTTCTTTATCTGCTGAGGGCATCTGGTGAGGGAGGGTCTGTGAAGATGCCGCGGGTGCACTGCTCTAGTATGAAATGCCATTTGAAGGAGGCTCAGAGCACATTAGCGCCGTCATCCCTGTCTGATGTTCTCACCACACGCAAGTTCGTGAATAATTAAATTGTTAGGAAGGGGAAAGTCATGCATGGCGGGTCTTGCCCGAGGCTCAGGCAGACACACAATGAGGTCGCTACTCTGGGAGCCCAGTGGTCCAGGATGCCAGTCTGGCAGTGCCAGGGAAGGATGCTTCCTTTCAATAAGCGAACATTGTGAGGGAGCGGGGTGGAGGCAAGAGACCGCTTAGAAATCAGCACATGTGAATTCTGCTTCAAACTCTGCCACTAACCAGCTATTTGACCTTCCAGAAGTTGCTTCTTCATCTATAATGAAGGATGATGCCAAGAGGATTTTAACTTTTTGAGAAATAAAGCTCCTTTGAGACTGTAATGAAAGCTGTGGATTCTTTCCACAGAAAATGGTGCATATGTCTGTCGATGACATTTCACATACAACTTTAGGAAGTTTAGAAATCTTTGGGGACTCAAGGATCCCAGCTTAAGAAGAAGTCTTGCATGAGATGATGTCTGAACTTTTTTTGTATCTCTACAATTGCATTTTTCTGAGACTTTGGATCTTGGAAGGAACCTAGAATGTCAGCTGGGCTCTCACTTCTACTCTCAACAAGAGGCAAGCCTGCCCTGCCAGCATTTCGTGCAGAAGGCGCAAGCAACATGGGAGCCTCCTGTGTTTTCCTCAAAAGACACCATACTTCTTTTTCATTAGAGACAGGGTCTCAGCCTCGCTCTGTTGCCTAGAGTGCAGTGGCGCCATGATCCTCCCCCCTCAGTCTCTTGAGCTGCTGGGACTACAGGCACATGCCACCATCCCCGGCTAATTATATATATATATATATATATATATAAATGTGTGTGTGTGTGTGTGTGTGTGTGTGTGTGTATCTGTCTATTTATCTATCTATCTATCTATCTATCTATCTATCTATCTATCTATCTATCTATCTATCGAGTAGAGATGGGGCCTTGCTATTTTGTCCAGGCTAGTCTTGAACTCTTGGCCTCAAGCGATCCTCCTGCCTTGGGCTCCCAAAGTGCTGAGATTACAGGCATGAGACACTGCATCTGGCCCTCTATAACCTCTTGATGTGTGCATTCTAAGCGGGAAGAAACAGACAGCAAATGCACAGTATGTATAGCATGATGTCAGTGATCAGGGCTTTGAAAATATTGATGAAGCACAGTGATGCCATAGACAGTGATGGGGTGAGGTGCTGTTGTCGAGTTGGGATGGTCAGATAACGGCTCTGTGGAGGGGATATGTGGGAAAAGATGTGAATAAAAGAGGGATTGGGACCGGGCGCTGTGGCTCACACCTGTCATCCCAGCATTTTGGGAGGCCAAGGTGGATGGATCAGTTGAGGCCAAGAGTTCAAGACAAGCCTGCCCAACATGGAGAAACCCCATCTCTACTGAAAAATACAAAAATTAGCCAAGTGTGGTGACACATGCCTGTAATCCCAGCTACTTGGGAGGCTGAGGCATGAGAATTGCTTGAGCCTGGGAGGCAGAGGTTGCAGTGAGCTGAGGTGGCACCACTGCACTCCAGCCTAGGCGACAGATCAAGACTGTCTCCAAAACAAAAAAGAGGGACTGAGCCATGCAAATCTAAAGTAAGAACATTCTAGGCAGAAGATGTGGCACAGTTAAGGAGCAGTGGAAAGTGCCAATGTTCCTGGAGCTGAATGAGGGGAGGGGGAAGGGAGGAGGGAGAGGTGGGAGACAGGTTGAGAGACTGGCAGAGCTGAGGTTGGGGTAGTTCTTTGTCTACTGGAAACACAATTATCTGTACTCAAATGACATCTAATAATAATGGTTATTGATAAGCCACCCATTCATTTCATAGGCTTGGTTCATTACCAGCAATGGGCTGCTTTAATAAGACAGTGGTCCTCAAACCTCCTTCTGTCAACAGCACCTGGATAGCCTGCTTTGCAGAGTACCATTGGAATCAGATATCCCTGTCTTTAAGGAACTTACAGTACAGCAGAGGGGACAGGATGGTGTCTCCATTATTTTGTGCACATGGGAGAATTGCTGTGTCTCATAAGAGAAGCACAGAAAGTGCCAAATAGAGTTTCAGGAGAGGAAGTGAGTACTATCTATTGGAGAGGTCAGGAAGGCCCCAGGGAACAACTACGCCAGTTTTATCACCCATGCACTGGGGATGGTATTAGAACCTCCCACAGCATTGTATAGATAAACTGTTTGAGTGCCTAGAAAGCTTTCCACACAGGGCCTGGCACACACCTAGTAAGTGCTCAATAAAATATGGGCAAGCATTTGACTTGCGTCTTAAAGAAGGTTTACGATTTCTGAAATATAAAATGCTGTCTGTGGCCAGGCACAGTGGCTCATGCTTGTAATCCCAACACTTTGGGAGGCTGAGGCGGAAGGATCACTTGAGCCCAGGAGTTTGAGAGCAGCCTAGGCAACATAGAGAGACCACATCTCTGCAAAAACATTAAAAAATTAGTCTGGTGCAGTGGTGCATACCTGTAGTCCCAGCTACTCTGGAGGCTGAGGCGGGAGGATCGCTTGAGCCCAGGAGGTCAAGGCTACAGTGAGCTACTATCATGCTGCTGCACTCCAGCCTAGGCAACAGAGCAAGAGCCTATCTCTAAATAAATTAATTAATTAATAAATGCTATCTACGTAGTTTATCATGCAGATTTTTTAGAAATACAGCTTCCGCCGGGCACGGTGGCTCATGCCTGTAATCCCAGCACTTTGGGAGGCCGAGATGGGCAGATCACAAGGTCAGGAGATCGACACCATATTGGCTAACACGGTGAATCCCTGTCTATACTGAAAATACAAAAAAATTAGCCAGGCATGGTGGCGGGCACCTGTAGTTCCAGCTACTCTGGAGGCTGAGGCAGGAGAATGACGTGAACCTGGGAGGCAGAGTTTGCAGTGAGCCGAGATTATGCCACTGTTTTCCAGCCTGGGTGACAGAGCGAGACTCCGTCTCAAAAAAAAAAAAAAAAGACAGCTTCCATGTAAAGAACTATTCAGGTCAAAATAGCTAGCTATTTTTTTTTAAATCTGGTTGTTTGCTTTATGAGTAGTCTTAATTAACAAGAGGATCAAGATTTTTCCAAATCTAAATCCATCTGTATAGCCTTGTTCAGGAAACATTTTGTTCTTGACTTTGGCTTGTGTTTGATACACTTGAACTGTCTGTGTTATTTATTGCTTCTTTAATTAGAGCAGCTTTTAAGGACCAACTGTGGGCCAACAGTGTGCTAAGGGCCACGGGCAAGTTTCATGTGGGGTCTTGAAAGAGCTTACATTCTAGTCGGGGAAATAAGAAGTATACACAAAAGTCAAATTATGTTGAGTCTTCATTATGTGGGTACCACCTAGGAAGGGGACTGGATGTACCTCTGCTCAAAACATCTGGATCCCATTTCACTTGCGAAGTCTGTTTTGAAAGGAAATATCCAGATGTGTCACGTGACTGTGACCAATTCATCTGAAGTAGCTAGAGAGTGTCTGAATAATTTTATTTCGATGCTTGCAAGAGAGAGGGTCGAAAACCCCTTTATGCTGGACTAGAGGAAAACCTCAGCAAGGGAGGTCTGTGTCAGGCCAGCGTGATTCTAGATGGGGCTGACACCATCCTCTACCCTCCCCAGCCATGGCAGGGAAATGCTCAGGAAATAGATTAAGGCACGAGGGCTTGGCGTGGCTTAATTGACCCCTGAGTTTTGACTGCCAAAACCCTGAATAAGGATGAATCTGCTGTTTGGAGAATATTCCCTGAGCAATTTAAAGGCTAGTTTCTGGGTTTGCAGAAAAAGGCAAGGTTCACTGTGAACGGAGTCTTGGAGGTTGCCTACAATGGTCATGGGTGGACGAGTTTGTTGGAAAAGCCCCCGTGACTGGGCTCTCGGTAGAGTGGCAGGGCGTGTGTGTTGGAATGGAAGATGGAAAGTTAAACCTTGGGCTCAGTGGGCGTCTAATCAAGAGAGAAGTTTCCTGTGCGTCAGGCCCAGACCTAGGAAACGGGGAAGGTCTCCGTGTTTCCAGCCTCAGCCTCAAATGAATGGGCACCAGGATGGGCCGCAGTGACTTCTCCGGGGTCTCTCTGATGTCCAAAGCTCTCCCCACACCCAGATATTTTTGTTTCACAGGAAAGTCAGGAGCCTCCTGAAAACAGACATGAATGTAGCAAAAAAAAAAAAAAAAAAAAGCTGATAATCTCTAGGTTTCATCCCCCTTCTGGCTGCTGCAGCTATTTGTAACCTTTCCTTTGTGTGCGTCTGGTAGTGTCCCCTTTTTGAAGCCTTTTAACGTTTGAGAAACTGGAGACCTGGTGTTTTTTGTTTGTTTGTTTTTTTGTTTTCCTAGTTTTTACTCTTGTTTAGGGTCTGGCATTTTCATTTTCCTCATGCTACATCAGGGTTTAATTAGCAACTGTCTTTGAAATAGCCTTCAGGGAGGAATGAACTTTCTTTGTGAATACCTCCTCACCCCCCAAAGAAAAGCAGTAATGCAAATTAAATGTGTATCCAGAATTGCAGTCACTCTAATCCTGACATCACAAACGCATTTGTTCTTGGAAATGACTTTGGTGGAGCCTGACAGTTTTATGCTTCTTACTGTGGCTGAGGTGGAGTGTCCTCTTTAGATGCAATAAGAGATGGGGGAGAGGTTGATGCTTTGATTAGTAAACCTGTTACAGGTTGTGTGTCCCTTATGGAAAGTACTTGAGACCAGAAGTGTTTTGGATTTTGTATTTTTTTCAGATTTTAGAATATTTGTGTATACATACTGAGACATCTTGGGGATGGGACCCAAGTCTAAACACAAAATTCATTGGTTTCATATACACCTTATGCACGTAGCCTGAAGGTAATTTTGTACAATTATTTTCAATAATTTTGTCCATGAAGCCAAGTTTGTGTACATTGAACCATCAGAAAGCAAAGGCATCACTCTCTCATGGCAACGCTCTAACAGTTTCAGATTTTGGAGCATTTTGGAGTTCAGGTTTCTGGATTAGGGATGCTCAGCCCTTAGCAGGTTCTGTTGTCTCCCTCACTGACCCCTCTGCTTTTAGAGAACGAATTCTCTGCTTTGCCTGTTCCTCTTTGATCTTAACCTTGGATATTTTCCTCTTTCTCCTGGATGTTTGGTATCCAGGAGGGCACAGAGAGGTGAGCCTGGACCCCGTGTTGGGTGTGTGTCTTGGGGTCAAGGGATCCTGGGCACATGAGTGGGGAAGCCATTTCTGAGCACCTTTGAAAAAGGAAAAGTGGCATTTTCACAGCAAATATGGGTTGTGTCTAATCTGGTAGTTCCCAATTTCAATCTCCTATTTACCTCTTCAACATCCAGGCGGGTGACACACACTGTCAGTATCTATAAGTATACACAGTGATTCCTGTACCTTCACTGTAAGACTGTCAGCTGCCAACCCCTGACCCCCAAGCCCCACTGCCACTTCTCTTAAAGTGTGACTTAAATGCCATCCCCTGGCACCTCTTTTATCCTGTGGGAATAGTCTTATCGATTCAGCAGTCATCGGTTGGTCATTAATCTTCCACAAACCACGCACTTTATCATTGCGAAAGGGGACAGAGAGGATCAGGATGTTGGGTTGTGACACGCGAGAGAGCCCCATCTGTCCCTGGCTGCTCCGCTGAGGTCATGGTACAGCACAGAGGACCAGATGGGATGGCTAGAATCTGTGTCCTACCCTAACTTTGTTTTTATCCGCCACTGGCCAGCTGCAAATTTGCTCTTGCCAGCAGAGGCTAGGGCCTGGAATGAAAGACTTCCTATACTGCTGGCTGGACATATTTCTCCCATGCATCAGCAGATGAGCCTTTTGAAGGGTGAGACATGATCTGTGACTAGGGGCTGTGGGAAAACATGCCTGTCCTGGAGCTGGGGGAATCCTGGACTCCATTTTGGAGAGGGAGTCATCCAGCCCCCGTTGGGATATGGTTCTTCAGGCCAGGGAAGGCCCTAACAATGGCTCAGCTGGACTCTTTGTGTCTGTTTGAAAAACAGGGGAATTGGGTGACCAGTTTGATTTCAGCTTTAAAACATGGATAGGCTAGGGTGACACTGCCATCAACATATTCCATGGGAACAGAGGGCCTTTGGACAAGGCAGTGTCTCTGGGTGAGGGTAGGATGGGGGTGGGGGGATGTCTTTTCTCCTCTGTCCTGGATCTGTAGAGGCTGGGGAGAGAGAGAGAGGCACAGAACTTTCAGTGCTTCAAGTGCAGGAAGTGTTTCTTCTACACCCCGATCCCCAGTACCCTGGCCATCATCAGAGGCCGAGTAAGGTCACTGGTGCAACTTGTCCACTATGTGACAGTTGCCATTTATTGTGAAGGTAGGACAGTGACTCTCGGGAGGGCACAGATAAGGAGAAAGGAATTCTTCCCAAGCAGGGCAGGAGAGCAATTTGCAACCTACTCAATCCCTTGGTCATTGTGTTATTTCTATTTCCAGCAACATTTCTGACAACAGTATGTATGATTAGAACACATCTCTTTTTTTTCACCTTTAAATATAAAAAAGGCTTTATTAAAGCAGTACTGTTCTGTTTTTAATGAATATATAATAATTCCTATTACAATAATAACAGAAAGTGATAGCTATTAACTTTGATATTGCTTCCCCCAGTTTGGATAGAGAAAAGGTTATTGTCATTTCTATATTAGATTATTAAAAGTAACACCTCTCAGATTTTTTTCTTAATCTTTTCAAATCCTGGAAATAAATACACACACACACACACACACACACACACACACACACACACGTATACGATATGAATATATATCTGCATACAGTATGTATATATGTATACAACATGTATATACGTGTATACAATATGTATATATGTATACAATATGTCTATACGTGTATACAACATATGTACACAATGTCTATATGTGTATACAATATGTATGTATACAATATGTCTATACGTGTATACAATATGTATATATGTATACAATATGTGCATACAATATGTATATATGTATACAATATGTGCATACAATATGTATATATGTATACAATATGTGCATACAATATGTATATATGTATACAATATGTGCATACAATATGTATATATGTATACAATATGTGCATACAATATGTATATATGTATACAATATGTGCATACAATATGTATATATGTATACAATATGTGCATACAATATGTATATATGTATACAATATGTGCATACAATATGTATATATGTATACAATATGTGCATACAATATGTATATATGTATACAATATGTGCATACAATATGTATATATGTATACAATATGTGCATACAATATGTATATATGTATACAATATGTGCATACAATATGTATATATGTATACAATATGTGCATACAATATGTATAGATGTATACAATATGTGCATACAATATGTATAGATGTATACAATATGTGCATACAATATGTATAGATGTATACAATATGTGTATACAATATGTATAGATGTATACAATATGTGTATACAATATGTATAGATGTATACAATATGTGTATACAATATGTATAGATGTATACAATATGTGTATACAATATGTATAGATGTATACAATATGTGTATACAATATGTATAGATGTATACAATATGTGTATACAATATGTATAGATGTATACAATATGTGTATACAATATGTATAGATGTATACAATATGTGTATACAATATGTATAGATGTATACAATATGTGTATACAATATGTATAGATGTATACAATATGTGTATACAATATGTATAGATGTATACAATATGTGTATACAATATGTATAGATGTATACAATATGTGTATACAATATGTATAGATGTATACAATATGTGTATACATGTATAGATGTATACAATATGTATATATGTATATATAATATGTGTATATATACACATATATACGTATATATGTGTATATATACACGAATGCAGGAGAAGGTGATAGCATTGTTCACTTTCCTGTTGTAGGGAGAGAGAGAGATATATATATATATACACATACACATGTATACATACAATATGTATATATGTATACAATATGTATATATGTATACTATATATGCATATATATGCATATATACACACAATATCATATTAGTGGGAGATTTTTAAAACTAGTTTGTATTTAAACAATTAATTATACTGATGATCTCTGGACACCTTAGTAATGAACAACTTAAAAACGGGGAACTGAAGTTAGGGGTTTGAGTCACCATGAGTTTACTGAAGTTACTACCCCTGGGACTTGCCCTGACCAGTAGCATTCACTTGTTGGAGAGTTTGAGATTCTTCTTTCTGTGCCAGCTGATACCAGCAACGCATGTGCCAGACATCAGGCAAATAGAGTTGTTCTAATGCCTTTAGTTCCAGTGGCACAGAAGTCAGCAGTCAAGGTTGGGTGCTTCTTGGGTGGGTTATGTTGGTGGAGAACAATGTGTCAAAGTTGGTGGGAAAATATTATTGCCCAGACCAGCACCTGCAAGAAGGGGACCATGTCTGTGATTTCAGAGAGCCATATGGTAGTTTGAGAGGGTGCAGTATGCATGACATTAATCTAACATTGAATCATGTAGTGAGGAAATAATTCTTTAAAAATTCTCTTTCAGTATTTCTGGTTTCACCAAAGAGAATGGGACATGTTAGTAACGACTCTCTAACATTTGCAATCCCAGTCTTGCAGGCCACTGCACCTACTAAGATTGTTCTTTATTACCTTTTATTCAAAGGGAATGGTGCTGGTTTTCCAATTACTATAAAGAAATCAATTTAAATAATTTGATTTCAAATACATCTAAATGATGTACTTATGAGAAAAACAGTGAATTCGTTTAAGCAAATAGTAAGCAAATAAGTATCACAGGTGGCTGATGGGACTGAAATCCTGGAGGCAGGTACATGAACAAACAGAGCCTGGGAAATCCTGAGCTAGGTCATTGGTGTCTCTGGAATTTGTTTTCAAGTGGGTTTCATGAATCTTTTCTTCTATGAAAGTTAAACTTTTTAAGATTTTTTCAGAATGGTTATGACCTGATTAAGTGACAGGGACTCTCCTGCCTCCGTGGACAGGAATGGAGTGTGGAATCCCAGGGTGCCCTCAGGTTGGTCACACAGGCTCTGATTATCATAGGGCATCCCTGCAGGGCCCGGGGTGGCCGCAGAGCTCAGCTTCTGTCCTGGTTACCACACACATGCCACCATGACCACTGTGCTCTTACAGTTTTATTTCACGCTGCTTGCCTCCATAGTGCCTCTGTGTGGTGTCTGGACCTTGCCATGGTCCAGGGACAGCTGGATTGTTACAAGGGGGCATCACCAATGTCACCTTAGTGGTGGCTAGGAGATGTTCCTAGTCCCTGACTAGTAGGATCTTTTAAGTCCCTCCTGTGGTGTTTATGACACGTTCAGCTGTATGCTGGGGGCAATGGACAATGCAGGAGAAGGTGATAGCATTGTTCACTTTCCCGTTGTAGGGATAAATCTAACATAGAAGGAAACACTAACCGATTTGTCACAATTAAGGACTGTCTTGTGTGGAGCCTCTGTGGCAGTGCTGTGGCTCTTCTAGGGAGAGGCTTGAAGGCTAGAGCAGGAAGACAAGTTTCCAGGAAGAGAGCTTAGGTGGCAGGACCTTGAAGGCTGGGTAACAGAAATAATAATCATTGTAATCAAAATAATGCATGCATATACTTTTTAAAAATCCAAGGAGCACTAACAGGCTTATAATGTATCAAGTAACACTTTCCTTCGTCTTCTTCTCACCCAAATCTCACTGATACTCCTTTTTAAAGAGGATTCTTTTGGTATTCATATTGATGACTCTAAACATGCTTATTTTGCTCTCTTGTGATTCATCGGTTTTAGGCATTATTTACTGACTTCCGCTATCTGTTGGTAGACGAGTATCTGCTCTTCTACCTGGCTACTTCCCCTCCCCTCTGAGTCACAATTTTTTTGTTAAATTCACATTCCATGTTTATGATATTATGACTATGCAGATATTCTTGGCTGAATAAAATATGTATTATGACCCTGAGCCCTTCCTTGTACAGTTTTCTTTTTCTGGAGTTAATAATTGCTTCATTTCTATGTCCTCCAATATATCCCCTCTGATAATCTGTCAGTGGCATGTTTTTTTATTAAAGACCTCATCCCTGGAGCACTTTTTCTGTTAATTTCAATCTGGCATAGTCGCTCTTTATATCTCTGTCCATGGCTATCATCCGAGACCTCCTGTCCTCCTCATTTTGGGACCTTCCTTTTCCTCTCTCCATTGTTGGATTTTGTCTTTCCCCTTCTTGGTTTACTTATTTGTTTTTCTGGATTGCATCCTGTAGTAACTCTTTGAGGAAAGGTTCCGTGGTAACTTTTGAGAGCCTAAATGTCTGAAAATATCTCTATTCCACCCTTCCACTTCCTTGACAGTTTGCACATAGAACTTGAAAGTGTTTTCCCATGGGAATAATGCATATGTAGTAGTCTGTTGTCCTCTGGGGTCCGTGTTTTTTTTTTTTGAGACGTTCACAACCACTTTTGACTTTCTGTCCCCTTCAACTGTGACCTGGTTTTTCTTTCTGGAAGGTTCTAAAATCTTCTCTTTATTTTTGTGTTGGCATGCCTTGGTAGGAATCGTCTTTCCGTTATTTGTGCTAGGTATTCATTGATTCCAGAAAGTTATGCTCTTTACCTGGAAACTGTCTTGTGTCATTTAAGATAATATTTTCTTCTTACTCATTTTGTATATTCTTTGTGAAATTTCTAACAGATGTTGGTCTTTGGGAATTGACCCTTTAGTTTTCTTCTTCTTTTTTTTTTGTCTATTGTCCTTCTCTTTGTTTCACAGACATGATATTTCATCTTCTCTGCAGGTATCAATGATCGCTTTGATATTATTATTATTATTTTAGTTTTTCCTCTAATACTTGCACTGCCTCTTTTTCTGCCAGGTTTTGTTTTGTTTCGTTTCGTTCCTTTCCTTTCCTTTCCTTTTCTTTGTGTGTGTGTGTGTATATGTAGGTGTGTGTACTTCCTGTTAGAGAATTTCCCCAGTGGTTTCCTGGTCCTTGGCCGCTTGTTCCTATATAAAGGTGAGAAACTGAAAGTTGATTGGATGCTCTGTGTATGGCTAGGCATGTTGACGGGTGGACTTCACACTTAACTGCCTTTTTTGTTCTCTTTCTCTCTAAGACTTTCAAATGCCTTTATCTGTAGAAATTTCTCTGTGGCAATTCAGATTCTCCAGGAAAAGATTTTCTGATTTCATACCGAGGCAGGACACACCTGCTGCTAGGGCTCTTTGTCTGCAGCAGGAGGGGCTGGGGTCACAGCACGTTTCATGTGTTCTGTTACCCCCAGCTCTCCACAGGTACCGGGTGTCCCTGAGGCCGGAACATCTCTCATTCAGTTTTGTTTTGTTTGTTTGTTTGAGACAGAGCCTTGCTGTGTCGCCCAGGTTGGAGTATAGTGGCGCAATCTCGGCTCACTGCAACCTCCGCCTCTGGGGTTCAAAGTGATGCTCCTGCCTCAGACTCCTGGGATTACAGATATCTGCCATCATGCCTGGCTAATTTTTGTATTTTTGTAGAGTTGGGGTTTCACCATGTTGGCCAGGCTGGTCTTGAACTCCTGACTTCAGGTGATCCGCCCACCTTGGCCTCCCAAGGTGCTGGGATTACAGGCACGAGCCACTGCGCCTGGCCTCTCATTCAGTTTTTACAGGGGATGAACTTTCCTGTCTCCCGTGGGAGTGGAGAAGGGATTGTTATCTGGACCTGTGGAGGGGGTGGGTAGGGATGGTGGTTATTTGTCCCATCTCTCAAATTTCCCTGTTTCTTAGCAGTCTACCTCTCCAGTCTGTCCCTAACTGGGACCAAGCTACCTATATCACTTTATTTCTACAGTTCATTTTTCAGTCCCCCCCATTGTTGGGTATTTAGCTTGTTTGCTGCTTCTCCCAGTTTATTACTGAACTTTATGTTTAATTTGTCTTGTCTTTCTCTTTCCAAAGGAATATATCTGATAAGTGAAATTATTAGATCAAAGAATTAAAATATTTAAAATACTTGAAGCTTTTTAAAAGCTTCAGCTACATTCTGCCAAATCTTTTTTGTTTGTTTGTTTTTTGAGATGGAGTCTCGCTCTGTCGCCAGGCTGGAGTACAGTGGCACAGTCTGGGCTCACTGCAACCTCCGTCTCCTGGGTTCAAGCAATTCTCCTGCCTCAGCCTCTTGAGTAGCCGGGATTACAGGCGCCCGCCACCATGCCCGGCTGATTTTTGTATTTTTAGTAGAGAAGGGGTTTCGCCAAGTTGGCCAGGATGGTCTCAATCTCTTGACCTTGTGATCCGCCTGCCTTGGCCTCCCAAAGTGCTGGGATTACAGGCGTGAGCCACTGTGCCCGGCCCATTCTGCCAAATCTTAAATTCCACTTCTGCTACCTACCATCATCATCATCTCCATCACCATCCCATCATCATCATCATCATCATTAGTTGAGTACTTACAGGGACCATGCTGAGCAGTTTTCGTTCTCATCTCATTTAATCCTCACAGGAATCATGCATAAAGTGTACAGTTATTCCTCAGATTGGCAGAGGAGAAAATGAAGGCTTAAAGAAGTTTAATGACCTGTCCAGAGCCCCAGGGTTAGTGGGTGCTTGGAGCTGGGACTTATATCCAGGCTCACCTAATGGCATAGTAACGCTGATCATATCAGCTCCCCACTGCCAGGGCTATGCTGACCCATGCCAACCAAGACTCACCTTCAGGGCCTTTGAGAGTGAGGAAGTGTGCTCTGAATCTTACCTTTTCTCCTGCTGTCAGCCCTGCGAGTTAAGAGAGAGCATTGCTTTTTGCTAGGGGTTTTTGCTGTTTAGGACACTCTGTTTTCTGTGAAGGAAAAAGGATGAGTTCGTGATCTCGCTTTCTTCATGCTGGTCCACTCTGCACTGTTATTAGATAGAACAATGCTCTCCCCAAGGTCCTGGCATATGATTAATGCTTTGGTTTGCTTTCTAGGGTGGCTATGGATTTGTCTTTCTTTGAATAATTCCAGTATTATTTCAAACGGGATCTGAGAGGCAGACCATACTCTTGAGGGCCATGCCTTATTACTTATGAATTGTTTCCAAACCCTGTCTTTAAAATAAATGGAAATATAATTCAGTGGGTCATATTATGTTCACTTCTAGGCTGGGGGGATATGAGAGCTCTCCTAGGAGTCAGGTGGCCTGAACCGGCCCCTGACTCAGATGGTCCTTTATTTTCTGAGCCGTTGAGTAAAAGCGTGTGATATGCCCCGTCTCTAGCTGTTTCACAGGAGTTCCATGAGAATAAGTAAGAAGATCTCTAAATTCATTCTTTTACCCTCTAATCTGATAGGATGAAGACCAGGAATCATAATTATTGCCACATTAACACACTTAGTTAGAGCACATTAGAAATCCTTTCTTCCTTTCTAATCTCCCTTTCTTCCATCTGTTCCTCGCCTCCATCAGGGGCTCCTGGCAGCCCTGGGCTGTGTGTCCTCATCTTCCGCAAGCACCAAGCCCATGGCAGCTCAATGAGACCTTCATAGAGGCTGTCGGTCCTCAGCATTTCCCTGCCTGCAAGCAGATTCCCATCATCCAGTGAGGACAAAGTATGTGAAATTTGCCAAAAGTGTCTTGCACGCTTGGTGCCCTTGGCAGCTACGTCGCCAGCAGATGACACCCCAAGTAATGCCCTTCCTAAAGGGCTTCTCACCCTACCTGGAGTACTGCTTGCCCAGGTGCCCATGAAGTGCTTCCATGGAAAGTCCTGGAACCGAGGAGCTAATTAATCCATCCTTGCTTGAGCCCAGTGGCTTACCTAGGAGCCAAGTTTTGGAATATGTATTCAGGGTCTCAGTCCCATAAATAAAGTACATGTGCTGGAATGTTTTATGATTGGGACTATTGATATGTGAAGGTTTTTAAAAAAAATTTTTGAAATCTTATTTTAAATATAGAGACAAGGTCTCACTACGTTGCCCAGGCTGGTCTTGAACTCCTGGCCTCGAGTGATCCTCCCACCTTGGCCTCCCAAAGTGCTGGGATTATAGACACAAGCTACCACATCCAGCCAGAATGCTTTATTTATTTATTTATTAATAGACAGGTTTTTGCTCTGTCATCTGGGCTGGCATAAAGTGGCACAATCACAGCTCACTGCAGCCTTGACTGCCCCAGGTTAAGTGATCCTTCTACCTCAGCCTCTTGAGTATCTGGGACTACAGGCGTGGGCCACCACGCTCAGTTAATTTTTAAATTATTTGTAGAGATGAGGTCTCGCTCTGCTGCCCAGCCTGGTCTCCAACTCCTGTCCTCAAGCAATCGTCCTGTCTTGGCCTCCTACCATGCTGGAATTATAGGTGTGAGCCACTGCTTCTGGGACTGGCCGTGATTTTTAATACCACCAACAATGGGCATAAAAAATGAAATAAGAGCGAGTGATAAGAATGGTTTGCTATTATTGTCAAGAGAGGTAACTTACTTTTGTAACAAATGTGTTGATTACACATTTACTTGTTAAGATGGATTTGGGCCCTTTTGGGTAGATGATTATTTTGTTTTATTAAAATCTCTCTGAGATTAAATTTCTGTTAAACAGCGAGACCCTGTACTTTATGGATGAAGCATTGAATTCATGACCTGTCAAAACTGAGGCTCATCATAACAGACAGTTTCCCTGACCATGCTTTGTACTATTTTGTACAGCACTTATCACCTCCAATTTCTCTGTTTTATTTACTGCTGTATCTCCAACATGGAGAACAAGGCTAAATTGCACTCAGTTAATATTTGTTGAATGAATGAATGAGGCATTTTTAACTTTATCCTTTTTTCATGCTTTCCACGTTTATATACTATCCTTGAGTTCCAAATCTTTGTTTTTGTTTTTTGTTTTCTTTTTCTGAGACAGAGTCTTGCTCTCTTGCCCAGGCTAGAGCACAGTGGTGTGATCTTGGCTCACTGCAACCTCCGCCTCCCGAGTTCAAGTGATTTTCCCGCCTCAACTGCCCGAGTAGCTGAGACTACAGCCGGGCACCACCACACTCAGCTAATTTATATATTTTTAGTAGAGACGGGGTTTCACCATGTTGGCCAGGCTGGTCTCGAACTCCTGGCCTCAAGTGATCTGCCCACCTTGGCCTCCCAAAGTGCTGGGATTACAGGCATGCGCCACAGCTCCCGGCCTTAATCATCTTTGTCATTTCTGTGTGTAAACAAATATCTCCTTTTCACTATGTGGCATATATTATGGACATTCTTATATCCATGAGAAAAAGTGCAAGGAAGTGTGTCACTCTGAATCTTACTAACTTGTTGTTGGAAAAGGTACAAATGAAGTAAGAACGCTTCAACTAGGGGAGAGAAACTTTCATTTAAAATAGTTATGGTTGAGGGAAGATGGACTGCAAATTGTAGAGGCTGGCCTGAGGCTCTTCTCTGCATTGAAAGACATGGCATCATATTTTCTTCCTATAACACATTAGATATAAAAACAGCCAGAAAGGCAACCCCCATGTGTTTTATAACAAATCAAATAATACAGAAATGTATAAAGAAAAAGTTACTGTGTTCATTGGCCCCACCTCTGCTCTGGGCCACCCTGGCACCCTTCTCAGGAGACTGATGTGAAGAAAGTCATCTGCCCTACAGCTTAACCATCAAAAAACCTCATAACTCAATTAACAAATGGGCAAAAAACTTGAAAAGACGTTTCTTCAAAGAAGATATGTAAATGGCCACGAGCATATGAAAAGATTCTCAGCACCACTAAGCAGTATGGAAACGCACAACAAAACCACAATGAAATATCACCTCACATCCATTAGAATGGCTGTTATCAAAAACAAAAAACAAAAACCAAAATAAATGGTCATCCAGGATGTGGAGAAATTGGAACTCTTGTGCTCTGCTGGTGGGAATGTAAAATGGTGCAGTCCCTATGGAAAACATTGTGGTAGTTCCTCCAAAAATTAAAGATAGAATTACCATGTGATCCAGCAATTCCACTTCTAGGTATATCCAAAAGAACTGAAAGCAGGGTCTGGAGGAGATATTTTTACACTCGTGTTCATAGCAGCACCATTCACAATAGCAAAACATGGAAGCAACAAAATTGTGTACAGATGAATGGAGAAATAAAATGTGGTCTGACCATACAAAGGAATATTATTCAGCCTTAAAAAGGAAGGAAATTCTGCCGTGGTGGCTCACGCCTGTAATCCCAGCACTTCGGGAGGCCAAGGCAGGCGGATCACTAGGTAAAGAGATTGAGACCATCCTGGCTAACACAGTGAAACCCCGTCTCTACTAAAAATACACAAAATTAGCCGGGCGTGGTGGTGGGCACCTGTAGTCCCAGCTATTTGGGAGGCTGAGGCAGGAGAATGGCATGAACCCGGGATGCGGAGCTTGCAGTGAGCCGAGATCTCGTCACTGCACTCTGGCCTGGGCGACAGAGTGAGACTCAGTCTCAAAAAAAAAAAAAAAAGGAAATTCTGACACATGCTACAACATGGATGAACCTTGAGGACGTTATGCTAAGTGAAATAAGCCAGACACAAAAAAGCACTGTGTGGTTCTACTTATATGAGGTCCCTAGAGTAGTCAGAGTTAAAGGGACCCAAAGTAAAAAGGGAGTTACCAGGGGGTGGGAGTCTGGAGAGTGAATGGGGAGTTATTGCTGAATGAGTGTAGAGTTACACTTTTGCAAGATGAAAGAGTTCTGGAGGTTGGTTGCACTACAGTGTGAATATACTTAACACTACTGAACTGTACAATTGAAAATGCTTTAAGATGGTGAATGTTATGCTATGTTTATTTTACAACAATTGAAAATTAAGAAAAAATACTGAAGTCATTTAGCAGGTAAAATAAAACAAGAAAAATTGAATCTGTTTATTAGTTAAAATGAAACAAACATAGAAATAAATTAAGAAAAAAGTAAAATAAAATTTAAAAAGAGGGTAGTATGTATCCTCCACACTAGTCTTAATGCTTATATGTGCCAAATGTGTGTATAGGCTGCTTTTTTTTTTTTTTTTTTTTTTGGACAGAGTCTCACTCTGTCACCCAGGCTGGAGTGCAGGTGGCATGATCTTGGCTCACTGCAACCTCCATCTCCCAGGTTCAAGTGGTTTTCTTGCCTCAGCCTCCTGAGTAGCTGGGATTACAGGCTCGTGCCACCATGCCTAGCTAATTTTTTCTATTTTTATTAGAGACGGGGTTTCGCCATGTTGGCCAGGCTGGTCTCAAACTCCTGACCTCAGGTGATCTGCCCGTCTAGGCCTGGGATTACAGGCGCAAGCCACCATGCCTGACGTTACCCATGTTTTATTTTTTTATTTTTTTAATTTTAAGTTTTTTTTTTTTCGAGAGAGAGTCTCGCTGTGTTCCCCAGATTGGAGTGCAGTGGCGTGATCTCAGCTCCCTGCAAGCTCCGCCTCCTGGGTTCACGCCACTCTCCTGCCTCAGCCTCCTGAGTAGCTGGGACTACAGGCGCCCGCCACCACGCCCGGCTAATTTTTTGTATTTTTAGTAGAAACGGGGTTTCACCGTGTTAGCCAAGATGGTCTCGATCTCCTGACTTCGTGATCCACCCGTCTTGGCCTCCCAAAGTGCTGGGATTACAGGCGTGAGCCACCGCACCCGGCTCCTCCATGTTTTAAATCCATACCATGGACATCTTTCCAGGTCAGCAAATATAGATCTGACTCACTTTCCTTTAAAAGGTGACTAATTATCTGTGGGATGTGTGTACCATGATTTATTTCACGTTTCCTTTTTCTGAACCTTCAGGTTATTTCCAGTTTTGTTGCCACTACAGTGTTGCAATAAACAGCCTTATTCATATTACCATTTTATTGTGGTTGTTCTGACTTCTGCCGAATTTCAAAAAGTGTTGCTAGGTCAAGAGTAGTGCCAGATTGTTTTTCAAAAAGTCCAGAGCAGCTCACGTTCACACCACATCTGGTGAGAAGCCTGACTGCCGACCTCCCATGAGGGCCAGGTACTGTAATCTGCAGGTAGAAAATGGCTTGCTGTGATCTTTCAAACATATAGTTAGGAAGTTGAGTAGCTTTTATAAATTTATTACTTGCATTTTTTTTGGATGTGATAAAAGATAGGGAGTCTAATTTTGTTTTTTTTTCAAGCAAATAGCCAATTATACCCATGCTGTTTATTAAATCATTTGTCCTGCTAAATTAAAATACATAATTATATGCATTTTGGATATTTTCTTATTTGATTCCATTGATTTATTTTTTTATTTCTGTGTCAGTGCTAGATTGCTTTGGGTATGTAAACCTTATAGAAAGTTCCAATGTCTTGAAAGCAAAATCCCTTGCCATTTTTCCCTTCTCAAAATGTTGTGAACTCTCAGATACTTTTTCCTTCTTATGACGTTTTAAACCATTTGTTCAGTTATTTAAAAAAGTCCAAGTGAGGTTCTAATCCTATTTAAATCTACCACATATAATCTGGTGTGTGTATGTATTTGTATGTCTCATTGTGTTTTATGAATAAAGATATATCCTCATCTTTGTCAAGCAAACTACAAAGTATTAGATAATACTTTCTCTAGTTTTCTAAGCATCCATTAATAATTTATAGTATGGACATGAAGATGTTTTTCTGTGCTTTTGTTGTTGTTGTTGTTGTTTGTTTTTTTGAGACAAGGTCTCTCTCTGTCACCCAGGCTGGAGTGCAGTGGCAGGATCATGGCCTACTGCAGCCTCCACCTGCCAGGCTCCAGTGATCCTCCCACCTCAGCCTCCTGAGTAGCTGGGACCACAGACATGCACCACCACACCTGGCTAACTTTTTGTAGAGATGGAGTTTTGCCCTGTTGCTCAGGCTGGTCTCAAACTCCTGGGCTCAAGCGATCTGCCTGCCTTGGCCTCCCAAAGTGCTGGGATTACAGGTGTGCGCCACCATGCCTGGCCATTTTCTGTGTTTTTGAAACACACATTTACTTATTTAATGAAAATAGAACATCATATACTAAGATATTTCAGCATAGTTTTGTTCCACTTAGAAAAAGTTATGGCAATTTTATCAGTAACTGTCTAACTTAATACCCATACATGATGCAGGATAGGTGTGTCCCCAAATTGGGGCTTAACCTGGGAGGGTTCTTGGCTTCACTTAGGATGGAGTTCAAGGGTGAGCCAGTGGTGTTAAACAGTGACTTTGATTGAAGTGGCAGTGTACAGCAGTGGCAGAGGGGCTGTTCCTTGTGGCTACCCCATAGGCAGTGTGCCCACAATGGCAGCTCTGGTTCTACAGTCATATTTATACCACTTTGAGTTACAGACAGATTAAGGGGCAGAGTATGCAGTAATTTCTAGAAAAAGGATTGTAGCTTCTGTGTCTTTGGGTTGTTGCCATGGGAAGGGCAGTAACTTCCATGCGTTGCCGTGGCAGTGGTAACCTGACATAAATATGCTGAGGCAAGTCTCCCTTTAATTTTTCATTTTCAAGCTATTTTAAACTATTTTTAACCTTTTTTCACATGTTTATTCTTCCAGATATATTTTATTACCATTTTTGTGTCATTTTCTAAAAACCTTTTTTATTTCATTTGGAATTTAATTTAGTCTATGTTTTATTTAGAGAATTGAACTCTTCGTAAGATTACTTTTTTTCCTACAGGAACATGATGTGTATCTATTTTCTTGGTTCTTCTTTCAATCTTTTAAACAAAAAAAATTTGTGGGCTGGGCACAGTGTCTCACACCTGTAATCCCAGCACTCGGGGAGGCCAAGACGGGAGGATCACTTGAGCCCAGGAGTTCAAGACCAGTCTGGGCAACGTAGTAAGACCTCATGTCTACCAAAAAAAAAAAAAAAAAATTGTGATGCAAGAATTTTACACTCAGTTGAACTTGAAGGCAACGAAAAGTCGCAGATGCAGGAACCAGAAAGAATGCCACACATACGTTTCTTGACTTAAACAAATTGCTTGGAGCCAGGTGCAGTGGCTCACGTCTGTAATCGCAGCACTTTGGGAGGCCAAGGCAGGCAGATCACCTGAGGTTAGGAGTTTGAGATTAGCCTGACCAACATAGTGAAACCCCATCTCTACTAAAAATACAAAAATTAGCCGGGCATGGTGATGGTCACCTGTAATCCCAGATACTCTGGAGGTGAGGCAGGAGAACCTCTTGAACCCGGGAGGCAGAGGTTGCGGTGAGCTGAGATCTTGCTACTGCACTCCAGCCTGGGCGACAAAGCTAGACTCTGTATCAAAAAAAAAAAGTGCAGTTCCGGTGAATTTAAGTTTTCATTTCTTTTAAAATTAAGTCATAGAAATACTGATTTACCTTTCTTCAGACTGGAAGAAGAAATGAGATTGAAAAGAATTTTTCGTTTCTTTGCTTTGAATTGATTGCGACTAATTGTATCTCAAAAAGAAAATTTTATTTGGTTGCTTACATATATATATGAAGAAGGAAAATATATCAGAGGGTCATTCTAACCCTCTGATATATTCATATTTAATAATTCATAGACCTGAATGTTTCATTTGTTTATTTGATTGATTATCATTCCTTCATTGCATAAAAGGTAATTGGTCATTTGTTTTTATTCCTCCACTGTTTTTATTGTTCACTGTAAAAGTATAATTTAATACAGGGTAAAATTTATTATAAAGATCACTAATGTGGCCCTTGAAAAAAATGGTTCCAGCTTGCTCATCCTAGACTGCTTTTAATTCTCTATGATTTTAAGCAAGCTACTTTATTCAGGTCATAGTTTTCTCGTAAGTGAAAACTGCAATTGGATCTAGAATTACCTTCAATAAGAATCAGCAAGTATAGAGCCAGGGTTGGACATAAACAGTCTGAGTCCAGAGCTGGTGTGATTAAATATTATGTAATACTGCAGACCTCTTAATCTCTCAGAGATTATGTTTCTTTATCTGTAAAACGAGGACTATGAGCTCTTTCTTCTCTGCTGGTTTGCATGAGGCTCACATATAGTAATGCAGGAGTTTTGCAATGTCATCTCTGAACCAGGAGCACCAGTGGTATCTGAGAATGTGCTACAAACACACATTCTTGGGCTGTATTCCCAACCTACTGAATCAGAAACTAGGTTTGGGACCTTGCAACCTGGGTTGGAGGAAGCCTCTCACGTAATTCCGATGTGTGCTAAACGTCGCGAACCACTGGAATAATACCTATATGTAGGTTTGTGTTAACGTGCCATCAATTATGTAAACAGGTTTCCTTTTGTCATTATGATCCTCTCCTGCATACATATATAAATATCTGTCTAACTGGTTTTTGTTGTTTTAATTAAACATTGAATGCATGAAGAATATTTATACCAGGCTGGGCATGGTGACTCATGCCTGTAACCCCAGCACTTTGGGAGGCCAAAGTGGGAGGATTGCTTGAGCCCAGGAGTTTGAGACCAGCCTGGCCAACATGGTGAAACCTTGTCTCTACTAAAAATACAAAAATTTGCCAGGTGTGGTGGTGCATGCCTGTAACCCCAGTTACTTGGGAGGCTGAGGCAGGAGAATCACTTGAACCTGGGAAGGGGAGGTTGCAGTGAGCCAAGATGGTGCCACTGCACTCTAGCCTGGGTGATGATGTGAGACTCCATCTCAAAAATAAATAAATAAATAAATAAATTTACACCATTTGCGAAGAGTATGAAGAAGAACAGTAGCAAAAGTACCTACATATCCCTGTCAAATGAATTGCAAACAACATGATTCTCAGTATATTAATCCTATACTCATGCTCTTCCCTAAT
This sequence comes from Homo sapiens, assembly GCF_000001405.40. Lineage (NCBI taxonomy): Eukaryota > Metazoa > Chordata > Mammalia > Primates > Hominidae > Homo > Homo sapiens. The sequence continues at coordinate 25,231,000 of NC_000008.11, forward strand.
TGTCTGACACCTTGGCCCCACCCTGGATGTAAACATACCCTCGGGTTAGTGTGTTTCATTTCCTCCTTTTTTTTCTGTAGTTTTATCATCCATACACATATGTATATGCAAATTCATTTCACTTAGTTTTGTAAGACTTGGTATTATATCTAAAGGCATCATCCTGTGTATATTTTTTCTATAATTTTTCAATTCTCTCTACATTCTGTTAGTGTCATGCATGCACTCATTTTCCCTGCCATATAGAATTCTATATCTGAATATGCCATAATTTATTTCTCCGTTTTCCTTTCCATGGACATTAGGGGTGAATCTCTTTTCAAAGGGCTATCACACACAGTGCTTCCGTGAACTTTCTTGGACATATTTCCTGGTACACTTGTGCAAGTGTTTCTCTGGGGCATAGTCTTCAGATTACTACACTTGCACTTCGTGGGAAGAAATGCACTTTTTATCATAACCAAGCAATTTCATATTGTTTGTTGTAGTATAGAGAAATACAATGGATTCTTATACATTGACCAAAAAATTAGGCCCTGAAACCTCCCTAAAAACTCACATATTAGTTGTAGTAACTTTGTTTTTGCAAATGCCTTAAGATTTTCTATATAGATAATCATGGTATTTGCTCATAAACACAATTTTATATTATCCTTTGTAATTAATATGCCTTTTATTTCTTTTTCTTGCCTTATTGCATTAGCTAGACCCACCCTTAAAATGTGAAATAGAGCGATTCAAGCAGATATCTTTGCCTTGTACCTGGTATTAGAGGAGCACATTTAATATTTAACAGTTCATTATGGTGTTTTCTAGATGTGTATGATGGATTTTTTTTCTACTTTGCTGACAGGTTTTTATTATGAATAGAGATCAGATTTTACCAAATGTCTTTTCTATATCTATTAAGATGATCATATTTTTTTCCTTTTTTCATCATAATATGTTGGGTGATGTTGATATTGGAATGTTCCTCGGGTTATTTAGAGGTGTGTGTTTAGTTTTCAAATATTTTGAGAGTTCCTAAGTACCTTTCTGATACTAATTGGTAATTCAATTCTATTGTATTCAAAGAAAATGCTTTGTATGATTTGCATCCTTTTAAATTAATTAGGACTTGTTCTGTTGCCTGATCTATGTCATTTCTGGGTCTTTTTCTAAAAGTCTCTTTTCTCCTAACTATGAGTAATATTTTTCTTCTTCTTTGGCTACTTGGTAATCTTGAACCAGATGTCAGTCATGAATTTAATCCTCTTGGGAGGATTCTGCAATGCAGAATGCAATGCAATGCAATGCAGATGCAATGCAATGCAGAACAAGGCTGAGCTAGGAAACGTATTCAAGGTTTGCATTTAAGCTTTGTTATGCAGGACCAACACAGCCTTTATTCTGGGGCCAGTTTGGCTACATGTCTAAGTCTATTTGGGATACTATAACAAAGTCTCATAGACTGGGTGGCTAGTAAACAACAGAAATAGATTTCTCACAGTTTTGGCAGCTCAAAGTCCAAGGTCAAGGTTCCAGCATTGTCAGGTTCTGGTGAGGGCAGTCAGGTTCTGGTGAGGGCAACCTTCTGGGTTGCAGACTGCCAACTTATCACTGTGTCCTTGCATGGTACAAAAAGGGCAAGTGAGCTCTCTGGGGCCTTTTATAAGAGCACGAATCCCATTCATGAGAGCTCCACCCTCATGACTTAATTACCTCCCAAAAGCCCACCTCCTAATACCTAATACTATGGGCGTAGATTTCAACATAAACATTTAGGGGTACAGGAGACAAACATTCAGTCTGTAACACTGCACTACCGAGTACTTAGTACCCTTCTGAGCTCTCAGCCCAGTACCCTCATATTCCAAGCTTTCTCTACTCTGGTTGTGGGATCTGTAAGCTGTTCTCATCCATGTGCGTGGGTTGGGAACAATGCCTCTTGCTCTTTTCCAGTGATTTTTTTCTTAGCCTCGGGTATTTTCACACACATGCACTGACCAGTACTCAGCTAAAGACTTGGGGAACCTTCTACACATCTCTAGCACTCTCTCTGAGCAGCCCTCTTCTCTCTGGTTCTCTGCCCTGCACATTCTAGCCACCTTGACCCCCCTGAATTCTCCACTCTCCTGGTCTCAGAGTGACCACTGGCTGCCTGCACAATAGCCTGGAAACCCTGTTCAAGCAGTAAGTGCAGGCAGGTGTAGACTTCACTTATCTGTTTCTCTCCTCTCAGGTATCACTCCCTGCATTGCCTGCTGTTCAGTGTCTGAAAACCAACGTGTCATGTACATTTTGCCTAGTTTTTAATGCTTAAAGCAGGATAATTCATCTGGTCCCTGATGGGTTGCTTCCCTAGTCCACCTGGGCAACAAGTAGAATTGATATATGTATTTTTTAGGTAGAAAACAAATCCCAAATTCAAACTGATATTTCCAACCCACGTCATCCCAGAATCAGTTAACCTTTTTGATTGTGTACTTGTCTTTGATGCTGAAAGATCTTGGTTCCAAAGACATGACCAATAGTTGCTCGTTGTTTCTTCTCATTTTATTCTTAACCAGAAGAGTTAGGTAAAACACCAGCTCACTTTACTGATGAGGGAACAGAAGCCTGCAAAGATTGAATCACTTGCCCTAGAGTCCAGGATGGTAGTTTTTTGGCCACATTATGGAAAATATCTTCAATGGCACAGCTGTAATTTTGTTCGCCTTGGTCTATCACTTTTCTTTCTTTTTTAAAATTCTAGATATTTTTTAGTGCTTCACTTTTTAAAAAATTTTGTTTTATTTTTAATTTTTATAAGTACATAGTAGGTGTATATATTTATGGGGTACACGAGATGTTTTGATGCAGACATGCAATGTGAAATAATCACATCAGGTCTGTCACTTTGAACTTCACACACACACCTATGTACACATGTCCTATCCTTCTGTTTCCTCACTGCAATTTCAGTAGGGTGTGATTCTGGAGTATATAAATACCCAGGAAGTTGAGATTCAGTTCTAAAATCCTCCTGAGTAGGATCCAGAGGTTAAAGGAGTCAGGCCAGAGCTTGTCCTCAGACTGGCCCAGGGCCGGAAGCTGCTGTTGTACTTGCATTTTTTAGGTTGTTATTGTCAAAGTAATGACTTGTGTAGCCTGGTTGGGGATCATTGCTTTTCTCAGTGAAATGTGTTTGTCTCATTCATGTACATATAGAGAGGATAATCGGTGACATCCTCAACTATCATTTAAAAGTGCTTTTTCTAGATTCCACAGTAACCTCTGGCATTTATCTTCAGATTCTCTATTCCTTAGTGATGATTTCTGTCTATAACAGAGTCTTAGCTCAACAGAGTCTTAGATGTGACCGTCTTAATCTTAGATCTGTTCACCTTTTGTTTCATAAGGATGTGTACCAAGAAGAACCTGATAAGGAGACTTTATTTGCTTTGGAAAAGATGTTCTGGGCTGGGTAGTGAGCTGTTTTCCTTCATTATTAAAGACTGCAATAGTTGCTATCAGATTTTTTTCTGTTTTACTTTTTCCTATTTTGTTTAATAAGGAAGATATTCATTGAGAAAAATGGAGGCTAATAGAACTATAGGCATGAATAACATTAGCATGTGTACCTTTGATATTATATACAGCCTGAGGGTCCTGTGGTGAGTACATGGCTGAGGCCATCTTTAGTATTCTGGATAATACCCTGGTTTCTCAATGAATTGTTGCAGAAATGCTTGGAAGGGGCAGCAAGAAATGGTGAATGTATTAAAATACTCCCCGCACCTGGTGCTGTTTCTTAAAGGAGCTCTGTATTTAGCGGCCTGCAATAAAATGGCTTTGCTCTAATCAAAGACATCTGCATTTCATTGTCCATCAACCATTGCCTTGGAAGGACCATTGAGGCTGATTTGTTCTTGACCTCTCCAGTCCTTCCTGATTCACTGTTTTCATTGACCGACTCCCACTGGTTTATTGATGAGGGGTTAGTGTCCATCTTTGAGGATGTAGGTGTCACCATGCCCTGAATGGGAAGCTGGACACGGCGAGAAAGGGGAAGGAGTGGAGGGGAGGAGACTGCTCTTTACTCACTGTCTGCCAGGTGTTAGTCATCATTCTGGCCCTGCACAAATTCTCCTTTTTGGGCCTCACAAAACCATAGGAAGAATGTACTGTTGCCTCCCTTTTTCAGAGGAGGAAGCTGTGGGAAAAAACTCCTATGATTATACACCATAGACTTTTTGTTCTGTAATTTTGTTTTTGTTTGTTTGTTTGTTTGAGACAGGATCTTGCTCTGTCGCCTACGTAGTGCAGTGGTACAATCTCAGCTCACTGTAGCCTCGACTGCTACAATCTCAGCTCACTGAAGCCTCAACCTCCTGGGCTCAAGCGATCCTCCCACCTCACCCTCTCGGGTAGCTAGGACCATAGGCACACACCATTATGCCTGGCTAATTTTTATAATTTTTTGAGACAGGGTCTCCCTATGTTGCCCAGGCTGGTCTCAAACTCCTGAGGTCAAGCAATCCTCCCACTCAGCCTCCCGAAATGCTGGGATTACAGGCGTGAGCCACTATGCTGGGCCTTTGTTCTGTAATTTCGAATTGCCTTGTTTCTGCTTTCCTGCTGTAAGCATTTCATATAAATTTAATGTCATATTCATGTAAATGATGTGGCTTCTAAGTCATCACTTGCTGCCAGTGAGGCAATCAAGAAACAATATTTGAGTTTATATCTGAGAAATACCCCTCCAGTTCAAGATATTTATCTATTCCCTTCACAAATATATGTAATCTTTAAGATAGAGATTTTTTTCTTTTCTTTTCCTTTTTTTTTTTTTTTTTTGAAACGGAGTCTCACTGTCGTGCAGGCTGGAGTGCAGTGGCACGATCTCAGCTCACTGCAACCTCCACCTCCTAGATTCAAGCGATTCTCATGCCTCAGCCTCCCGAGTAGCTAGGATAACAGGTGCGTGCTGCCATGCCTGTCTAATTTTTATATTTTTAGTAGAGACTGGGTTTTACCATGTTGGCCAGGCTGATCTTGAACTCCTGGCCTCAAGTGAGCCACCTGCCTCGGCCTCCCAAAATGCTGGAATGACAGACATGAGCCACTGCACCTGGCCAAGATAGAGATTTCTAAATAGTAATCAATGCATTGATTATGAAATCCTCTCTTCTCCTAAACTATCTAGAAAATGAAGTTAAGAATCCTGTAAGAGCCTGCTCTTATGGAGTACTGTTGGTGAGAAGTAGAGCTGATGTCCTAACCTGATAGCCTCCGTCCTGGATGGGTCTGAGCAGAGAGGTGGCGTGATGGTCATCTCATTGTAGAAAGACTGATTTGGAACCTACTTGTAATTATCATCCTAAAACCACAGATTTGACTTCTTGGTGTTATACCTATTATTGAATATGATTTTCTTGTCCTTATAGTACAGTGTAATTACAGAGCATAAGAAAATGAAATCTGTTTGGCCCTCTTGGATATCATTGCAGGAAAGCCAAGATGAAGATCAAAGATGAGTTGTGCCTCTTTAGTTTTTATAGAATGCATATCTGAAACTAGGCAGATCAAGATCATAATGGAAAAGAAGAATTGTAACCATCTTTTTTTTATTTTTTTTGAAACAGAGTCTCACTCTGTTGCCCAGGCTGGAGTGCAGTGGTGCGATGCTGGCTCACTGCAGCCTCCGCCTCCCAGGTTCAAGCGATTCTCCTGCCTCAGCCTTCTGAGTAGCTGGGATTACAGGCATGAGCCACCACACCCAGCTAGTTTTTTTGTGTGGTTTTTTTTTTGTATTTTTAGTAGAGATGGGGTTTTACCATGTTGGCCAAGCTGGTCTCGAACTCCTGACCTCAACTTATCCACCTGCCTCGGCCTCCCAAAGTTCTGGGATGACAGGCATAAGCCACTGCGCCTGGCCATAGTCATCTTTGGAATATTATGAATGATATATGTCTCCAATGGGTATCTCATTCTGTGTTTGCTGGATCTTTCTTTTGTAGATTCTATCAGGTGACTAATAAAAAATATAATGTAGCTATTCTTCAGGGGATTGTAATTTGAGGATTCATGTAATAATCTCATTCATTAGAAATATTCATTACTTGGCCGGACTGGATGTCCCATGCCTGTAATCTGAGCACTTTGGGAGGCCAAGGTGGGTGGATCACATGAGCCCAGGAGTTCGAGACCAGCCTGTCCAACATGGTGAAACTTTGTCTCTACAAAAAAATTTTAAAAATTAGCCAGGTGTGGTGGCACATGCCTGTCGTTCTAGGTACTTGGGGGGATGAGGCGGGAGGATCACCAGAGCCTAGGGAGGTCAAGGCTACAGTGACCCACGATTGTGCCACTGTACTCTGGCCTGGTTGATAGAGTGAGATCCTGTCTCAAAAAAATAAAAAATAAACATAAAAAAAGAAATATTTATTACTTTCTAGCCTACAGACTTTTCATTGTCAAAACTGATCACTCAGTTTGCAGCCAGTAAGTCTGTTCTGTTGGTTTCTTATTGCATAATCCCAGGACTTCAGTTTTCTTCTCTCATGTAAGCCTGGTTTAAAAGAAAGAGCCAAATCAAAGATTCAGTAAAATGCAAACTATTTTGTCTTGTCTACTTGGCTCTGCAAAATTATACTTTCCTGTTATAAACAGTAAGCTGCTTAGGGAAGAATTCCAGCAATTTGTCTTTCCCAGTGCTGTTCATGGCAGCCAGCGAGGCAACGTATGTACAGCAACTCCCGGTTCTTGTTTAATTTCCTCAGTCAAAACAAGAGATTGTGGTGGTGCCTGCCGGTTCAAAAATGGCACATGTTTCTTTTGCCTCTTCTCATTACCCCGTGAATCAGAAGGCGTTAGAACCAGAGGGCTCTTTAAAGGCAATCCTGTTTTACAGATAAGAAACTGAGGCCTAGGCTTAGTAGCTCATTCAAGGTCATGCATTGTGTAAGTGGTAAAGTTGAGTCTTGAATCCGTTTTGCTTACCCTGAGGTTTTTCTTGGTTTCCCATTTCTCTAGCTTTCTCTATAACAGTTATTCATGTTCTAGAAAGAAACTATGGGCCCACTAAGTGCATTAGCTGTACTCTCATTCTTGAAATAGCATCAGACTAGCGGACAATGTGATCACCAGTCACTGATGTGTGTGATGAGAAAGCTTGGTTTGGGAAGTAGGATGGTCATTTAAAGAGAGAAATCTAGGCTCTTCTCTTTGTTTCTGGGCTATTCCAGGGCATATCTTCACCACTATGGACTGGCTTGGTCAAATGTGATGAATAGACCAGCTTTATAACAGCTTTGCTGCTTGCAAGCTGGGTTTAACCCTTCTGAGTCTCAGCTTCCGCATTAAATAATGTGACACCTGGCATCCACTGTATACAATTACTAAGATATATATGAAAGTAAACTATGAAATACGCTGGAAATGTGAGGTATATTATGATATGGAGGGCATACTACCAAACCCAAGAGTTAGAATGAATAGATGACGGCGGTGATTGGAAATCTTGTTTGTGCTTTTGCCCAGAGACATGAAACAGATTGTACAAACATCCTCTAAGCGGTGACTTTTCATTCCAGTGAAAGGCATTCTTGAAGGGATGTGCTTCTAACATGAATCTCTTTGAAAGCTTAGGTTGGAGAGGCAGATTCTCTCTTGTGATAAACCAAATGGATGGAGAAGTGATTTTAGTAACCCTTTCTTGAGTGATGGGAAACCACAGCCTCTGCTCTGGAGGAAAGCAGAAGTGTGTTTGAGTTTGGGGAAGAAGTGGTGAATAACTGAATTTTTTGATGGATTTTATAGAAGAGATAAAAATATGTGTTTTTAAAATATATTCTTTTCTGACATCGTTATTATACCTTGAGTACTTTCTTTGGGACTAAGCCTGTGCCTTGTAATGAGAAAGACACAAAAGTAATGTGTAACGAGGGCCCCAATCATAGGGATTTCCTTCTAATTGATGGCAGACAATTACACAAGATTGTCTATGATTAAAAACCCAAACTGCGCTGGAAGGGAAAATTGTTGTGGAATGTCAGAGAAGAAAGAGATCCACGCAGGTAATCGGGAGCTAGTAGCCATTTGTTGAATTGCATTGTGGATGTGAGATTTGGATTGTTACAAATCAAGACAGGCCCTTGTTCTAGGCAGAAACAAACCATGGACTGAGCTCAGAATTTAGGGGAGAACATAGGAGTCTTCACTGGAGAGTAGGCTGGAATTTCGCAGATAGTGGAGACAAAGACAGATAATTACGGGCTGGGACAATTTTGGAGGTATTTTGGGTCAGGCTTAGAGATCTAGGTTTTAAGCAAACCGGTCTTTGGTGTGTGCGTGTATATGTGTGTGTGTGTGTGTGTGTATGTGTGTGTGTGTGTGTGTGTGTGTGTGTTTCCAGCAGTCCTTGGTAGGTGTTTGTGTTTGGAGCTTCCAGTGCAAGGTGCTGCCTTTGAGAGCTTCTGCTTACTTTTCCAATGACCGGAACCAGGAAGAGGTGAAGCTTGGTCATTACACAATGCATTGTGACTCAGTGACCTCACTACTTCCTGTTTTCATTTGAGAAGGGGGCCAATGGAAGGGACCATTTCAGTACAAGGCCATGAATAGGGAGTAGGAGATGTCAAGGATATGAGGTCTGCCAAACTAGCAGGCAGAGCATTTGCGTAAACCAGCAGACGAATGAAGGAGTTGAACTCCACTGGAATAGCAGCGGTGGCCCAGTTACCCATGAGAAAGTCTAGGAATTGGGAATTACTCCTACTTCTGAATCGCGTGCGATTTCTCCTAACCTATGTCACCAGCCAATCCTGGTTGTAAATTCATAGCCTAGTCCATAAGCTCAATAGTAAAATAAATTCCAACATACTTTGTCCAGGCTTCTGTGCCAGGAGTGCAGGAGAGCACTACTTGGATGACTTCCTTTATCAAGGAGAGGCCACTGGAAAACAGGTGGCTGGACGTGTGCTCCTTCCTGCTCACTGAGAGGTTGACTGTGATGTAAGCCAAGCTGCAGGTGCAGGGTGCACTGCAGGCCCAGGGAAGAGCTGGGAAGAGCCGGGAAGACCCACCACTGGCAATGTCAAGGACGCCTTTCTTCCCTGTGGGATATACTGATGGACTGAGTGACTATCCATTCATCAGTGTGGATGGCCACTCATCAGGCCTGCAGAGATGGGAGCCTTATGGGTTCCTTGGATTGTCAAGTCCATGGCTAGAGCTGAATCTCTAAGGGAGTTCTTTTTTCCTGGAAAGATGTAGTTCCCTCATCAGTAGAGTGAGGGTAAGAAGTAAATCTACTTAAAAAAAAAAAAAAACCAGCTTCCGTCAAGTGTAATTTATATACCATAAAATCCACCCGTTTTAAGCATATAATTCACTGATTTTTAGTAAATTTACAGAGTTGTGTAAATATCACCGCAACCCAGTTTTAGGATGTTTTCATCTCCCCAAGAAGCTCCTTAGGGCCTTTTGTGGTCAATCACCATTCCCTCCTCACAGCCCCAGGCAACCAATAATCTCCTATATTGCCTTTGATAGATTTGCTAAATTCTGGACATTTTGAATAAATGGTGTCATAAACTATGTGGTCTTTTGCATCTGGCTTCTTTCCTTTAGTGTAATGTTTTGAGGTTCATTCACGTTGCAGTATGTGTCTGTATTCCATTTCTTTTCATTGCTGCATAGTATTCCATTGCATGGATATACCATACTTTGTGTATCCTTTCATCAGTTAATAAATTATTTCCATTTTGGGGGCTATTGTGAATAATGCTACTGTAGTGGATTTCAGTGGCTGCTGTGACAAATTATACACTTGATGTCTCAAGACAGTGGGGGTTTATTCTCTCACAGTTCTGGAGATGGGAGTTAGGAAGTCAAGGTGCAAACAGGGCTGTGCTCCCTCCGGAGGCCCTCGGGGAGGTTCTGTTCCTTGCTTCTTCCAGCTTCTGGTGGATACTGGCCTTCTCTGACTTGCAGTCACATCAGTTCAATCTCAGCCTCCATCTGCATGTCGCCTTCTCTCAGGTGTGTCTCTCAGCTCTCTCTCTTTCTCTCTTATAAAGATATATGCGATTGCATTTAAGGCCACCCTGATAATTCAGGGAAGAGAGCTCCTCTCAAAATCCTTATCATTGGTCATTAGAAAAATGCAAATAAAAACTGCAATGAGATACCATCTCAAGCCAGTTAGAATGGCGATCGTTAAAAGTCAGGAGGCTGGGCACGGTGGCTCACGCCTGTAATCCCAGCACTTTGGGAGGCTGAGGCGGGTGGATCACGAGGTTAGGAGATCGAGACCATCCTGGCTAACATGGTGAAACCCCATCTCTACTAAAAACACAAAAAAAATTAGCTGGGCTTGGTGGCGGGCACCTGTAGTCCCAGCTACTGGGGAGGCTGAGGCAGGAGAATGGTGTGAACTCAGGAGGTGGAGGTTGCAGTGAGCCAAGATCACTCCACTGCACTCCAGCCTGGGCAACAGAGCAAGACTCCGTCTCAAAAAAAAAAAAAGTCAGGAAACAACAGATGCTGGAGAGGACATGGAGAAAGAGGAACACTTTTACACTGTTTTTGGGACTGTAAACTAGTTCAATCATTGTGGAAAACAGTGTGGTGATTCCTCAAGGATCTAGAACCACAAATACCATTTGATCCAGTAATCCCATTACTGGGTATATACCCAAAGGATTATAAAACATGCTACTATAAAGACACATGCACATGTATGTTTATTGTGGCACTATTCACAATAGCAGAGACTTGGAACCAACCCAACTACCCATCAATGATAGACTGGATGAAGAAAATGTGGCATATATACACCGTGGAATACTATGCAACCATAAAAAAAGGATGAGTTCATGTCCTTTGCAGGGACATGGGTGAAGCTGGAAACCATCATTCTCAGCAAAGTAACACAGGAACAGAAAACCAAACACCACATGTTCTCACTCATAAGTGGGAGTTGAACAATGAGAACACAAGGACACAGGGAGGGGAACATCACACACTGGGGCCTTTTGGGGGGTGGGGGTCTAGGGGAGGGATAGTATTAGAAGAAATACCTAATGTAGATGACGGGTTGATGGGTTCAGCAAACCACCATGGCACGTGTATACCTATGTAACAAACCTGCATGTTCTGCACATATATCCCAGAGCTTAAAGAATAATTAAAAAAAAAACCTTAACTTAATCAACTCTTTTGCCTTACAGGGTAAGATACACAGGTTCCAGGGATTTGATGTGGATTTCTTTTGGCCGGGGGGCACCTTTACAGCCCACCACTGCAGCTCTGAACATTCACATAAGGTTCTTATGTAGACACATGGCTTCATTTCTCTTTGTAGGTACCTAGGAATGGATTGCTAGGACCTATGGTAAATTTATGTTTAACTTTTTGAGAAGTTCCCCAACTGTTTTCAGAAGGGGCTGTATCATGTTACATTCCTACCAGCAATGCGGGAGAGTTCTAGTTTCTCCACATTCTTGCCATTTGTCTGCCTTTTCTTTTTTCTTTATCATAGCCATTCTAGTGGGTGTGGAGTGGTATCTCACTGTAGTTTTAATTTGTATTTTCCCATGACTAATAGTGTCGAACATCTCTTCGTGTGCCTGTTAGCTATTCATACATAATTTTTGGCAAAATATCTATTCAAAGCTCTGGCTTGTCTTAAAATTGGGTTGTCTTCTTTTTTTGAGTTATGAGTTAGTCTATCATTTTTCACAACCCGGCCCAGCCATTGCCAGCCCTAAAGACTGTGGTGGCTGAGGTCACCTTGATTAGGAAGTGCTGGGGTAACCCAGTTGCCCAGGGTGCCCTGGGCTGGGGCCAGGCACCATCGTTGCACCGTGCCCTGTGTCAGTTTGTCACTGGAGGGTGGATGGGCCTCACAGGTGGCCTTTTGCCATCAGATACTGTGCCATGGAAGCCAGGACATGGCTCGCCTGTGTACTAGAGATCATCAGTTCCGTGTTCTTGCAGGCTGGCTGTTGTCTGATGAACAAGGGCACTGACTAACAAAATCCCACAATATATTTTCATTGTAACTGGATTGTTTCTTTCCTAACACTTATCACAACTTTAACTAGTTATTTCTGTGATTATATATTTGATATCTTTCTTCCTTCCACTCAACTGTTAAGTTCCCTGGGGACAGGGGCCATGTCCATGTGATTTGCCCCTCTATCACTAGTCTCTAACACAGTTCGTGATGTGTAGCAGGCAACTGATCCATATTTGTTGGATGGGGGAAATGAGGATCCATTTCTGTGCTTTACAGTGGGCAATTCACATGAAATTATTAAATAGAGAGTTGTTTGTTGACCGAATTGTTCACTGTGACATGCATTCTTTTTTTTTTTTTTTTGAGACGGAGTCTCATTTTATCACCCAGGCTGGTGTGCAGTGGCGTGATCTCGGCTCACTGCAATCTCTGCTGCCCGGGTTCAAGCAGTTCTCCTGCCTCAGCCTCCCAAGTAGCTGAGATTACATGCGCCTGCCACTACGCCCAGCTGATTTTTGTATTTTTAGTAGAGATGGGGTTTCACCATCTTGGCCAGGCTGGTCTTGAACTCCTGACCTCATGATCCACCCACCTCACCCTCTCAAAGTGCTGAGATTATAGGCGTGAGCCACCGTGCCCAGCCAAGTGACATGCATTCTAATTTCCCTTTTTTATTTCTCATTTCCAGCGATCTATAACTACAATGCTTCTCAAGATGTGGAGCTCTCCTTGCAGATCGGTGACACAGTTCACATCCTGGAGATGTACGAGGGTAAGTCTGGCTGGCCTTCTGCCAGATGAGGGCAAGGGAAAAACAGTGTAAGTTACTTATTAAAAAGGCACTTAGAGTAAACATCAACATGCTTGACTTCCTGAAACAGTGCTAGTAAAAATTCAGGAAGTACTTGGGTGACACAATTTTGAACAGAGTGTGATTTCAAAACAGCCAGCTGAGTACATGAGCACAAACTTGCACAGACACCAGGGTGAAAGCTCATGCATATGTGAAGGGTGCTGGTGTGGCCAGGCCACTTGGGCACAGAAGGATCAGTGACAGAGCTGGCTCGCGAGGAGACACTTGGGATGTTGGGCTGGCAGTAGCTCAAAGGAAGCACTGCTGATTAAGGGTCTCTTTCTGTTCAGCACTAAATGTTCCCAGGTTGGGGGAGAAATGAGGGAGAGTCTTTCTGGTGTTGCTGAGATTCTTTTAGAAAATTAGGTCATGACTGCAGCAGGTCCAGAAAGCCTGATTGTATATCTCCTTCAACTAGGTCAGGCGAGGGCCGTGGTTCCATTAACCTGTTAGTGGGCTGCGGGGCAGTACTTAGGACTGCCTATTTGTCTGCCAAGCATTGGTCATGTCTGTACCCACTCCACTGCAGGCTTCCAACTTCAGCTCAGGTTCTCTAAATCCTAGAAGAAGTCTTCCTCCATATATCCACATTTTTAATCCAAACCTCTGGAGCACAACAAAAGCATAGCCAGGCCACTGAAGTTGAGGACCAAACCAAGAACTATGTTTAGGGTCCAGTTATTCTCTCAGAAGGTTAGGGTACAAATGAGGTGGAAATTAGGCAGATTTGACAGGGACCGTGCATTTTCCGGGTCTAGCCCCCATGTAAACCCTTGTGATGGTGAAACGGCAGAGATGGTCCGCGAGGACCCCGTGCAGGTTCCTAGGGTGGGATGGGATGACACAGGATGAGAAAGAAGAGATGGGAAGGCAGGAGGAAAGGAAGCAGGATTTGGCCACAGAACAGCTAAATTATCTGCATGGTTGCATGGAAGACTCTGCTATTACTGCAGCCTCCCTTTAGTTTTTGGCAGAGGGCTGGGGTTTCACATTATCCTTTTCCCTTCCACACAACTCAATGTAATCATGTAGCTCCCAGGGGCAGAGAGAAGACAGAGAGGGCTGTGTGAACTCTTCCCTTTTTCTTTCTACTGCTTATTCTCACCATCTCAGGCCCAGCCAAAGCATCAATTCAAAGTCTCCAAGACACTAGGGCAGTCGCCTTATCTTTTCCAGAATCTTTTGCTTATGGAAACCACAGCTCTTCCAATCTTTTTATTTATTTATTTATTTTTTGAGACGGAGTCTCGCTCTGTCGCCCAGGCTGGAGTGCAGTGACACGATCTCAGCTCACTGCAAGCTCCACCTTCCGGGTTCATGCCATTCTCCTGCCTCAGCCTCCCAAGTAGCTGGGACTACAGGTGCCCACCACCACACCCAGCTAATTTTTTATATTTTTAGTAGAGACGGAGTTTCACCATGTTAGCCAGGATGGTCTCGATCTCCTGACCTCGTGATCCGCCTGCCTTGGCTTCCCAAAGTGCTGGGATTACAGGTGTGAGTCACTGCGCCCGGCCTACAGCTCTTCCAGTCTTATCAGCTCATACCTCTTTTGTCAGGAGGCCAGGTTAATTCACTTTGTCTAGCCTCAATGGATGCATATTTTCCTATTGTGCAGGTAAAAAGCATAAGTTCAATTTTTCTAACTCTTCCATGTGGGCTTGGAAAGAATGTATATTTAAGGATTATTGGGTGCAAAGTTCTTTTTTTTTTTTTTTTGAGATGGAGTCTCATTCTGTCGTCCAGGCTGGAGTGCAGTGGCACAATCTGAGCTCACTGCAACCTCCACGTCCTGGGTTCAAGCGATTCTCATGCCTCAGCCTCCTGAGTAGCTGAGATTACAGGCATATGTCATCACACCTCGCTAATTTTTGTATTGTTAGTAGAGACGGGGTTTCATCATGTTGGCCAGCCTGGTCTTGAACTCCTGAGCTCAGGTGATAGCCCCATCTTGGCCTCCCCAAGTACTGGAATTACAGGTGTGAGCCACCATGCCTGGTGGCAAAGTTCTATATATGGTAATTAGGTTCTAATTTCTGAGTCATTTTTCAGGTTTGCTATATGCTAACTTTTTTTTCCTGCTTTCTCTGTTACTGATAGAACTGTGTTAACTCTTCCACCATGATTGTAGTTTGTGTCTCTTTATGGTGATGTCAGCTGTTTGCTTTATGTATTCTGAGACTTGTTTTTAGGTGCCTGCTAATTTAGAATTGTTGTGTTAAACAGTTCTAACTTTTAATTCCTATTTATTAAACCTTTATCATTGTCTTACTCTGTAGTAACATGCTATGTCTTACTCTGTGTTGTGTAAAATTGCAGCCAACTCACTGGCAAGTCCCAGGGCTTCAATTTTTGTCCTCCTGGCTCCACAAGGCCATCAGAAATGCTGCTCAGCTTCTCAGCCACTCAGGAATCCTTTCTTTTTGTTGTTGTTGTTGTTTTTTGTATTTTTTGGAGACAGAGTCTTGCTCTGTCGCCCAGGTGGAGTGCAGTGGCTCAATCTTGGCTCACTGTGATCTCCGTCTCCCGAGTTCAAGCGAGTCTCCTACCTCAGCCTCCTGAGTAGTTGGGATTACAGACACCCGCCGCCATGCCTGGCTAATTTTTGTATTTTTAGTAGAGACAGGGTTTCCCCATGTTGGCCAGGCTGGTCTCGTGGCCAACTCCTGACCTCAGGTGATCCGCCCACCTTGGCCTCCCAGTGTTGGGATTACAGGTGTAAGCCACCGCACCTGGTCAGGAATTCTTTCTTAAATCAGCAGATGGATGCCCCAAGCGGAAAGCAGCCCCAGATGCTGAGCTGGTCTTTTTAGGTTTTGGTCTCTTTCAGATTTTGACCTGGTAATTCTTCACTGCCATGTTAGTTTGTGTGTGTGTGTGTGTGTGTGTGTGTGTGTGTGTGTGTGTGTGTGTGTGTGGCGGGGGCGGGGTGGGGCAGTGTATATGTTTGTGTGTGTTGTTTTGTCAAGCTTTTCTAATTGTCCTACAGAGTGTGGGAGGGAAGAATGGAGACTTGGTCTGAAATAAAGTAGGTAATGTCTTTTGTTTTTTGTTTTTTTTTTCTTTGAGACAGGGCCTTGCTCTGTCACCCTAGCTGGAGTACAGTAGTGTGATCATAACTCACTGCAGCCTTGAGCTCCTGGGCTCAAGCTATCCTCTTGCCTCAGCCTCCCAAGTAGCTGGGATTATAGGCATGTGCCACCACACCCAGCTAATTTATTTATTTATTTTAATGGACACAAGGTCTCACCAAGTTGCTCAGGCTGATCCCAAACTCCTGGCCTCAAATGATCCTCCTGCCTCAGCCTTCCAAAGTGTTGGGATTGTAGGCATAAGCCATAGCACCTGGCCCAGGTGATACCTTTAAAATATTTCTTCAAATTTTTTTTCATTTTTATGTGACCTCAGCGTATTTCTAAGAAATAGTTAATTGAAACACTTTGTCCTGTTAGGGTTCATATCAATAGTAATTTTAAGGATGAGTGTGGTGGCTCACTCCTGTAATCCCAGCACTTTGGTAGGCTGAGATGGGAGGATCCCTTGAGGCCTAGAGTTCAAGACCAGCCTGGGCAACATAGTGAGACCTTGTCTCTACAAAAAATTTAAAACTTAGCCAAGCATGGTGACATGCACCTGTAGTCTCAGCTACTTGGGAGGCTAAGGTGGGAGGATTGCTTGAGCCTGGGAGGCAGAGGCTGCAGTGAGCTGACTACACCACTACACTCCAGCCTGGGCAACAGAGTGAGTCCCTGTCTCAAAAAGAAAAAAAAAAGTAATTTTAAGTGTCTCACTATACTTTACCAAGAGTTCTCCAGTTGGCCTATAAACATTCCTCAAGACAGCATCCCTATGGACCAAGCTAAGGGGGTCACTGAGCTTAGTTGAATATAAATATAATCACAGATACATTCATTTCAAATACCATGCACTTGAGTCCAAACAGTCCAAAACCCACAGTGCTTCTAGTATATTACAGCTCACACTACGATATGCTTGTAGGATGTGCTGGCCCATTTGACAGTCACACAAAAATGGTTAACTTCTTCAGTTATGGTGATCCGGATGCTGTAGTCCTGCCCGCAAGAAACCGCTCTTCTTAACTGCTACCATAACATTTTTGCTGCGTCAGCCGTAGAACTTTTTCATCTCAAAGGACGTCAGTGCCTGTTCTTTAAAAGTAAGCGCATGTCAAGGCGTGAAGGGGAGGGAGGTTGAGAACACTTGAGCCTGCACCGTGAGCTTACTGAGTTCATTAACCACCAAGGGGCAGGTCAGCTTGACAGAGAGATTACTATATTGGATTATATTTTTCATTAGTGTTTATTTTCTGGGATTAATTTTTAAAATCGTGCCTACCTTGCCAGATGTCCCATGATAGGTCCTTGTATCTGCTAAGCACTTAGAGTTCTTGGCTTGATTCTCAAATTCCTTTATTATTTAAGGCAGCTCGAGGCAAGGGCCGGAGTGCTTTGCAAACATGAAACGCGATGGGAATGCTGAGTAATCACTTGTCTTCTACCCCTCTTCTCCTAGTCCCTCTTAACTTTAGAAAAATAAACACAATGAAAACACCGACAGTCCTGCCGGGTGGAACTGAAGGGTGACACTGGCACTGTATTGTGGCCCTGGGATTCGTGTCTTCCAGCTTCCTGTCGGAGCTGACTTTGGGGCGCTCCCTCTGCACTCTGCCCCACCCTGCCCTCGAGATGTCTGCATACCAGATCTGTGTGTGTTTTTCCAGCGTGGACATGAATCCACCCAGACATGAAACATTTTTTCTGCCCACCGCCCGGGACAGAATACTATTTTTGATTCTCCTTTTTCTGTTTCCTGCCGTGTGGTTGGCTGAAAAATTTCAGAAAGTATTGGCTCCTTGAAGGCAAAGCCTGTTCCTCCTTCATCTGCAGAGCCTGTGCCTCCCTAGCTCCTGGTATACGGCAGGTGCTCAGCAACAATCTATTGAATGATGAAGGTAAAATAGGAGACCAAGGCAAGCTGGTGTAGAGAGTAAGGGGGTCAGGGGTCACCTCCACAAAACCCTGGGTATTACAAGGCAGAGGTGCTGTTCCTTCTCTATGAGGGAAATACAGGGGGTGCTAATGTTTTTTGGTCCTCTGCAATTATAGGAGGATTTAGTCATTGCTGAAGTTTTTGTTTTTATTTTATTTATCTTTTTTTTAGAGACAGGGTCTTGCTGTCCCCCAGGCTGGAATGCAGTGGCATAATAACAGCTCACTGTAACCTTGGCCTTTTGGACTCAACGGATGCTCCTGCTTCAGCCTCTTGAGTAGTTGAGACTACTGGTACATGCCACCATGCCTAGCTAATGTTTTTAATTTTTTAGGAGAGGTGAAGCCTTGCTGTGTTGCCCTAGCTGGTCTGGAACTCCCGGCCCTTAGCGATCCTTCCACCTCGGCCTCCCAGAGTATAGGGATTACAGGTGTGAGCCATCGTGCCTGGCCTTGTGGGTTTTTTTGTTTGTTTTTAATAACAGCTTTCTTGAGATATAATTCAAATACCAATCAATTTACTTATTTAAAGTATACAATTCAATGGATATTTACTAATGCAGAGGGTTGGGCAAATATCATCACTATCTACTTTCAGAACACTTTCATCATCCCATAAAGAAGCTCTGTACCCATCGGTAGTCATGCCTCCCCTGGCTCTAGGCAGCTTCAAATTCATTTCATGTAAGTGGAATCACATAATATGTGGTCTTTTGTGACTGGCTGCCTTCATTTGGCATCAGGACTTCATCTCTCTCGCCCTCTCTCTTGCTCTGTTGGTCAGGCTGGAGTGCAGTGGCATGATCACGGCTCACTGCAGCCTTGACCTCCTGGGCTCAAGGAATCCTCCTACTCCAGCCTCCCAGGTAGCTGGGACTATAGGTGCACACCGCTACACCCAGCTAAATTTTTATTCTTTGTAGAGACAGGGTCTCGCTATGTTACTGAGGTTGGTCTTGAAATCCTGGGCTCAGGCAGTTCTCCTGCCTTGGCCTCCCAAGGGCCAAGTGTCCCAGTGTGTTGGGATTATAGGCATGAGCCACTGCACCTGGCCCAACTTCATCTCTTTTCATTGCTGAGTAATATGTATTATGTAGGTACATTATATTTTATTCATTCATCAGTTGGACATTTGGGTCGTTTAGATGTTTCAGCTACTGTGAATAATACTGCTGCAAACATTTGCGTGCAAGTTTTTATGTGGACATATGTTTTCATCTCTCTTGGGTAGGTACCTAGGAGTGGAATTGCTGGGTCATAGGGTAACTCAATGTTTAATATTTTGAGGAACTGCCAGACTGATTGAGCTTTGGCTCCAAAACAGGCGACCAGAGTCCAGATGAACGAGCTTCTATCCATCATCTTTTTTCACTCATTTGACTCTCTGGCCTTGCCCCTGAACTTCATTTGTTGCTAAATGAAGGAAAGAAGCAGAACTGACTGAGAAGCTATCTACTGCTCATCCGTTACAGGTCTCCAGGAATTATTTGTCTTTAGAGACTTTATCAGGAAACAGAATTCCTTAAGGACTGAAGCGAGCGTTCTTGCCTTTCTTCATCTTTGGCACTGGCTTGCCCACAGTCATTTTTGTGTCTTTGCTTCTTTTACTGTGGAATGTATTTGGCAGCGAGGTAGCTGTTTATTACTGTGAACGTTCCTTTCCACCCCAGATCCATGGCAGAAAGTGCACTGACTTCTGGAGATGCCCGGCCGTGAGGTCATTTATTCATTCAACATTATTTGCTGAGCACCAAGTATGTGCCAAGTACATTTATTGAGCATGAGAGATGTTCTGGGTACTCTGTGGTCTCTTAAGTGACAAAATGCAAGTTCCTGCTCTCATAGGGTTTACATTGGAGGGATAGACAAAACCAAGTAAACAAAGTAAGTAAACAAAACAATTCAGATATGTGCTTACAAATGCTATGGGGAGAAGAGGGTGGTATTGCAGAGGCCAGAGGTGGAGGACAGCGATGGAGAGGGAGACGGAAGACTATTGTAGGTTGGTAGTTTTGTCCTTGTCTAGATTGACTGTCCCTGGGCAAGATATTGCAGCTGTCTTTGTGACAAGGACATTTCATCTAAATTGGAGTCACTTTTTGAGTCAAGAGTGATCAAATGTAAGTGCTTTGAAAAGTGCATAGTACCTTGTATGTGTCAGGTTTCAGCATCCTGTTACCATGGAGCTCCCCTCTCCTGTGATTAACGTCACTCCAGTCACAAGTGGTTTTAGGCCTGGAGTCTGAGGTTCCTCTAGTGCTGGTTTCCTGTGTTTAATTCATATCCATCGATTAACTCTTTTTCTGCTCCGTAAACCACTCACAAGCTCACGAGAAAGGGCGGCTGGTATGCTGGTGTTAGCAGTGATTTCTGGGGTAAATACAACACAATTGACCGCTGTTGGAACAAACACAACGAAATGTCTCAAAGGTGAGCTGAACTGTACAGAGGCAGGCACAGCACATATTATTTCAGGGCAATTTGTAAAGACTCGAAGGATAGCACAAATGCTTGGACTGGAACCAGAGGAAACAGGCAAACCTGAAAAGTTAAAAGAAACAAAAAGAAGGGTTTGTATACGTACAGGAGTTCCCCAGAATACCCATGTTATTTCTTCTATATAGAAGAAGTCTAGTTTTTGAATGCACTTTAATCAAAAAATCTACTTCCCTCTAATATGAAAAGGAATAAAAATGTATTAAGACTTGAGCTGTATGTGTTTTGAATCTCATTTTTATAAAGCAGGCCTTTGTGAGTAGGGACAGTGGGCAGTGTTATGACAGGTAAGTTACATGGCAATGAATTTTGTCTGCATGTTTGCCAAAACTTTCTAACAGAGATATAAAAAAGAAGAGAGTGGGCTGGGTGCGGTAGCTCATGCCTGCAATCCCAGTACTTTAGGAGGCTGAGGCGGGCAGATCACATGAGGCCAGGAGTTTGAGACCAGTCTGGCCAACATGGCAAAACCCTGTCTCTACTAAAGATACAAAAATTAGCCGGGCATGGTGGTGTGCACCCATAATCCCAGCTACTTAGGAGACTGAGGCACAAGAATCGCTTGAACCCGGGAGGCAGAGGTTGCAGTGAGCTGAGATCACGCGTGCCATTGCACTCCAACCTGGGTGACACAGCAAGACTCTATCTCAAAAAAAAAAAAAAAAGAGTGCTTTTAAAAGATTTTTTTCAAACAGAGGCTTAATCATCATCCTTTAGAGATGTGGTAATAGGAACCCTGCATTGGATTATGATACAGTATGGTATCTAACGTTTTGAGAATGTCTGTCTGATTGTCACATTCTGTTATGCTCTATGACAATTAATTCTGTAACACTGAAATCTCTTTATTGTTCCTCCTTTCTACTTGTTTCTTTCTCTACTTGGTCATCCATGCACAGTGGTCAGAAGCCAAGAGAGAGACAAAAGATTCAAAATTGCTGTTAAAAATCAGTTCTTAATAGAATGTGTAAAAGTTTACTGGATATAAGCTTCAATAGGGGTGTCCAAGGTATTTGTAACTTCCGTTTACTTTTGTTACCCGCTAATTAAAATAATTGAAAGTTTATTGTAATTCAAAATCTATATAGTCTCCACGATCTAGGTATAGAAATACTGCCTTTCTCATACATAAATGGCAGTGAGCCTAACAGCTTGGATTTTATGACGCTGCGTGCAAATATTTTGGCATTAGCCTGGAAAGCAGATAAGGCCATGTGGCATTTTGTTGAGTGTGCTTGGTCACTTCCCACATCTGTTTGACCTTTACCTTAAGTACAGCTTGTGAGCTACTACTGCTGGTGACATATGTTCCTGAGATGTGTTTTTCAAAAGATATGTGTGGCAGTAGGAGGGTGTTTACCAGAGAAATTAATTAAAAGGAGTGTCAGTGAAAAGTCTTATCTCGGATTTAATCTTTAAAAAAAGCGAATGCCTTCTATTTTTCCTTTTCAGGTATGTTTCAGTATGCTTCTAAAATTCTAAAATTCCATCTTTATTTATTTTTTTGAGACAGAGTGTTACCCTGTCTCCCAGGCTGGAGTGCAGTGGTGCAATCTTGGCTCACTACAACCTCTGCCTGCTGGGTTCAAGTGATTTTCATGCCTCAGCCTCCCGAGTAGCTGGGATTACAGGCACGTGCCACCACGCCCAGCTAATTTTTAGTAGAGACGTGGTTTTGCCATGTTGGCTAGGCTGGCCTCAAACTCCTGGCCTCATGTGATCTGCCCACCTTGGCCTCCCAAAGTGCTGGGATTGCAGGTATGAACCACCAACCCTAAAATTCCATCTTTAAAAATGTACGTGATTCAGGTATAGGCATATATGGAATTTTCTACTGTAGAGTTCACAACTGTTTCCTGAGTGGTACCTTCATTCAGTTATTCTGTCATGAGTAAGTACTTGGAATTACCTATTTGGGCAGCTCCTATGCACCTAAGGAGGCAAACTCAGTCTGAAAGCAAATATGCTTTTGGGAGTACTCTGGAGGAATATTCCCAGGAGCTTTTAGCATTCCACAGATTTTGGACCGCAACAGATCTTGGTTGGATCAAGTGGTTGAAATGGGAGCAGAGTCCTTCCATCCCATGCACACACATACCTGCTCACAGCTGTCTTCACACCCCTGATTGCTGTAGCATTCACATTATTTGGTGCATAACCTTTATTTTTTTTAAATGCGTTAGGTTATGTCCATATAACATCACGGTTGGGCTGGCTAAGCCTCATTAAGGATTAGTGTAAGGAGAAAGCCTTAGAGGAAAGTTTAAAATTGATTGAGGGCAAATGATCATACTTCTCCTCTTGCTTATATCTGGAAAAAAAAGTTAAATATATGCCTCTGCTTCATCCATAGTAATATAAGAGTCAGTTATTATCTTTAAAAGCATATATTGATGAAAGAATTTGAAATACTAAATAAATGGAAGCTATCCCATGTTCATGGGTAGGGAGACTCAATGTCAAAATGTCAGTTCTTCTGAAGTTGATTTATAGATTCAAAGCAATCCCAATTAAAATCCCAGACAGTTATTTTGTGGATATCGACAGATGGATTCTAAAGTTATGTGGAGAGGCAGAGGACTCAGAACAACCAACATGAAGTTGAAGAACAAAGTTGGAGGACTGACACTACCTGATTTCACAACTTACTATAAAGCTATAGTAATCAAGACTGTGGTATTGGCAGAACACTAGACAAACAAATCTACTGAACAGAACAGAGAGCTCACAAATAGACCCACACAAATATAGTCAGCTGACCTTTGACAAAGAACAAAGGCAATACAATAGAGAAAAGATATTCTTTTTAACAAATCGTGCTGGAACAACCTGACAACCACATGCCGAAATAATAATTTAGACACAGACCTTTCACCCTTGACAAAAAATAAGTCAAAATAAATTCAAGACCTAAATGTAAAATATAAAGGTGTAAAACTCTTAGAATATAATAACATGGAGAAATGTAAATGACTTTTGATATGGGGGTAACTTTTTAGATATAACACTGAAAACACAGTTATATGAAAGAAATAAGTGATAAACTGGACTTTATTAAAATTTAAAACTTCTGCTCTGCAAAAGATAATGTCAAGAGAATGAGAAGTTAAGCCACAGTATGGAAGAAAATTTTGTAAAAGAGAAATTTGAGGGTGGGCCCAGTGGCTCACACCTGTAATCTCAGCATTTTGGGAGGCCGAGGTGGGCAGATCACGAGGTCAAGAGATAGAGACCATCCTGGCCAACATGGTGAAACCCCGTCTCTACTAAAAATGCTAAAAATTAGCCGGGCGTGGTGGTGGCCAGCTGTAATCCCAGCTACTTGAGAGGCTGAGGCAGGAGAATTGCTTGAACCTG
This sequence comes from Homo sapiens, assembly GCF_000001405.40. Taxonomy (NCBI): domain Eukaryota; kingdom Metazoa; phylum Chordata; class Mammalia; order Primates; family Hominidae; genus Homo; species Homo sapiens. The sequence goes on from NC_000008.11 coordinate 25,254,701, forward strand.
GGAGGCAGAGGTTGCAGTGAGCCGAGATTGTGCCACTGCACTCCAGCCTGGCGACAAAGCAAGACTTTGTCTCAAAAAAAAACAAAACAAAACAAAAAAAAAAAACATTTGATAAAGGACTATTATCTAAAACGTATAAAGAGCTTTAAAATCCAACAATAAGAAAACAACCCACTTAAAACATGGGCAAAGACCTTCACAGAAACCTCGCTAAGGAAGATATATATCCATATGGCATGTAAGTGTGTGAAAAGATATTCAGCATCATATATCATTAGAGAATTGAAAATTAAAGTAATGAGATACTACTGTGCACCTATTAAAATGGCCAAACTCCAGAATACTGACAACACCAAATGCTGCCAAGGATGTGGAGCAACAGGAACTCTCATTCATTGCTGATGGGAATGCAAAATGGTACAGCCACTTTGGGAGACAGTTTGTTAGTGTCTTAGAAAGCTAAACACACTCTCATCACACAATGCAGCAATTTCTGTCCTTGGTATTTACCCAAAGGAGTTGAAAACTTACACCCACACAAAAGCATGCACATAGATGTTTGTAGCAGCTTTATTCATAATTGCCAAAATGTGGGAGTAAACAAGATGTTCTTCAGTAGGTGAATGGATAAACACAGTGTTACATCCAGACAATGGAGTATCATTCAGCGCTAAAAAGAAATGAGTTATCAAGCCATAAAAAGACATAGATATGCATGTTACTAAGTAAAAAGAGTCAATCCACATGATTCCAACTATATGACATTCTGGATAAGGAAAAACTATGGAGATGGTAAAAAGATTCGTGGTTGCCAGGGGTTAGAGGGAAGGAGGGATGAAGAGGTAGAGCACAGGGAATTTTTAGAGCAGTAAATCTACTCTGTATGATACTGTAATGGTGGAATCATGTCATTATACATTTGTCCATACCCATAGAAGGCACAACACCAACAGTGGACCCCAATGTAACCTATGGACTTTGGGTGATAATGATGTGTCAGTGTAGGTTTGATTGCAATAAATGTACCACTCTGGTGGGGTATGTTGATAGCAGGGATGTCTTGTCAGGGGACAAGAGGTATATGATAACTTTCTGTACCTTCTGCTCAGTTTTGCTGTGGACCTAAAATTGCTCTACAAATTAAAGGCTATTAAAAATTTTTAAGCATATAAGGAGACTTCTGTGTCATAAATATTAACTCTGTGCTTGAGTACACCCATTCTGTTTCACCCATGGAGTTGAATGATTCAACAGAAATGGTCATAGTAGCAGGAAACAGACTGCCTAAAAAACTTGTGTTTTATTGATGGGTCTTAGAAACCCATGAAAACTTCACTTCTCTTCCTTGCCTCATCTCCAGGTATAATTCAAGCTACAAATAAGAATGGACAAGGCAACACAGGAAAGTTTCTAGTTACAGAAAGATTCTTAGTCTTACTATTATATTCTGTGTATCTGTTCCTAATGTTTGTCATGCAACCAAGAATATTAGATATGTGTGTGTGTGTTTAACTTTTCCAATAGGAATATAGGATTTTAAACAACTGTATCTAGCAATTTGGTTAATCTTCTAAATGGCAGGAACAATGAGTATTACATTACTAACCTTGAATACTTGTTTAGTTTTCACCAATGCCAGTGTAAGAATCTGTTACAGGCCGGGTGCAATGGCTCAAGCCTGTAATCCCAACACTTTGGGAGGCTGAGGCGGGTGGATCACTTGAGGTTAGGAGTTCAAGACCAGCCTGGCCAACATGGCGAAAACCCGTCTCTACTAAAAATACAAAAATTAGCTGGGTGTGGTGGAGTGTGCCTGTAATCCTAACTACTTGGGAGACTGAGGCAAGAGAATCACTTGAACCTGGGAAGGAGAGGTTGCAGTGAGCCAATATTGCACCACTGCACTGCAGCCTGGTCGACAGAGCGAATCTCCATCTCAAAAAAAAAAAAAAAAAAAAAGAATCTGTTATAGTTGGAATTGAAAGATACAAAGGGTGAAATTTTTTCTTAGTGTCACTTTCATTGCTGACACTAAGTGTTTAATCAGGCCTTAGATAACCAATTTGGGTAACTTTTGAGTTTGGCCCCATTTGGTCTCTGCCAAGGCCCTGGTTACTCAGTGCCATGTTTCTCGATTATTCTAGCCACAGTCTTAGGGTTTTTCTATCACTCAAATTGTTTCTTCTTGACTTTTTTTTTTTTGGTCCTCTTTCTTTTAAAGTCATCTTTTCTACCATTTTCTTGGAGTAGGGAAGTTATGCTGGAAAATAAAATTATGTCTTCATATCAGGTACTATAGTCTGGACACCCCTAGCATGGTATTCTAGCTGTTTTGTGTGTCTCAGCTTTGGTTGTTGGCAGTAATTTAAGTAGTTGAGAGAGGTTCTGTTCTTTTTGAGGAGCACAGACACATTCTTCAAAAAAATAAGTAAAAAAGAACTCCAAATAGAGCCCCCCACAGCACAGGAACCAGAAGACAGACCTAAGCACTGCCGTTGGTCCCTGAACTGTGCCATTGTGTACCTTCCGTGTCTGACATTTTACATCCCTCTCTATGCCAGGCATCGAGCTACGGCCTTTCATGTACTGCCTCTCAGTTCTTACAATCCTGGGAGACCAGAATTATTGATGCTCTTTTAATCAATGTGGAGATTTAGGTTAAGAAACTTGAAGAAATTCATGCAGCTATTAAATGGCAGAGCTGTGATTCCCACTGGGGTCCTGTGGAATCCTAGTATATTGTTCTTTCCACAACATGCAGCCCTTTAGCAAATGACGTTTATACTTTTGGACACGACATAAAGTTTTCCAAAGGGGTTAGGGTTGTTTTGCTTTTGAAATAGCCACCTGAAAAGTTCAGCAGCACCCCAAATGTGTCTGTATTGCGGTGAGCTCTTTCTGAACTTAGCTCCCCTCCATGGCTCTTGGCACACAAACTTGCCACTCTTACCCAGTGGTCTCGTTGCTGTCCTGGAGGGAGATCAGGGATTGGGGTTATACTCTCAAATTCCTTGAGGTCCCATAGCCTCTAGCATAACTCTTTATAAAAAGTGGGCCTCATGTTGGTTGATTAATTGTACATCTCTCTCATTCGTCTTTCGAAGTCATGCTGATGATAACAAAACCAGCATAAGAGTGAGTTGCAGCAAATTCATTGCTCCTACTGACAAAACCACATGCTACCTCCTGTCATCTCAGCTTTCTTGACTGCTTGGATAAGCTAGAGAAATGCACCACAGAAGAGGAAAGTTAGACTTTTAGCAAGAAGGACTAACCGCTGGCAAGATTACTTTGCTTTAAAAAGGAAAGAAAGAAAAACCACATCCAGAAAATATAAAGCGAATTGGCCAAAAAGTAGATGATGTTGTCCAGGCTACAGGAAGTGTTATTTCCTTCCTCTCACTGAGCTTCCAGGGCTCTGTGAAGGCACAGAGGGAGGTTTCCTTGTTTTGCAGTGGAAATTTGGATATATCATCTCTCTATTTTGCTGACTGTGATTTGGTCCTCTTCCTCATCCCTCACTGCCTGGACCAGGTCTCTCTGCTTGTCTCAGAAGGTATTTACTGGTTGCAAATAGAAATCTCTGCTATCACCCTCTGTGATAGGCAACCAGAATAAACCTTCTTGGCATTCTTTGCTACAGATGTTATGGGGTAACAAGATTAAAAATATTGTAATGTTTTTGTGGAATGAAATTTAAGAGATTTAAACTGTAATTACTTAAAATTGACAAGGGAAAAAAATGGAGTCCCCCAGAGCTGGTTACTGTGGAGCTAGGATGGAGAACCAGGCCTTTTGGTGTCACACAAGCTCTCTTTATAAAGAAGCAATGGCTCCTCTATTCTGGGCATTCTGGCCGTGTAGGCAGGGTGCTTTAGCGCTGCCTGTCTCTGCCCACTGGGCATGGGATCCCAGGAGAACAAAGAAGGGTCACTCAGACCCTGCTATCCAAGTGTGTCTTGTGGGTGCAGGTTTCATTGCATATTCCTTACAGCAGTCTATTCTATACCTAGCCAGTGGCTCAAGAACACCTGTCTTTCTCATTGCTATATTCATCAGATGTTTACTCAGTGCCTGCTGCATGCCAGGCACTGCGAAGGACAGTTCCCTGTTTTGATCATTAAAAAAATTAAATAGACCGGACACAGTGGCTCACGCTTGTAATCCCAGCACTTTGGGAGGCTGAGGTGAGTGGATCACTTGAGGTCAAGAGTTTAAGACCAGCCTGGCCAATATGGTGAAATCCTGTCTCTACTAAAAATACAAAAATTAGCTGGGCTTGGTGGTGCATGCCTGTAATCCCAGCTACTCAGGATGCTGAGGCAGGAGAATTGCTTGAGCCCGGGGGGGCGGAGGTTGCAGTGAGGTGAAATCATGCCACTGTACGCCAGTCTGGGTGACAGAGCGAGACTCTGTCTCAAAGAATGAATAAATGAATGAATGCATGAATGAATAAATAAAGCCAGAAGACTTATCTCCTTTTTCACTTAGATGGTGTGCCTATGCGTGTGTGTTTTATACTGATAGAATTCCATGGCCAAGCTCACCTGACCTGAGGGGTGGCGCATTGAGAAAGTGTCCTGTCTACTGTGCCCCAGCAGGGCCGTGGGCTAGCTTGGTATAAGGTAAAGCAATGAGCTGGCAGGTAGGAGGCCTGTGTTTGTATCCCCAGCTTAGGTAGTAAGTAGCTGGGTGATATGGGACAAACCTTTTCAGTTCCTTAACTATGTTTTCTTTCTTTAATTAATTTATTTACTTTTTATTTTATGTTTTAAGAGGCAGTCTTGCTCTATCACCTAGGGTAGAACACAGTGGCACCATCATGACTTACTGCAGGCTCAACTTCCTGAGCTCAAGTGATCCTCCCGCCTCAGCTTCCTGAGTAGTTGGGACTACAGGCATACATCATCACCAGGCCTGGCTGATTTAAAAAAAATTTTTTTAGAGACAAGGTCTTACTATGTTGCCCAGGCTGGTCTTGAACTCCTGTCCTCAAGCGATCCTCCTGCCTTGGCCTCCCAAAGTGGTGGGATTACAGGTGTGAGCCACCGCACCTGGCCTCCTTTGTTTTAAGTAAGGTTGTTATATTTTAGTGAGCTGTGAGTTCTTTCCAATATCTGGCTATCTCAAATCCACAAAATTGAGCTCAGATAATTAACCTGGAAGACTCATTTGTCTCACCAAGAAGTACAAAAGAATAGAATCATCTTTTACCATCTTTGCATCCCTTGACTTTCTGCCTTTGAACTTATTTTCAAAAGCCCCAGTGAGTTCCATGTGGAGTGCGGACATCTTGAGACCTGAGGCTCAGGAAGGCGGTGAGTGTGCTGTGCACAGGGAGAGGTGCAGCCACTGTCTGTAAGGAAGGATTTTAGACCCAGCCCTTTGTCTGTCCTGTGACGAGTTTGCACCCAGCAGTTTCTGCTCACTGGCTTCCCAAGAGACAATCAGCTTCTATTGGAAGGACAGCTCACCGGGGATGGGAGGACAGGATATGCCCGTGGAAACCTGACGAGCTTACCTGGCCCACAGGGGATGGAGCCTTTGCCCTTGGCCTCATTTACTGTGTTTTATCCAGTAAGATACCAGACCAGCAACACTTAAAGGAAAAACAACAGGATTTAGCACCTGCTCCTTCTCTGGGGTGCCGCCCACCCCCGCCCAGTCCCCACAAACACACACATAATGCAGGTGTATAGAAACATAGCTCTTTTATGTGTGTACGTGGGGTAAAACTAATTTATCTTGTGATCAGAAAGTAGGGAGAGATTTTATAAAACACTCCATAATTTCAGCATCTGAATGATGCTTTTCTTGTTGGGAAATCATGCGTCCCTCTCAGTAATTGCTTCTGAGTCTTCAGCATATTCATGACTTTCTCTTTTGTGTGCCAGAGTCTACAAGCATTACCATTAAAAGCCCTTTTGTATTTAGTTATTTGTTTACAGATCTGTTTCCTTCCTCCTTGAAGACAATGTCTGGCACACTGGTGTTCAATAAATGTTTTCATGTATAATGAATGAATGACCACATTAGTAATGTAAATCCTCAGCCTAAATGTACATCCTCAGAGAGACAATTTTCTTTCTTTCTTTCTTTTTTTTTTTTTTAAACGGACAGAATCTTGCTCTGTTGCCCAGGCTGGAGTGCAGTGGCGCGATCATAGCTGACTGCAGCCTCCAACTTCTGGGCTCAAGAGATCCTCTGACCTTGGCTTCCCTAGTAGCTAGGACTATGAATGTGTGCCACCTCACCTGGCTAGTTATTTTATTTTTAGTTTTTTGTGGAGACAGGATTTTGGCTATGTTCCCCAGGCTGGTCTCCCACCTCAGCCTCCCAAAGTGCTGGAATTATGGATGTGAGCCACCACGCCCAGAGAGAATTTTCTAACCATGTTTTCTAAAGTAGCTCCATCCTCAGGAGTTGGCCTTTCCCAGGTTAGCCTCTTTTATTCCTTTATAACTTTTAGCCCTATATGAAGTTACTTTTCTTGTTTATATGCTTGTGTGTTTACATATATATTTTTTTCTTTCCATTATTAAGTAAGATTTAGGACACGGAGACATTGAATACCCTGCTTTCCTAACATCTGTAACTAATTGCTCACTGGAGAAATTAATCTCCAATCTGCAGTTGAACTTCTGGAAATAGCAAAACTTGTTCAGAATGAATTTTGGAGCATGCAGTAGTAATTAAGATGAATAATGTCTTTGGGAAGACAAAATACCACGTAAAGTAATGGAGAAATAGTTCTGTGCTTTTTCACACATGACTCAAACTTGTTTCAGAGGCATTTCCAAACAAAAATATTCAGTCATATTTCAGCAATGCAATTCCATGTTACTTTGAGGTGGTTACTTTATAGAGTAATATTCATCTGACGGTGTCAATTTTTACATTAAAGAAAAAGTGCAGTAAAATTTACAAGCAACAAAAGGCATTCATCTTAGGTTTACAATTCAATGTGTTTTATCAAATGAATGCAGCTTGTATGCCTAACATTCCGATCAAGATAAAACACATTTCCCTTACCCCAGAAAATTCCGCGGTATCTTTATCCACACAGTTCCCACCCTCAGTAAACAGCCACCGATCTGGTTTAGATCACTGCGAGTTAGTTTTACCTGTGAGTCAACTTCATATCAGTGGAATTAGATGTGTCTATTGTGTTTGGGCTCTTTCACTTATTGTAATGGTTTTTGGGTTCATCCATGATGTTGCACATCCGTAGTTCATTCCTGTGTATTGCCAGGTATAACTATATTACGTATTATATATCATAGTTATAGTATAGTAAGTAATATATACATATAACACTGTCAGTACTCCCATTGATGTACATTTTGATGTATTCCAGCTTTTGACTATTAAAAATAAAGCATTCACAAACATTCTTATAAAGCACTGGAGTGAGGATGTGGCCAGGTCATAGGATAAGTGTACGTTTAACTTTATAAGAAACCACCAGCAATGAGAGAGAGTTCCAGTTGCTCCATCTCCTTACCAGTGATTGGCACAGTCAATCTTTTTAACTTTAGCCATTGCAGTGGGTGGATAGTATTTCACTGTCTTTTTTTTTTAGAGTTATAATTTGCATAGAGTAAAATTCACCGTTTTTAGTGTACAATTCTGCAGGTTTTGACAAATGCATACAATCTTGAAACACAACCGTGGTCAAGCTACAGAACCATTCCGTCAGCCCCCAAGTTCTCCTGTGTCCCTTTTCAGTCATCCCCATGCCACCCTGAGCACTTGGCAACTACTCATGTGTTTTGTATCCCTATAATTTTGCCTTTGCCTAGTTCTGGCCTACCAGGGTTTATCAGCGGTATATTTTTTAAAATGTTATCAGTCATATATGTTTATAAATTTAAACATCAAGACCATTTCTACAAGGTTTATAACGAAAAACAGGAGACCCTTCTTAACTCCTCTCGAATTCTGAGGAGTTTCAACTTTTTCAGAAGTCTTTCAACTCTTTCAGCCAATGTTTTATGCCATAAATCTCTTCATTTCTAAATTCATTTCTTACTATGGAAGATAAGGATTTCACTCTTCTGTACACCCCACCAACGATGCAGATACCCATTAATCCCTCATAGAAAAGCAAATATAGATACAATTTTTTTTTTTTTTTGAGACCGAGTCTGGCTCTGTCTCTCAGGCTGGAATGCAGCGGCATGATCTCAGCTCACTGCAACCCCCACCTCCAGGTTCAAGTGATTCTCCTGCCTCCACCTCCTGAGTTTTTTTTAAACACTTAGGATTTGGGTTATTATGCCTATGTAGTGTAAGCAGCAGAGGCTGTGGGATTTACCTTGATTACATTTCCTTTCTTGAATAATATGTTTTTCTAGAGCTAATTCCTTTTTTTCTTCATTCTCTGTGAATTTACCTCTATTTCATACTCAAGGTTGCTGACAGGAGTATTGACTGCCTTTTAATATGTTGAGACAAATAAGATCATTTATCAGTTTCTTTTTTTTCTTGGATTCATTCCTCATGGGACCGTCTGTCCTCCTCCCTTGTTTGGGACGTTGTGCTTTCCCAGTGACAGCTCTTTTTCTGAGGGCTCTCTTTATCATCTGTCTTGGGGACAGAAAAATAGGAACTAACTAGGTAATTCAACAGAGCTAGGGGTAGTATGCATTTGTATAAATACAGATTAATACCTGTTAATTTTGACTGATCCACATGTATAAAAAGTCATGAATTCATGTGGATACCTTCAATCCCAATCCGGCAGCACAGGGTTCATTCGAGATTTTTCCCTTCTGGGGCTTATAACTCCATTCTATAATAGTAAGAAACCTAGCTTCCCATATTTTTAATAGATTTAGCTATTTGATCAGTTCCCTGGTATGTAACTGATCACTCATCCTCATTAGCATGCTGTCTCCCATGGGAACACCCCCCTCACCCCGTTTTAGCTCAGCTATCCGAGGCCAGTGCACCACCCCCAAGTCCTATGTGCGGATACCCCCTCGCCCCACTTAGGCTCTGACACCCCGTCTGCTCCCTTACACGGATGCCCACCTCGGTCCCCCTGGGCTCTGACATGCCATGCCAGTCTGGACCCCTCTGCGGATGTGCAGCCTTCCCCCACTGCGAATGCCCAGGTCACTCTGCTCCACCCCATGGCTCAGTACTCAGCTGCCCAGGAGGGACGGCAGAAGGGGCAGGATCCATCTCCTGATTCTGTCCTGATTCCCATTCCCCAAGGTTTTCCTTTCTTCAATCTTCCTATACCAAAGACTACTGTCCTCCTATTTGCTTAAGCCCAAAATACAAATACCTTTGAGAATTTGCCTTTACTCCCCCATTCATGGCCACCCCCAGCAAAATCATGAGCAACTCCTGTTGATTCATATATATCATTCGTCTGGGTGCGGTGGCTCATGCCTATAATCCTAGCACTTTGGGAGGTCTAGGCAGGCGAACCGCTTGAGTCCAGGAGTCCGAGACCAGCCTGACAGCATGGGGAGATGCCATCTCTATAAAAAATGCAAAAAATAGCCGGGCATGGTGGCATGCACCTGTATTCCCAGCTACCAGGGGTCGGGGTTGGGTGCTGAGGTGGGATCCATGGAGCTGGGGTGGCGGAGGTTGCAGTGAGCCATGATTGTGCCACTGCACTCCAGTCTGGGTGACAGAGTGAGATCCTGCCACAAGAAAAAAACAACAAAAAAAACCTCATCAATGTATATATCCTACATTTTTTTCATCTCTCTTCCTCTTCACTGCACCCACCACTCCCCTTTGGTGTTCCTCTTGCTACTACACCTCACATCCCACAATCCATTCCCATATAGCAGCAAGGATGCTCTTTTAAAAGCCTAAGGCAGCCAGGCACAGTGGCTCACGCCTGTAATCCCAGCACTTTGGGAGGCCGAGGCTGGTGGATCAATTGAGGTCAGGAGTTCAAGACCAGTCTGGCCAACGTGGTGAAACCCTGTCTCTACTTAAAATACAAAAAATAAGCTAGGCATGGTGGCACACCTCTGTAATCCCAGCTACTGAGAAGGATGAACCATGAGAATTTCTTGAACCTGGGAGGAGGAGGTTGCAGTGAACCAACATTGCACCACTGCACTCCAGCCTGGGTGACAGAGCAGGACTGTCTCAAAAAACAAAAAACAACAACAACAAAAAAAACATAAGGCATGATGACATTTGAAACCCTCCAACGCTTCCTGCTGTACTTAGAATAAAACTTGAATTTCTCCATGGCATATAATACCTGTGTCTGATAATTAATCTTGGCTACACATTAGCATCACCATCTCCATGGCATATAATACCTGTGTCTGGTAATTAATCTTGGCTACACATTGGCATCACCATCTCCATGGCATATAATACCTGTGTCTGATAATTAATCTTGGCTACACATTGGCATCACCATCTCCATGGCATATAATACCTGTGTCTGGTAATTAATCTTGGCTACACATTAGCATCACCAGGGGACCTTTTAGAAGCATTAAGTCTGGGCCTCACCCCAGACCAGTTAAATCAGAATATTTGGTGGTGTGGACTAGGCATCAGTGTTTGTAAAAGTTCCTGGTGGGTCTCACGGGTGCCCAGGGTTGAGAACCAGGCCTCCTCTAACTACCTTCGTATTGCCTCTCCCCATTTCAGTCTCTTGCGCTGAACTCTGGCAATGACATTTTTCTTCTTTCTTTGAACTTCAGGCTTATTCTTGCCTCACAACTTCCTCGCTTGATTTGTTTCTGTCTGGAAGTTTCTTTGCCCAGATCTGTTAATGGCTCATTCCTTTTAGCTTCTTAGAGTAATCTGTCCTTGGTCACCGTATCTAAAATAATGTGCCATGTTACCAACCATTCTCTGCCATATTACTTTTCTTGAGCACTTCTTCCTCTTAGCACTGTCATTATCTCAGGTCATTCTACTTGTGTATATTTTTAACATTAGAGTGTAATCTTCATGTGAACTCTTGCTTTCCATTATGTCATGGTTCTTAATTAGTGTTTAATAAAGATTTGTAGAATGACTGCATGTAGCGAGGAGAAGAATCAGGGAAGAGATCTGTTGGACAGAAAGTGTGCAGGAGCCAGAGAGACATTTGGATAGGTGAAGTGAAATGGAGCAGATAAGAGTCCTGACTGATGGAGATTACTTGAGAAGCCAGATTTAAAGTAAATAATTTTGACAGTGGAATTAGCAACTCTCTGTTATTTTCAGTTGGAGAGGACAGATTTTTATTCTGGATTAGAGCAATCCCAAGAAAGCAGAAAAGACTTGTGAGCCTAGCGAAAGAGCAACCCTCAGCATAGAATACGTTGGTGTTCACCATGGTTGCCATGAATTTGCTTTTTGCAACTGTCATTTCCCCTAAATGTAGGCAAGAGTGGCCCTCTGGACTCATTATCCCCTCACGATTCCCTTTATTTTAATGGTGTAATAACTTAAAGCATCTGAGATCCTGCGGACCACTTCACACCACCCACCGATTGCAGCTACTGATATGCCCATCACTTCCTCTTTGCATTATGCCTTCTTTTTTTTTTTTGAGATGGAGTCTCGCTCTTTCACCCAGGCCAGAGTGCAGTGGCACTATCTCGGCTCACTGCAAGCTCCGCCTCCTGGGTTCACCCCATTCTCCTGCCTCAGCCTCCCTAGTAGCTGGGACTACAGGCACCCGCCACCACGCCCGGCTAATTTTTTGTATTTTTAGTAGAGACGGGGTTTCACCGTGATAGCCAGGATGGTCTCGATCTCCTGACCTCGTGATCCGCCCGCCTCAGCCTCCCAAAGTGCTGGGATTACAGCATTATGCCTTCTTAAGTCTAATATCAAGCTATATTTAATTATGATTGTCTTACTGTAAATACGCGGGATTAATTGGAAAACTGGATTCTTGCTTGTATGACAACCCAGGTATGTAATGTGGAAATGAGCAAACATATTTGTGAACTATTACCATATTCTGTGCAGTTATTAAAATTGAATTTATGGAGTTCTGACAGTATACGCTTAAAACTCCAGAGATAGATCTGTTCTCTCATACCTGATGCAAGGAAAATGAACATTCACGTTTACAAATTCAGCATGATAATTTTGTGCCTTTAGGTAGGGCTTACACACACACCACAATTCTAGAGAAGACATAGGAGGTTAAAAAAAAAAGTTTTTTCAACAATGACAGGCTTAGGAAGCATAATTCCGTGATGAATGGTTGTGCAAAATACTGTTTACAAACGTACAGATAAATTCTTCTTTGAAAGTGGAATGAAGTTTGTATTGTGACAGCTTGGCTTTATAGGGCACAGAACGATGAAAACTGTTTGGAAAAGATGAATATCTTGTTTCTCAGCCTGCCCGCCTCCCACTCTGCCCTTTTCCCAGGGTGAATTCGAAGCCATTTATTCATGCAAAAGCCCATTTTCATGTTTTCACAGAACCAAGCAAGTATATACAGATGGGTACAGACCTTGAGACCTGGGGAGAAATGCTTAGCTTAGTATCCTTCTTATTCCTGAATCTCTTACACCTTGGCATCCTAAATCGGGGGAAGTGTTTCCTGTTTAGATATCTTTTTCTCAGCCATGTGCCTTGATGCAAGCCACAATTCCACAGCATAGTACCCCACGCCTCCCTGTAAAATGTAGCAAATCCTTTCAATGTCTGAATGCCACAGTTTAAAATATTTATGAAATACTACTTTTACAATATTTGTGAAAATATTATTGAATATATGCCCAAAGAAGATAAGTTCAGTTTTCTACCCATAACATGCACGAAGTAGAGTATGTGTCTATTTTTTGGTTGATTTCATGTAGAACAAATTACAAGAGAGTTCTAGGATCCTATTGGCAGATGCCAGAAGTTTTAATTACAGTTTGCATCTACTCACTGTGTATATATGGCTACCTTATACGTGTATGCCGTTACTTTCAGTGGCAAAAACTGCAGTTTCTTTTGCACCAACCTGATACCACAAGGTTTACCTGGGCAAGATGACCACACTGATGCTTTAGTTGATGGGCATGGGGAATGAGGGAAATTATTACAGTGAACTTCCTACAGTAGGTGTTCAGCAAATAGTTAATATAAAAAATCTGTTTATGGACAGAGTAAATTGTCTACTCTCCACAAGATAGAGGGTTGGAAAACATCTATAGGGGTGTGTACCTTTATTGGAATTTTTTTTTTTTTGGAAACGGAGTCTCGCTCTGTTGCCTAGGCTGGAGTGCAGTGGTATAATCTCGGCTCACTGCAACCTCCGCCTCCCAGGTGCAAGAGATTCTCCTGCCTCAGCCTCCTGAGTAGCTGGGATTACAGGGGCACACCACCACACCTGGCTAATCTTTATATTTTTAGTAGAGACGGGGTTTCACTATGTTGGCCAGGCTGGTCTTAAACTTCTGACGTCATGATCCACCTGCCTCAGCCTCCCAAAGTGCTGGGATTACAAGCGTGAGCCACCGTGCCCGGCTGGAATTTTTAAAAAGAAGTTAAAGCCTTTACCTAAAGCCTCAGCAAACAAACGCATAAGATCTTTTTATGGGGGTGGCGGGGGGATGTTGCTTTTAGCATTACCAAGAATTGCACGTAATTTTGTTTTATTATTTCATTATTTGGATTATTTTTAAAGTGCAAATATTTGTCTTCATAAGATCTGCTAGTTCAATTTAAAATTTTTCCAGAATAGTGGTTCTTAACCTGGGAACTCAGAAGAGTTACAGCAAATATAATTTATTTAAAAATATATATTTTAATAGTATAAGGTGACATGTAGAAAGCATGTATACAATGAAAGTCCATATTTATTCATGCAAAAACATTTATTAAATGACTGTAAGGTATTAGGGTGATAAGAAACGGGCTGTCTTGTTGGTTTTTTTTGCTATTGTTCTATTCTTCCTCCAAAGGAGTAGAGATGAGGCTAGGTTCTAAGTGAATTTTAAATCCAATTGTTATTAAGAGAATACAGCTCTAAAATACAGTTAGATTTTTCTTGTGTAATAAACTAAAACATTCATCTTCTAACGTACTGTTAATTGTCTCTGTCAACTGTTGTATCCCAGTATTGCTAATAGAACATGAGAGTATATATTGCTAATAACTTTATGATATCCCAGAAAACATAAAATATTTTGTGTTCTCTTTTGCTCTGACAGGTTGGTACAGAGGATATACCCTCCAAAATAAATCTAAAAAGGTATGACTTATCATTCACTTTTTAATTTCATTTGAAATCTGTCTGCTAGTTTTGTATTGTGCTATGTGACCCTCTCCTCTGCTCTCTGCTGTCTCTAGACCTAGTTTGCTTTCTCTTTGATGGCTCTTCTTTGGATTTGAAAGCAAATTCTCTGACCTCAGTGCCTAAATGTAATAGTGTAAATCCCATTGACTGTATTTCCTACCAGCCAATTCAAGGAGAAAATCCTGGAAGACTTCTTGCTTCCTGTCCCTCAAGTTAAGCAAGTTGGTAACACATTCATTGCCCTAGTGGGATCTCTTTTGCAGGGAGGGGTGGACCCACCCTTCTCCCTTTGTCCTTTACTTCCAATGCTACAATTCCAAACTAAAGGATCTCCCCATTTCCACTTGATCCTTTCCTTCATTGTAAATTGGATAAACAAGAGTGGTTTTCATATTATGAGCCTCACATCCCAATAATACATTATGAAATCAATATGGTGGATTATAACCAATTTTTTCCAAAAAATGAAACCGAAAAGTAGAGAACATGAGATGCAATGGTAAGTACTGTTTCACGAAACTTTTATTTTAGGTATATACTTTTATTTATTGTTTTTATTATATTTTATGTATTTGATATGTAATATTGGTTGCCATAAGAATGTATCTTTTACTGTGCAACAAAGGCACAGTTTGAAAAATACTGACCTAAATGGTTCCTTTTGCCAGTGCCAAAACTACTAATCGTCAGGCTAAAGAAAATCTATTAATTATGTTAATACCTCCCTCAGTTTCTTTTAGGTCTTGTCAGCACTTTTCCTTTGATACTGCTCGCTGGGGCAGCATGACATGTCAGCACTTTCTTTTGAAAGAGCAGAGTTGATAGGGCCTTATTATTTCACAATTAGTTCACATGCCAAATAGCAAATTAGGAAAGGGATGAGAGAAACGTTTTAGAATTTATCAAAAGAGGAGTGAAAAAACAAAACCAGACCCACGGTTCTTACACTTCACGGACAGCATGAGAAAGACGTAATCCTGCACAGATAGGCTGATGTTACACACCCAACTCTCCAAAGAGTACGGGGCCCAGGAAAACACCTTTCTACAAGGTATAGTTCATTAGAAACCAGGACTGCTTCTGCATTGTTGATGCTTAAGTCACACTCAGTATTTGCACATGTATGTGTACACATACACATTTTGTTAACTTTGACAGTTTATTCATCTAGCAAAATAAAGGAATGTTTGCTTTTAATGCAATTCCCACAGTTTTGGTCCTTTTTTCTCACCTCAAGCCAGAGAATGAATTTTTCTACCCACAGTTATTCTAGTGTCGCATGTCTTTATTTCAAACCAAATTATTTTCATTTAATCTCTTGCTGACTTCAGTTTCTCTGGGCCGTCAAATAGGGGTCCAAGACAGCAGGCATGCCAGAGTAAATGAGAACATGACAGAACTAAAGTGAAAGCTTTTCTTCTGGGATCCTCAGTGACACAGAGTACTTGATTATGGCCACTCTTGCTTTTTTAGCCCTATTGGTGTTAATTTTACTCATAGTTATGGAAGTGGTAGTTACTTCAAAGCACCATTAGAGTTAACAATTTTGATGTTCTGAATTTGTTAAACAGTAAGAATACTTATGTCACTTAATTCCCAATCCTTTTTTAAGAAAAAAAAAGTTAATTTAAAAACAATAAACAAAAAGCCATTCTCAAACAAAATTATGTGATGAACTTAAGGAACAAACGAAACTCTTGGATTTTTCACTGCGAAATTCAATTACGTTCAACCAAGGTCCTAGATCAGGTCTTCTTTTTCATAGACTACAGTATGTAAGGATCCTTTTGAACATGGCAGACCTTGCTTTCTAAAGTATCCTATGATTTTTTAATATAGTCATTTCCTCATTTCCACAGGCAATTGGTTCCAGGACCCCCACAATACCGAAATCCATGGATGCTCAAGTCTCTGATATAAAATGGCATAGTATTTGCATATAACCTCTGCATTTCCTCCCGTGTACTTTAAATCATGTCTAGATTATTTATAATACCTAATACAATGTAAATGCTATGTAAGTAGTTATTATACCGTATTGTTTAGGGAATAATGACAAGGAAATAAACCTCTGCTTACTTTTTTTTTCTATATTTTTAATCATCAGTTGGTTGAACCCATGATATGGAGGGCCTTGTGTATATAAAAATCAGTCTAGCTAATAGTGCCATTGTTGTTGGCTTTGAACAGTAGATAGATAGGGTTCCCCCAGGATCTAAATGATAAATTCTGGATTTTTTTTAAATTTTTTTGTGTTCATTAAAGAGTGCTTAAAACCTTTAAGCTTAAAATCTCACCCTTCAGAAGAAATCTTTCGGTAAGAGTTTCTCTTTGTTCTCTTGGTAAGTAAAGAAAAACTTTCTAATTCAATGAAATGATGACACAGACAAGGGACATGCATTTATTTGATGATTGTTTTAAGCCGAAATATCCTTCTTGTGGAGAGATTCAGGGAAAATACAGGCAAATCAAATTCAGTTGCCATGAATTCTGCTCTGCTTTTGACACCCCGTCATTAAGAGATCAGCTCATTAGAAACGCTCTCCTGTGCTGTGTCCCTCATTTCTCCGTCTTTAAGGGGAAGAGCTACTTGAAAGGCCTGTTGTTTTAATGGAAATTCTTGGTGTCATTTATAAGCTGACCCAGCCATTTAGAGTGATGATAAAAGGAGCTAGTTGATGATAAAAGGAGCTAGTGGTTTTACAAATTGAAGAAGCCAAGCGCTTTTCCGAAACTGATTATTGATCCTGGTGGAATTGTGGGAGTGTGGATAAGGGCAACATCTAGAAAATCATTAGTTTATTTTTCTACTCAAGTGAGTGGGTTACAATGAGGAAGGAGAAGCAGAACTGAGAGACAGGCTGTAAATCAGAAACACATGACCTAGGTTTACTCTGACTTTCTGTGTGTCATCATGGCATAGGAGTCATTCTATAAGCATCAGATTTGCCAGAGCAATTCTATGACTGTAAATGGCCAAGTGTCATCATGGAAAGGTGAAGCCTACTGATGACAAATACACACATACTATGTAACAAATACACACATACTGTATAACAAATACATGCTATATAACTAATACATACATACATATATACATACATACATACATATTTGAGACAGGATCTCAGTCTGTTGCCCAGGCTGGAGTACAGTGGCGTGATCACAGTTCACTGCAGCCTTGACCTTCTGGGCTCAAGCAATCCTCCTGCCTCAGCCTCCCGTGTAGCTGGGACCATTGGCATGTGCCACCATGCTGTGCTAATTTTTTAAATTTTTGTAGAGACGGTGTCTCAGTTTGTTGCCCAGGCTGGTCTTGAACTTCTGGGCTCAAGCGATCCTCTTGTCTTGGCTTCCTAAAGTGCTGGGATTACAAGCATGATCCACTGTGCCTTGCCTCAAATATTCTCCTAATATGAAAATCATCATGTCTGAACATCCAGTGTAAATTGTCTGCTTATGATCTGCTTAGATGTCACAAGATTCATCACTCTGCATTTATGTTTCTGAATACTTCTATCTTGAATGTTTTCCACTTATTAGGAGCGACTAGTCACCAGATTGTGAATGCATGAAAATTTTAATTGGTCCTTTACCTTCTGATTTCAAAAACCTTCAGCAGGGATGTTCCTTTGTAGTAGCAGTGTTACATTTTACTTTTGACTTCCAGAATTGGATCCTTGTAACTAAACAGTTTATCCGTGCCCAGCGCCTCCGCAACCCCACTCCTGCTTTTTTATGAGTTTTGGACTTTTTTTATTGTGGTAAAAATATATATAACATAAAATTTACCATCTTAACCATTTGTAAGTGTACTTTCCAGTGGCACTAAGTACATTCTCATTGTTGTGCAACCATCAACACCATCCATCTCCAGAAGTCTTTCATCTTTCCAAACTAAAATTCTGTCCCCTTTAGATACTAACTTCCTATTGTTCCCTATCCCCCGCAAGCCCCTCAGAACCCCCATTGTACTTTCTGTCTTTATGAATTTGACTACTCCAGGTGTAAGTGGAGCCGTACAGTATTTGTCCTTTTGTGACTGGCTTATTTCACTTAGTGTAATGTCTTCAAGGTTAGTTCCCAACATCCCAGTTTAGTTCCCCACAGAGATGATAGTCAGCAAATCATTTGCCGTGGCGCAGTGGCACAGTGGCACAGCGGCACAGCAGGCAGAAGAAACACCCAGAGTTCCTTAGGCCTCCTAGGGACAGGCCTAGAGCTTCCGAACTGCAGAAATCAGGCCCCAGAGGAATCACACGCAGTTTTTGAACTGAACACCCTCCTTTCTCATTGCTATATTCATCAGATGTTTACTCAGTGCCTGCTGCATGCCTGGCACTGCAAAGGACAGTTCCCTGTTTTGATCATTAAAAAAATTAAATAGACCAGGCACATGGCTCATACCTGTAATCCCAGCACTTTGGGAGGCTGAGGTGAGCTGATCACTTGAGGTTAAGAGTTGAAGACCAGCCTGGCCTGGCCAATATGGTGAAATCCTGTCTCTACTAAAAATACAAAAATTAGCCGGGCATGGTGGTGCATACCTGTAATCCCAGCTACTTGGGATGCTGAGGCAGGAGAACTGCTTGAGCCCGGAGGGCGGAGGTTGCAGTGAGCCGAAATTGTGCGACTGTACTCCAGTCTGGGCAACAGAGCAAGACTCTGTCTCAAAGAATGAATAAATGAATGAACGCATGAATGAATAAATAGTCAGAAGACTTATCTCCTTCTTTTTCACTTCGATGGTGTGCCTATGCGTGTATGTTTTATACTGATAGAATTCCATGGCCAAACTCACCTGACCTGAGGGGTGGCGCATTGAGAAAGTGTCCTGTCTACTGTGCCCCACAGTAGACACACATTTAATTTTTGTTTTCAATTATTTGATCAGTTTTCCAAAATGGTTCTGAATCCCACCTCCATAATGAAAGAGGTCATTGTCACCTTGTGTCTGTGTGTGTTCTTGGTCTCATCAGTAACGGGATTAGAATTCACACTCATATTCCCCACGCCTGCCCCCGTCTCAAAGCGAGGAGGAGAAGGGATGTACTTTTTATTTGGGGCTTTGTGTCTGGTGGGGAAGCACATGCAGGATCCACTCTGTCATCACCAATGCTAGGGGCAGTTTAATCTCAAATGTTCTTGCTGTTTCCTGTTTTATTGGCAACGGATTAAAAGAGAGAAAGCAGAGTGTTGTACAGACAAATATAGCACATGCAACTGGACACAAGAACAACCCTGTCAATGTTCACTGGTTTCCTGTCTGAGTGGAGTAAGGATCAGTGGGTATATATGCCTCCGGGCACTGGGACATCCCCTCCCACCTTTATGATCAGCCACCCCTGACATGTCATGTTCATGGAGTTCACACCAACTCTTCCAGGAATAGGGCTGGGAGCAGTTAGCCAACAGTGCCAGGTATAAGCTCCATGTAAGATACCATGAAACAGATCAGCATCACTGTCTCCGGATGACATCTCCTCTGTGTGTGAGCATATCACACAGTAAACAGCAGAAGCTTTGGTACACATAACACTCACATCTGGGACTTGCTTCCTGTTGGTTAGATCTGGTCCTCTGTTCTCTGATTTCTATCCACCAGTTTCTCCTCTTTCTCTTAGGTCTTTCCAGGCCTAAGTCTTCCCCATGGGCAGTGTTACAATACTGATGTAGAACTGCCTCTTAGGGATATAGAATGGAGAGCAGTTTGACACTGTGAGGTGCTGAAAATAACCAGGTAACTAACACCCGTTGATTTTGAGTGCATTTGGTTTAAGTGGGAGTGCTGAGAGGAACTACTTTAGAAAAATCACTATGTAGTTGACCCGTGAAAAATATGAGTTTGAACTCTGCAGCACTTCCACATGGATTTTTTTTTTTTAGCCAAATGCAAATCAAAATTACAATATTCTTGGGACATGAAACCTGTGTAAAAGTATATGCGGGTTGTGCAGGGCTGCGTGCCATACTTGAGTATGTGTGGATTTGGGTATATGCTTTGTGGGAAGGAGGTTTCTGGAACCAACCCCTTGCATATTCTGAGGGATGACTTATTTTATGGGCTACTGAGTACTGCATAGTTTCCATGTCACCCCTTATGTGAAACTTATGGGAAGCATCTCATGGCAAGTAGCATCTGAGGGGTTTAGGAGTTCACAATTACACTCCTTCCCATTATGTTATCTCTGAGCTGACACAGCATGTTTGCCTCTTCATTCACAAAATATCCTATGCTCTCTGAACCCAAATTTTAATTTCTACCTTTTTGATGTTTCCACCATGCTTTTGTGGAGGTAGCCAGTCAACGTAAGTGGTGTCCTGCCAACCTGATCTCAGGAGTTTAGCTATTGCCTGGGTGTTCCCATTTATTCTCTTTACTTTGGGCTGAGGTGTTTTTGTTTGGTTTTTGTTTTGTTTTTATGGCCATATAACCAAAATTCTTTTCTCTGTAGGGCATTTTCCCTGAAACATATATCCATTTGAAAGAGGCAACTGTGGAAGACCTGGGGTAAGTTCCAAGCTAGGAAGATTCCCCAAAAATGATGAAGATGTAACATTATCATTAATGATAATCTTTAGGCATTAATGCCTTATGTACGTTAATAGTTCTCTCATCTCAGGCCAGGCGTGGTGGCTCACGCCTGTAATCCCAGCACTTTGGGAGACCGAGGTGGGCAGATCATTTGAGGTCAGGAGTTCGAAACCAGCCTGGCCAACATGGTAAAACCCCCATCTCTACTAAAAATACAAAAGTTAGCTGGGCTTGGTGGTGGGTGCCTGTAATCCCAGCTACTGGGGAGGCTGAGGCAGGAGAATCACTCGAGCCCAGGAGGCAGAGCTCGCAGTGAGCTGAGATCATACCACTACACTCTAACCTGGGTGACAGAGCAAGACTCTCTCTCAAAAAAAAATAAAATTAAAAAATTTCTCTCATCTCATCAGTTCTACTTCTCCTATGAGAGAGAAATGAAGAAAAACTTTTCACTCATACAATTCCTTCCTCTGTCTTCTCTTTCTATAATTGTTCCTCCTTTCCATTACTTCTCCAGAATACTAAACACAGAAGTAGCAAAAACTGAGGGCTTTTGCCTCTACATTACATTTATTATCTGTTCACTGATTGTGTGTGTGTGCGTGTGTGTATGTTTGCACACATGAACATTTGGGACTCTGACTGATAAGATCTGAGAAGCCCCCAATTCAGGATCCTTGAGAGAGAGATGATTAAGCAACAGCCTGCATTTACCAGCTCTGAGCCTTGGATGAATCACTTAAACTTAAGTGGATCCTGGGTTTTTCACAGCATATTAGGGGAAACAATCTGACCCTACTTTGATCATGAGCTTGTCATGAGATTCGAATGAGGTAATGTATGCAAATGTGCCCTGAAGATAAGATCTGCTATATTTTGGGTATTCATATTTCTTGCCCACCTCATCTTGCCCACCTCATTTGTCCTGGGAAGTACTGCCTCTGTGACAGCTAAGAAGAGTGAGCTACTTAGTCTAAGTGGGAGAGAGAGAGGTGACTTAGGTGATGGTGAGTCTCTGGACAGGAGAATTCTGGAGGCAGTACGGAGAGGCTGGGGTAGGACTGGAATCCTGGGGCTGATGGAGAGGAGAGTGGGGCCGAGGAGAGAGTGGACAGCTGGGTCACAGAACCATGCAGCCTCACAGCTAGAAAGAGCATTCCCAGTTGTAGTTCAGCACCATCATTTCTTTTCTTTTGTTTTCTTTTCTTTTTTTAATTATGATGGGCAAGCTTTATTTTGTATGAACTTGATTTCACAAAATTAGAATGGCAATTCCACTTAAAATTAACTGTTTAAAAAGTGTAAATGTCACGGTATAGATCTGTTATCCAAAACTCCAAAAGGCAGTGAAATTGGTAACAGATATTCCTCCTCATCTTTGGACCCATACAACAGCAGAATTGATGAAACTGGTTCCCAGGCAAGTATGTGCCACTTGCTCCCGTGCCTCAGGGAGGAGAGGATGTTATGACACAGGCGTTTTTGTTGCAGTGACTTGTGGATAATTGCTCCTTATTAACACTGCTAAAATTATGTTCACATGTTTTACTTTGTGTGGGAGCCGATGACTCTTGTCCTTTCGTTTTTTGAGTATTATCTTTCAAATGAGCGTTGGCCTCAAACCCGCTCATTCCAAAATGCATCACAGATGGGAATTTAAGCCTCTTCACAAAGCAAACCACTGGAAATTCATAGGTAGTATGCAACATTGGTCTGTAACTGATAATAGGGCAACATCATTTCTTTGGAACGTAATTTTCTTGATTCCACAAGAAGTGACAGGATAAGAAAACTCATAGTTAAATGAGAACAGTCTTGTTACAGGACAGTTATCTCCCAGGTGTATGTCATCAATTCTAATTTCCGTGTTGTTACCAAAGGGCCTTATTTTCATTCTGACTAACAACCAATCATCAGAACACATTGAAACTGTTGCTGGGTCAAGTTCAAAAGGATTCCAAAACAGTAAAAAAAAAGAGGAAGGGCCCACCAAGAGCACAGAGGTCTTCATCGCTCCAGACTCCCAGATACAGCACAGGGAACAAGAAATGGCAGAACCATCATTTCATAGACAAGTGGTCAAGATGTCCTCAAAGCCGTACAGCTCTTTGGTGGCAGAACCAGGACCAAAAACCAGGTCTCCTGCCCTGCTGGAGAAGTCCTCTTTCCGGTGGGCCGTGGGCTGCCTCCACTGCCACCCACCATGTTGGAGGAAACGTAGGTGGGGAGGCACATTCACACCAATTAGGGTTATACAGGATGCCCAGTTACATTGGCAATTCAAATAGTAAGTAATTTTTCATAGTAAGCATTTCCCAGATATTTCATGGGTCACACTTATTCTAAAAAATCTTACTATACCAGAAATTCAAACTTAACTAGGTCTCCTATATTTTTCCTCATTGAGCCTGGCAGTCCTACCACCAGTTCCAATTTGTTTGCTTGCTCTTGCTTTCTCCTTTTTTCTTTTTGCTAATCATAAAAATGCCAGAGAGGATTTCTGTGAATAAATGTAGTACCTACCTTTATGAGAGTCTTCTGTGAGTAAGCAAGGATTTTGTTAAGTGTACGTTTTCTGTGTTGTGAAACTGCAGATGAGAAGAAAACATGGGACTATTCCAGAAAGGGGTGCTGCCTCCGTATCCCCCACCTCTACCCTGGCCTCTGCCCCAACCAGGTCCTGGGTGGAGTCACAGCCCCAGGACACTCGTGCCACACACACCTTTCCATCCAGCCTCCCAAATGAAACAGCTGCTTGGTGGAACCAGCTAAAATGCTGCATATTTTGCTTCCATCTTTGAGAATCACTGAAGCCAGCCTGGCTCAGTAATCGAGTCTCCTGGAGAAATCTACACTGGGGAGGTCGAGGCTGGGCCGCAGGCTCATTCAGTTGCAGGAACGGAGCCCATTTTGAGGACTGTGCTGCCTTACTCTCCTTCTCTTCTCCCAGATGCTTGGATGCGATAAAGTCCCCTGCACAACTCCTGCCCCCAGGCCTAACCAGCTTCATTCTCAACCTTGAACGTTGGGAAGTCTGATCCCCATCAAGTAAAGCAGTGCTGATCAGCCTAGAAGAAAGTGACCCTCGTTTGGTTCTTTGTAGGCAGCATGAAACCGTGATTCCTGGCGAGCTCCCCCTGGTGCAGGAGCTCACGTCCACTCTGCGAGAATGGGCTGTCATCTGGCGAAAGCTCTACGTGGTGAGTTTCCCCTTGTGGCTTGGAGCCCCAGGGTCACTCTGGGTCCTCAGCCTGTAGGTCCTTTGCAGGGTGTTGGCCCCTTATTGCTGACTTCATGGAGTGGGATGCATTCTCCCTGGATCACACAAAGGCTGATAAGCAGCAGATTCTCATTTCCCCAGAGCTGGGTCACTGATAGCGGGTAGTGGAGTAACTGGGCGTAATCATTCTAGCAGTCTTTTCTCAAATGATAAACATGCTGATTGTGAAAGTACTAATGATAATAATCACTGCAAACACTTCTGCAGTCTTTCCTAAGTGCCAGAAACTATGAATCCTCACAACATTCCTATAAAGTAGGTGCAATTATTATTAATTTGTTAATAAGGAACCTGAGTCATGCTCTTAGCCTCTTCATGTATACCAGTGAACTGAAATTTATCGATATTTCAGGGCTCAGCTGCATGAGGATGACATTCTTTACCTTGGCCCACATACCTTACAGACTCAGAAACTTGAATAGTGTTAAGTTGTGGTCTGAGAGTCACCTTTTTGGGCAGACTCACAGTATTCTTTCTCCCAACACTGGTTTGACCTCATAATGCTAATACAGTGTGTCAGTTCACAGGGAAATTACAAGGAGCCAGCACATCCTCTCCGTAATAAACAATAAGCTCAAGTTGTGTGCAGGAATCAGCACCAAGTAAATCTAGCATTTAACATGATGAAACTGAGAACAGCTGTCTTGCAAGAGACCAAGGATGCTCAAAGTCTATTGGCAGCAAGTCTGCCTCATCTCCAGTGTAGAAAGCTCTTTCCTTAATGTTTTTTTTTTTTTTTGAGACGGAGTCTCACTCTTTCGCCCAAGCTGGACTGCAGTGGCGCTGTCCCGGCTCACTGCAAGCTCCGCCTCTTGGGTTCATGCCATTCTCCTCCTTAATGTTAACATTGGAATCCACAAAGACTTTTTATTTTATTTATTTATTTTTTTGAGATGGAGTCTCGCTCTGTCACTCAGGCTGGAGTGCAGTGACACCATCTCAGCTCACTGCAACCTCCGCCTCCCAAGTTCAAGCAATTCTGCCTCAGCCTCCCAAGTAGCTGGGACTATAGGCGTGTGCCACCCCGCCTGGCTAATTTTTTTTTTTTTTTGTATTTTTAATAGAGACAAGGTTTCACCATGTTGGCCAGGCTGGTCTTGAACTCCTGACCTCAAGTGATCTATGTGTCTTGGCCTCCCAAAGTGTTGAGATTACAGGAGTGAGCCACCATGGCCGGCTAATTTTGTGTGTGTGTTTTTAGTAGAGATGGGGTTTTACCATGCTGGGCAGGCTGGTCTTGAACTCCTGACCTCAAGTGATCCAACTGTCTTGGCCTCCCAAAGTGTTGGGATTACGGGCGTGAGCCACTGTGCCCCGCCCACAAAGACTGTTTATTCTAAAGTTGCTTCTTTGCCTATAGCCCTTGTAGTTCAGCATCACTGGGTCTTGCCTCTGTTAGTGGGTTCCAGCCTTCTGTGGCTGACCAGAAATTCCTATGGCGAATGTATATTCTCTCGTTAGATGTGTGTACAAGTTCAGGGAGGTTGTAGACCAGACTTGATGGCCTGGGAACCCTCCTCTTTTCTTTATGTGGCTTTGTTTGTCTCAATTTTTGTTCAGTCATGTGTTGATTCATTTTAACTCTGAAAAGCCAATCTTAATAAGTTACTGGGAATACCTCACTCTAGACCCTAAATACTGAAGGCAGTAATCAAAAGCTAATTTTGGCATAACTTATAAGAGTTCATGGAAGATATTTCATTTTCATTCAGGGCTGTTGTTTCCCTTGGTTAATCACAGCAGTAGAAATCACCAACCCCTTTGGTGGAAAAGCACATGGTATTTCTCTACTTGGTCATCCTTCAAGACCTTGTTTAGACGCTTTCTTCTTCATATTGTATTTTCTAAACATAGCAATCTATAACGTTTCCCTCTGGACAATAGAAGCACTTACTGCTAAACTCATCATCTGACCCTTGGGGCACACTGCTTCATAATAAAGGTGATCTTTTGATCTCTTTATGTTTAGTTGAAGAGAGAATGCACATTAAGTTGCTAAATCACAAGGAGGATGGAGACACTGCTGTCAGCCCCGTGGCCTTCATTGATCATCTTGCACTTATATTGAGAGTACTCTCTGGTTCTGGTTTATTGATTAGTTAGTTGGGTGGATGTAACAAGGTTGATGGATGAGGAATTGCGTGTACGTGGGTTGGTTCCTTAACATGTTCTTTCTGGAAATTGATGAGTGTTGAAATGCATTAGATAATCAGTATTGGGAAAGGAGTTTTTTTTTTTTTTTTTAAAGATGTATGAGACTGGAGAGTATGAGTGAGGCCGACTTTTTTTCTTGCTAAAACACAACTGGTGTGCCCAGTTTATTACCTATGTCTTCTACACATCCACAAGTAATTGTGCCAGGTCTACCATTGAATAGAATGAAGAAAGAAGTGAATGGGGGCCAGGTGCAGTGGCTCGTGCCTGTAATCCCAGCACTTTGGGAGGCTGAGGACGGCGGATCACTTGAGGTCACGAGTTCAAAACCAGCCCGTCCCAATATGGTAAAACCCCTTCTCTACTAAAAATACAAAAATTAGCTGGGTGTAGTGGCTTGTGCCTGTAATCCCAGCTACTCGGGAGGCTGAGGCAGGAGAATCGCAGGAGAATCGCTTGAACTGGGGAGGCAGAGGTTGCAGTGAGCCAAGATCACACTGTTGCACTTCAGCCTGGGGGAAAAGAGTGAAACTCCGTCTCAAAAAAAAAAAAAAAGTGAACGGGGATGAAGAATTAGGACTCATGTATTTTGGCTGCCAAAATCTCTTAGTAGTTAAAGGTGATAAGGTCTTGTTGAACATTTCCTTGGTGGGAGAGTTTCATGTTGTAGTAGCAGAATTTGGTTAAAAAAAAAAAAAAGGCCAGGCGCAGTGGTTCACGCCTGTAATCCCAGCACTTTGGGAGGCTGAGGTGGGCGGATCACAAGGACAGGAGTTCAAGACCAGCCTGGCTAATATGGTGAAACCCTGTCTCTACTAAAAATACAAAAATTAGCTGCGCATGGTTGTGGCCACCTGTAGTCCCAGCTACTCGGGAGGCTGAGGCAGAAGAATCACTTGAACCCGAGAGGCGGAGGTTGCAGTGAGCCAAGATTGTGCCATTGCACTCCAGACTGGGAGACAGAGGGAGACTCCGTTTAAAAAAAAAAAGAAAAAAAAAAAAAAAAAAGCCATCCCCTCTTCGAGGGCAGCACATTTCTCATTTTAATTTAGATATCTAATAACATAATTATTTTGGTATTTGTGAATAATTTAAAATGTCTTATAGCCGCTGTTGATTGACTAAAAGACATTCTTTGTAGAAATTCTCAGTCAGTCGATAGGACTGAGAAACCTGCTTCTGCTCTTGATACATGCTCATCCAGTAAGGAACAATCCACTAAGATTTGTTATTATGGTTAGTGCAAAAGTAATTGTGGCTTTCACCGTTACTTTAAATGGCAAAACCCACAATTATTTTTGTACCATCCTAGTATTAATTGTGGCTTTCTCTTTTTTTTTTTTCCTGTCCCTTCCTAAAGCATTGACAGTTAACTTGAGGCAGAACTTCTGAACTTCTTACTGAAACGTTTCTGTATCAAAGTAGCAAACATCAATATTATGTTTCACTAGGAAACAAGTAAAAACCCAAATCTCTGGTTTTCGTGTCCCATCTCCTTTCACCTGCTGTATGCTGTTATTGATGTTTTTGCTTTCTGATTCTGTAAGTTCCTTCAGTCCATGTAAAGATAAATACAGATTTTACTAGTATGTAGCAATACTTGTATTATTTCTCTCTTGCATTTCCCCCTGTAGATTACAACACCAGACGCTCTGTTTGATGTCTTTAAAGACACCTGTGGCCAGCTAGTGGCTCACGCCTGTAATCCCATCCCTTTGGGAGGTCAAGCCTGGGGGATTGTTTGAGTCCAGCAGTTTGAGACCAGCCTGGGTGACATAGCAAGACCCTATCTCTACAAAAATTAGCTGGGCACAGTGGCACATACCTGTAATCTAGGCTACTCAGAAGGCTGAGGTGGGAGGATTGCTTGAGCTCGGGTGGTTGAAGCTGCAGTGAGCCATGATTATACCACTGCATTCCAGCCTGGGTGACACAGTAAGACCCTTTCTCAAAAAAAAAAAAAAAAAAAAAAAAAAAAAAAGATACCTGTGATGTCTTAGAAATCCCACATTTCTATAGTACATTTCCTTGTTCTTTTCTTTTCAGTCTCAGTTCACCAGAAATGTACGTTGTGGATCCACAGTCTCATATGAGGGGAAAATGCAGTCCACTAACCAGATTAACCCCAGCCATGTAGACGCTGGTGATTATTCTAGAAAAGAAAAATATTTGCCTAGCTGTGATTTATTTTTAGCAGTTATACGGTAACCATGTAGAATAATCATAAATATGTCTTAAAGGGGAGGGGAGTATGTACACAGAACAGAGGTGAACCCACTTATCCAAAATGGAGAGAACAGATGACTCCCCCCGTGGTCTCTCTGTTCCTTAGGTATATTATTATTGTTTTCTGTTGGATTATCTTCCCCAGTGGGTGTTGGCCTTATGCTCAGGAGAGGAAGCGGGTTTTAGGAGACAGACACTGGCCCAGGAATTGGGAAGCTGAGTATCCTGTGCGGGTCCTGTTCTGACCAGTTCTGTGGCCTTGGGCAAGTCACTTGAACACTTCAAGTCTGCTGGATGTTGTTCCTCTGCAAAAGTTGATGTAAAAGCTGCCGTGTTGACCGCGTAGAACTCTGAGAGTATGGAAAGAGAGAGTGGCTGTGATCTGTGCTGCTGACAGACCACAAGGACTCCGCCAATGGGAGCATGTGCTTTTGATGTTATCTTAGCTGGAAGCAGTAGCCATCTGGACACCCTCCCTCTGGGAAGCCTTGGCATAGCTTCTCTCTTACCCGACTGCCTGCCCAAGACTCTGAAGCTCCCTTCTGTATGGCCCCTTATCCAAGGTCGCTTCCTTTGGAACAATTATCTTAGGCAAAGTGGCCTTGAGCACTCAGCAGCCAAGCTAAATTTCTCACCATACATAGAGAACCTGCTTGGTTTAAATTCAAGTCCAGGAGGCCCGGGTCATTCCAAAATACAGAGAAACTGCAAATGTATGGCAGTTTCTGATGGTCTTTCCCTATACTGCTGTGCCTCAGTTGGAACTAGTCACTGGGTGTGTTTTCATTGGTTGTTCAGGAAAGGAGGGAACATTGTGATCAAGGAGACCTCCTGGTGACGTACCAAGACCTTGGACATTGGAGTCAGACAGACTGCCTAGTTCTTAAGTTCTGGCTTCTCCCTTACTGGGTATGTACTATTATATTCAGAAAAAAATGACAAACCCAGTAATAGTTACTGAAAATAAACCAAAACAGAAAGAACTTGGATGCAGAAGGCTACTAGCTGATCCTGCTGCCTAAGACAAGTCCCTTGATCTCCTTAAGTTTTCTTTTCTTCTCTTAAGTGGGGATTTTATGTGCTATATGCCTTGCAAATTTATTGTAAGGATTCAGCGGGATAGTCTGTATAAAACCCCAGGGTAGTACCTGTCACACTGTGGTCAATACATGACAGCCCCTGACTAACCCCTCACAACTCTGCTCCTAGAAAGAGCTGATTGATAATGAGAAGTGTAAGAGAAGAGCTGGATCACACTAGAAGATTTAGTGACGTTTGCCTTGAGGTCATGTAAGGGTGCAGTTGCCCACCTACTGTGGTTATTCCCCATCTTCCAGCTTCGGGCAGAAGGGGTGGGCAGATAATGTCTAGCCTCCCTCCAGCCCCGTAGTAACTTAACTAGGTCGATGGGTTTCAGATTTTCTATCCACTATTCTTCCCAGCCTTGGAAAGCAGCTCCAGCGAGCTGATCTTTGGCCTCTTTTCCTTTCTGTCAACACCTCTTCCTGCTTCCACACGGCTGAGGTGGAATCAGGGCAGATCCCCGTGCTAGATGGGCGGATGCCCATGCAGTGACTTAGACACGGTCGGATTCGTGTAATGTCTAACTTTTATCTTGTCGATAACAACTCAGTTATACTTTTTGAATATAAACAATTCTACATCTCAAGTCAAAGGATCATACTTTTTCAACTAAAAATCTGGTCTTGAAACTGAAGAATTGCAGTGTATTCGTGGACACAGTAGGGCAAGAGTTTTCAAATACAGGACTGTCCTGTAAATTCTAAGGTGTTTGGATGCCATAAACATGCTGTGCACCATCTCACCCTAAGATTTAGTTTCGTGCTATTCCTCATCTTCCCATGGGAGAAAGGGTTCAGTGAATTGTGGTCAATCGGGCTGTTTTGTTCGTGTAACTTTGGAAGACTGGATCTAATCCTACTCCTTATGGAAAAGAGATAGAAGATCTTTTTTGGTGATAGAAGGTATTGAAGGCATAGTGTTGAATCAAGTGAATTTATTATTATTTTTTTTTTTGAGATGTAGTTTCATTATTCTCGCCCAGGCTGGAGTGCAGTAGTGAGATCTTGGCGCACTGCAACCTCTGCCTCCAGGGTTCAAGCGATTCTCATGCCTCAGTCTCCGGAGTAGCTGGGATTACAGGTGCGCATCACCACGCCTGGCTAATTTTTGTATTTTCAGTAGAGAAGGGGTTTCACCATGTTGGCCAGGCTGGTCTCAAACTCCTGATCTCAGGTGATCTGCTCGCCTTGGCCTCCCAAAGTGCTGGGATACAGGTGTGAGCCACTATGCCCAGCCAATCAAGTGAATTTAATTGCTAACATGTAGTTTGTACAAAGGACTGATCTCCCCTCACTTAAAATTTGCCAGCAATAAAGAACCCTGTGGCAGTCTATAGTTCTGGAAAAATCAGGAGCAGAAAAAGTGCCTATAACTGGGAAGAGGGGGTAGGGGAACTTGCAGAACATACTGAATGGCCCTTTCTTCCCATCATCGCATATCCAGGCAGTTTAAAGCTGCTGGATTCTAATCTCTTTGAACCGGTGGTTATTACTGGCTGCTGGAACGTAATCTCTGAAGTACAATTAAGCTGGTCTCATGGTTTGAAACCAGCATCTTATTCCTTATTACCAAGAACAGAAAATTCCCATAGCAAACTTTGTCCTCTTGTCAGGGCATTTTATCTGGGAGTTGCAAGCCCTGCTTCAGTGTGGCTCTAACAAGAGAGCCAAGATGTGGCGTGGGACTGACTGATGGGCACCAGACATGGGTGGTGCTTTGGGTATTTTTCCAGTTTTGATTTCCTCTGACCTGGTTGCCTGGCTGTCAGGATTTCTTTTCCTTCAGGAGGCAAAAAATGGCCTTTAACTTGAATGGTTTCTTTAAAAATCAGACCTTTGCTGGTCAGACTGCACTTTTATCTGACACAGAGAAAAGGCACTAGAATGGATAGGAAGCGTGTTTGGGGCAGTGGGAATTCTCTTCTTCCCGGGGTCCCTGGAGTCAGTGTAGCTCAAGAACACAGAAGGACCCAAACACCCCATCTGGACCCAGGTGTTACAGCTACGTGGAAAAGGCATGAGATTGATTGCAATGAGCTCGACACCGGGAAAATTTGATTCAACGCCAACTGAGTGTGCAAGCAAGTGAGATGATCAGAGTCAGATGCAGTTAATCAGGAAGCTGCCTGGGAGGAGTAATTGAGTTTAATGTCTCAGTCATAGACTCAAAGACGCTTATCCTTGGGAATGGATTTTAGTTCCAGTCTCTTTATTTTACATGTGAGTTTACCCTAGAGGGAATATGCCCGAAGCCACATAGCAAGTTAATGATAGAATTCGAGATAGAAGCCAAGTACCCATACTTTCAGCCAAGCCTGTTTCCCCCTAAGTCATAAAATCTGCATGGAAGAGGAAAGGTTGGTGAACAGAGTGAATATTGATTCTTTTATACATGGAATGGTAGAAGACCAGAGAAAGGGTTTTTGACTGTGGTCTGCATTGTTTTTCTCTTTTTTGTTTTTTTTTTGTTTTCAGAGATAGGGTCTCGTTCTGCCACCCAGGCAGGAGGGCAGTGGTGCAGTCACAGTTCACTGGTGCCTCAAACTCCCAGGCTCAAGCAATCCTCCCACCTCAGCCTCCTTGGTAGCTGGGACCACAGGCGTGCACCACCACATCTGGCTAATTTTTTATTTTTTGTAGAGACAGAGTCTTACCATTTTGTAGAGACAGAGTCTTTAGCCCATGCAGGTCTCAAACTCCTAGGCTCAAGCAGTCTTCCTACCCCAGCCTCCCAAAGTGCTAAGATTATAGGCATGAACCATTCTACCCATCCCTGTGGTCTGCATTCTTTGGGAAAATGAAGAATAGAGTCCAGGTTTTCTAATACCCATTGCAGCTGGGCCATCATCTAAATGGCCCCTCAAATTTCTATAATACTCCTGCTTTCCTGTGAGTATTGAAGGCAAAGCTATTTTTTCTTGTGACTTTGTGTTTATCTCTAGACATTCTAAAAAAAGAAAAAAAAGTTATAAACATCGGGAGGCCGAGGTGGGAGGATCACCTAAGGTCAGAAGTTCGAGGCCAGCCTGGCCAGTATGGCAAAACACTGTCTCTACTAAAAATAAGAAAATTATCTCATTGTGTGGTGTGTGCCTGTGATCCCAGCTACTTGGGAGGCTGAGGCAGGAGAATTGTTTGAACCCAGGAGGTGGAGGTTGCTGTGAGCCAAGATTGCACTACTGCACTCCAGCTTGGGTGACAGAGCGAGACTCCATTAAAAAAAAAAGTTATAAATATTTGGACTAAAACTACAAAAAGTGAGGCTTCAGGTATCTCCGTATCTCCAAGTAGAAGAGGGAGAAATTTTAAGCAAATGCAGGAATATCTTTGCTATCTTGAAAAAAATTTAGATTGTTTTATTTTGTGGACACATTCTTCATTCACATTGAAAGCAGAGTATTACAGAGTGTTATTTTAAATTTAAGCTGTCAAAGTTTGTTTTTGAGTCCCTATTGTGTTCCAGGATTGTGCTCTTTTGTGGAGAGGGTCACAGAAATTCTTGGATGATGTGACAGTGGCGGATAATGCAGAAAAGGCTGAAGTGAGTGATGACGAGAGATAACCGAGAAGGCTTCTACAACAGGCGGGCCTGGGCAGTATGGGATTCAGGAAAGAAAGAGCTGGAAGGAGAGCAACTGGAGAGAGAAAATAGAGCCTCAGAGGAGCTTAGCATATGCTCTTTTTTTTTTTTTTTTGAGATGGAGTTTCTTTCTTGTCACCCAGACTAGAGTGCAATGGTGTGATCTCGGCTTGCAGCAACCTCTGCCTCCTGGGTTCAAGCAATTCTCCTGCCTCAGCCTCTTGAGTAGCTGGGATTATAGGTACCCGCCACCACACCCAGCTAATTTTTGTATTTTTAGTAGAGACGGGGTTTCACCGTGTTGGTCAGGCTGGTCTCGAACTCCTGACCTCAGGTGATCCACCTGCCTCGGCCTCCCAAAGTGCTGGGATTACAGGCGTGAGCCACTGCGCCCGGCCAGCCCGTGCTCTTTTGGTGAGTGTTTGGTTTTCTCTTCACCTGTCCTCATATGCTTCCCCCAAAACCCATGAAGTGTCAGGGACCAACTATTATGTGAAACATCTTGCTTAGAACGCTCTTAGGAATGTAGCAACAAAGTCCATCTCCTTGAAGTGAATGGGGAAATTGTTTCCTTTGGTGTGTTATAGCTTGTCTATTCAGAATTCACTTGGCACAGTATATCAGAGAAGAATGACTGTCTTCATCCTTCCTTGGGGGACAAAGTTGGCAGACAAGGCTGGTATGGACGGGCAATAATTAAATTGCCACGGATAGTGTCTAATGTAACTGAGACTAAGAACTTGTGCACATGTACCCCAAACAAAGCACTGTGTCACACAGAGGATCCCCGGAGCCTTTGAACCCTTTCTTTACCATATTATGAGAAGCAATATCTTAACATTAGAAAACACTTTGAATAGCTAAAAGTGGACAAATGCGTTGCAAGAAAGAAAACAAGAGTCTCTTTCTGCTTAGCAGTTTTGAAAAGCAAAAACTGACAGGCTTAATTTCTCACTTCTTTTTCCAATTTTGAAGAAAATGAAATGGAAACATTTTATATAAGATTGAAGGAAAAAAGCAGGGTTTTTACCTTTGCTTATTAAAAATAGTATCTTAAAAGCCCTCATTTTTATGTTTTGCTAAGGACTGGGGGATGAGGAAGAGGCAATTCAGAAAATGCTAAAAGCAGTAAATGTAGGTAGTTTCAAAATTTTAAACAGGCTTTGCCTTCTGTGTTTTTTTAAGATCAGTGGTGTTAACAGAGCATATTGCAATCACAGATAAATGGGTTGTTCATCTCTTTCCTTTGTGTTGCCACAGAACTTTGAACTTGTGTTAGGGTTTCAACACACTCTGCTAATCTCAGTTTTGTTCATTGCCCCCTACTTTACACCAAGGCCTCTTTCCTCCTCATTTATTCTTTGTTAAGGAGTATTTTGGATGTTTTCAGCCCTGTTTCTAGTCTACACCTGGTCCAGGAATCTGTGTCCTTAGGATCGTCATAGAAGGACATCACTAGAGAATATTGTGTGCTGTCAACATCTCTCTCTGTGTGTGCATTGTTTTTTGGGGGGTTTTTTGTTTGTTTGTTTGTTTGTTTATTTTACAGAAACAAGGTCTCGCTATGTTGCCCAGGCTGGTCTCAAACTCTGAGACTCAAGTGATCCTCTTGCCTCGGCCTCCCAAAGTGCTGGGATTACAGATGTGAGCCACCACGCCCAGCCAGTGTGAGTTGTTTTTACAGCAGATAAGAAGAATGTTTTCTTATAATTTCAGAAGTATATGGTTATATAACTATATCATGACTTTCAACTATAAAGAAGAAAGAAATGGGGCTGGGCGTGGTGGCTCACGCCTATAATCCCAGCACTTTGGGAGACTGAGGCAGGCGGATCATCTGAGGTCGGGAGTTTGAGACCAGCCTGACCAACATGGAGAAACCCCATCTCTACCAAAAATACAAAATTAGCTGGGCGTGGTGGCGCATGCCTGTAATCCCAGCTACTTGGGAGGCTGAGGCAGGAGAATCACTTGAACGCGGGATGGGGAGGTTGTCGTGAGCTGAGATCACGCCATTGCACTCTAGCCTGGGCAACAAGAGCAAAACTCCGTTTCCAAAAAAAAGAAAGAAGGAAATAGATTCATAGTATATGTGGATTCAGTGGAATTCTGTGGGGTTTTATTTAACTAACATTTCAAAAGTGATACACAGAAGACTTTTCTCTGAACGCAGTACCTAAAGTAACATCCTTCCCCTATATACGCAAGATCATATTGTCCTATTTATTCTTCTTATACTTTTCATCATCAGAAATTATCTCATGTGTGTATATATATTATGATATAATATATGGCGTATATATTTACTTTCTTATTGCTGTCTTACCTTCTCTGGAATGTTAGATCCTTGAGGGCAGAAACTTTATTACCAGCACATAGTGGATGCTCATTAACTTAAAAAAAATTAAAATGAAGACATCAATCATTTAGGTCAGGGGTGTCCAATCTTTTGGCTTCCCTAGGCCACATTGGAAGAAGAATTGTCCACATATGAGATACACTAACATGAATGATAGCTGATGAGCTAAAAAACAAAAATTGCAAAAAAAATATGATAATGTTTTAAGAACGTTTATGAAGTTGCATTGGGCTGCATTCAAAGCCATCCAGGGCCACAGGTTGGACAAGCTTGATTTAGAAGTTTGTGATGGCTTAGGTGTCAAGTATTTGATTCTTAAAATGATTGAAAAACAAATGATTAGTTAGTTGTAAGGTAATTTAGTTTGGTTACAGTAAGTTACTAGTGAAACCAAGATTAACAGTTTAATATGTGGATGGTCTAACAATTGGGGAAATGGGGACTTTAAAATAATATTTAAAATTATATTTTCTAGTATTTCTTATCTCTGAAATTATAATTATTTCTCCATTCATAATTCACTCATTTAGTACATTTGCTAGAGTGCCTACTTATACCAGCTATATTCTAGGGACACACAAATGAACAAACTCTCTGTCCTATAAAGGCCTACCAGCTAAGCAGGGAGGCAGATGAGCCAGTGTAACCCAGGGTTCTCCATGCTATCATGGGAACAAATTCTGGGCACTGTGGGTGGGACCGCTAACATGAAGTTGAAGTTTCAAGGTAGAGACATCTAAGTTGAGACTGAAGAAATCAGAATTACCAGTTGGCAGAGGGTGTAGTGTGAGTCAGAAAAGGATAGGGGTGGGGTAGATTTGGAGGAAGAGGACAAAAGAAGAAATAACATATTGAGAGGATCTGGAGCCTTGGAGAGAAATGGATGTGACTTTGCATGGAAGGGAACATAGATTGTTGGGGTGGAGACTGGTATGAAATGCAGCTGGGAATGTGTGGAAGAGTCAAGATATGGAAGGATCAAGATATGTGTCTGGAGGACATTGAGACTCACTGGAGGGCTTTAAACCCAGGAGGGGCATGGCTAGAGTTTTAGGGTACATGGATGATTTGATATGTTTGTGAGTATGACCCACTGTTTACCCTACAATCACCAGTTTCCACAGTTGCAAGAGGGGAGGGTGTAGAAATGGCTCGGGAGAAAGCCATTCCTATTAATATATTTTCTTAAAATCCCTGGATGCATGCAGCTTACTCTATGACACGATTGATTAAATAACACCTTATAAAGAATCAGGCTAGGCGCAGTGGCTCATGCCTCTAATCCCAGCACTTTGGGAGGCCAAGGCGGGCAGATCACTTGAGGTCAGGAGTTCGAGACCAGCCTGGCCAACGTGATGAAACCCCATCTCTACTAAAAATGCAAAAATTAGCTGGGTGTGGTGGCATGCTCCTGTAGTCCCAGCTATTCAGGAGGCTGAGGCAGGAGAATCACTTCAACCTGGGAGGTGGAGGTTACAGTTAGCCGAGTTTGTGCCACTGCACTCCAGCCTGGGCAACAGAGCAAGACTCCGTCTCAAAAAAAAAAAAAAAATCAACCAGGCCAGGCGTGGTGGCTCAAGCTTATAATCCCAGCACTTTGGGAGGCCGAGGCGGGTAGATCCATGGTGAGACCCTGTCTCTACTTGAACCCAGGAGGCAGAGGTTGTAGTGAGCCAAGATAGTGCTACTGCACTCCAGCCTGGGTGACAGAGCAAGACTCCATCACAAAAAAAAAAAAAAAAAGAATCGGCCAAAAGATGTTCCCTCTCATCTGTCTGACATTCCCGTTAAAAACAAACAAATAAAAAAAGGATGTTCCCATCCTCTGTCACACCTTTTTCTAAGAATCTTTTCTTCATCATATTTTCTCATCTTAGAACAACAAGCTCACCCTCTTCCGCCAGCTGCAGCAGATGACGTACAGCCTGATCGAGTGGCGGTCCCAGATCCTGTCTGGGACGCTCCCCAAGGATGAACTGGCAGAGCTCAAGAAGAAAGTCACAGCCAAAATTGATCATGGGAACAGGTAGGTAAACCAGGGATGGCTTTTCACTGAAAACTTGGCGAACAGTGGGCATGTTCACGCTAATGACACTGTTTGCAGCGACCTTTGATCTTAGAGTTGCCAAAGAATAATGCTTACTGCTCTCATTTTGTCTTTGAAGACATTTAATTTTGTTGAAAAAAATGTCACAGTTCCCTCCATGGCCAGGCTCTGTGTTGGATCTCTGATCCCATGGAGGTGACAGATGATCAGGAAAGATGGGTCTTGGACTGAGGCTGCTCCACTCCAAATAAAGAAAACAAAAACAAAAAACCTGGCTGGGCACAGTGGCTCACACTTGTAATCCCAGTACTTTGTGAGGATGAGGCTCGAGGATCACTTGAGCCCAGTAGTTTGGAACCAGCCCAGACAACATAGCGAGGCCCCATCTCTACAATAAATATTTGGAAATTAGCTGGGTGTGGTGGTGCACACCTGTCATCCCACCTACTCGGGAGGATCACTTGAACCTGGAGGTTCAAGGCTGCAGTGAGCCATGATTGCATGCCTGCACTCCAGCCTGGGCAACAGAGTGAGACCCTGTCTCACAAACTAAACTAAACTAAAATCCCTGAAAATGACCAAGCCTCTGAAGTTGACATTTTCAGATACTTGGGACTGTATCTATTTTTATTCTAACAGTGGATTCCAAATCAATACCAGACTCATTCTCTTTATTTCTCTTCATCTCCCCCTAACCGGGACCATTGTCTATGGTGTGTGAAAAGCAGACTTGCAGGAGTAGTAAAACATGTTTGTAGCCTGTTGATTATGGCTACAATCACCTCTACAGAGTTAATCACTTCATTAATCTTCTGATTAACTCAGGCACATATCCAGGCTCCAGATATCACTGCCTTTAGGAAAATGAGAAATTCAGTCCTATATCCAAATTGGTGGTGGCCTGGGGTTTTTGCCTCCTGACCAGCACTTTTTTAAAAGGCAAAAGTGGTTCCTCGGTTAGCTGTTATTGGTGATTCTTTTGGAATTAGTTTCATTTTCTAAATTTCTTCAACTTGTGCATATGTGATTTTTTTCCTCCTCCTCTACCTTGCTTTTCTAGTGTCGGAATTCTTGGATATCCCTCAGAGACCTATTAAAATATAGATCATTATGCCACTTATTTAAATGTCATAGACTCTGACAACTATATTCTGAAGTAGCCGAAGTGAACATGCCATGCAGGATTCAGATTCAAGCAGTATTTAGGAAACACCTTCTATGTACATTTCATATACATTACTTGATTATAATCTTAAAACATAGGGTTGAGGTAGCTGTTATTATTTACATCTTATGGATAAAGAAACAGACCAAGTGAGCTTAAGTGATTTATTTCCCAGTCACATAGATAATAAATGGGAAAGGTTAAATTTGAACCCAAGACTTTTGACTCCATGTCTAATGCTGCCTTCTTAGGGTTAAGAATTAATAGTGCCCTTCCCTATTACTTGACCACCCAGAAGACCATACCTACAGTGGCTGCACTGCCAGGCTTGTGGTGTCAGAGGACTTATTAAAAGGCCAATTAGGCCAGGTGAGGTTGCTCATGCCTTTAATCCCAGCAGTTTGGGAGGCTGAGGTGGGCAGATCACCAGAGGTCAGGAGTTCGAGACCAACCTGGCCAACATGATGAAACCCCATCTCTACTAAAAATATAAAAATTAGCTGGGCATGGTGGCATATGCCTGTAATCCCAGCTACTTGGGAGGCTGAGGCACAAGAATCGCTGGAACTCAGGAGGTGGAGGTTGCGGTGAGCCAAGATCATGCCACTGCACTCCAGCCTGGGTGATAGAGTGAGAATCCCTCTCAAATTAATTAATTAATTAATAAAAGGCCAATTGGGTAGGATAAGGAAACTCCATTGCACATAGGACACCTCTGTCATTTGGTGTCTTGCCATGACATTGGCCTGGAGGTCCCGTGATCTCTGGCACAGGATGTTCACACCCCACAAACGGCAGAACATGACTTCTTTCCCGTTCCAGCTCTTGGAAGTCGCTCAGGAAATGGAGCTGCTGTGTCAGTGCCTTCCTGATCCAGTCTCCGAGCAGCCAGCATGGCCATTGTTCATGAGTCTGGGTGGCCTGTGGGTCTGGCCGCCATGGAAAGGAACCTGCCAGATCAAATCACTTGATAGAGATGCTGTAAAACAGGGAGGAGGGAGAGGAGGCATTTTTGCTTTCTTCCCAAAGACTTGGCACATTGCAGTGTTATCCCTGAGCGGTCTTGCTCTTTGGTACCGGGAATGCATGCTGGGTATTCGGATAGCAGTATCCTATTTCCACCACAGTCCTCAACTTCTTGAGCCTAAGCAAAATTTTTTCTACTTCTGTGTGCACTTTGGGCACAAAAGCCTTGAGGGGAGGGATTGCACCCACGATATGGCCGTTAGTATTCCCAAGCATATGCAGAGCTACAACTTCACACACAGCCAGGTGTTTGCTTCTACTAGTTGCTGCGATAAGAGCTGTGTTAGTCCATTCTCACACTGCTATAAAGAAATACCTGAGACTGGGTAATTTATAAGAAAAGTGGTTTAATTGACTCATGGTCTGTTGGCTGTACAGGCAGCATACCAGCTTCTGCCTCTGGGGAGGCCTCAGGAAACACAATCATGGCAGAAGGGGAAGCAAGCACGTCTTACATGGCCAGAGCAGGAGTAAGAGAGAGAGAGGTGGGAGGGGCTACAGACTTTTAAACAACCAGATCTCGTGAGAACTCTATCACGAGAACAGCACCAAAGGGATGGTGTTAAACCATTTATGAAGGATCCACCCCCATGATCCAATCACCTCCCACCAGGCCCCACTTCCAACATTGGGGTGAATGTGAGATTTGGGTGGGAACATAGATCCAAACCATATCAAGAGCTAACATTTATGCTTAAGCTGAGAGTTTACTGTATGCTACATATAGTATTAGGTACTGTACATGCATTATCTTATTAAATTCTCACAACAGGGCCAGGTGCAATGGCTTATGCCTATAATCCCAGCACTTTGGGAGACCGAAGTGGGAGGCTCACTTGAAGCCAGGAGTTCAAGACTAGCCTGGGCAACATAGCAAGACCCCATCTCTACAATTTTTTTTTTTTTAATTAGCTGAGCATGGTAATATAAGCCTGTAGTCCCAGCTACTTGGAAGGCTGAGACAGGGACTGCTTGAGCCCAGGAGTTTAAGGCTGTCTCTAAAAAAAATAAAAATAAATAAATTCTCACAACAACCTTGAAGGGTAAGGAATGTATACAAATGAAGAAACCAAAGTTGTGCAGAATTAAGTAAATTCTCCAGGGTCATAATGTTAGCAAGTATTCAAGCCAAGATTCAAATCCTGGTCTAAATGACACCAGAGCCCATGCTCTGGGCATGAGATAGCAGCAAGCCAGGACTTACTTCACTCGTCTCCTTTATGACCATCTTAAGTTAAGGAAATCAAGGCAAGCCCTCAAATAATTGTTCATTGGTCCTTCATAGCAATGTAATAAACAGTGAGACCACGCCCACTTGGTCTGTTCCTTTACTCATAAAATGGAAATAATAACATTTACCTCCACCCTACCTCATGGCATTATAATCAATCAATGTTTGTGAAGTGTATATAGGAGGTATGTGTGTATGTATTTATTTATTTATTTATTGTTTCAGACAGGGTCTTGCTTTCTCATGCAGGCTAGAGTGCAGTGGTGCAATCCTGACTCATTGCAGCCTCAACTTCCTGGGCTCAAGCCATCCTCACACCTCAGCCCCCCAAGTAGTTGAGACTACAGGCGTGTGCTACTACACCTGGCTAATTTTTGTATTTTTAGCAGAGACAGGGTTTCAACATGTTGCCCAGGCTGGTCTTGACCTCCTGGTCTCAAGTAATCCGCCCACCTCAGCCTCCCAAAGTGCTAGGATTACAGACGTGAACCACGACGCCTGGCAAAGGAGGTGTTTATTAAACACAGGTTGAATCTTAATTTTGTTTGCTCTATTTACTTCATAGTTCCTCTTCATAATAACAGAAGATTACAGGCAAGAAGCATTGGCCAGAGGAATTTAGTCAGAATCAGTGCCAATTTTACTTTTCTCTTCAGGGTCTATGGACCATATTTGCATATCCTTCTACGACTTTGGCTAATATCATCTCATGAGTTTTCTAACAGTGTTGAAAGGTGGCAGAAACTGAAATGAGAAAAGTCAATGAGGTGTGCTTCCCTGGGCTTGTCCAGCATCTCCCTTTCTAACTATGGATCCTCTGGGCTCCTTGACAAGGACTCCTCAGTAAAAAGTCTGCCCCTGGTGAGGAGAACCAGCTGACTACTCCTTTCTCTCCAGAATGCTGGGGTTAGATCTGGTGGTGCGAGATGACAATGGGAACATCCTAGACCCTGACGAAACCAGCACCATTGCCCTCTTCAAGGCCCATGAGGTGGCCTCCAAAAGGATTGAGGAAAAGATCCAAGAAGAGAAGGTACAGTTCCTCAAATGTGAAATTCTGCCCACTGAGGTTCCATTTTTGCCTTGGTTTTTAATGAAAGAAAGGGAAATCATTGAGAACAAAACTACTTCTGTAGTTTTCGTCCTCATTTTAAAAGTGAAACATAGCAGAAAGGATGAGGCAGGTATATATATATATATGTTCTGATATGGAAAGATCGCAAAGATACGTATTAAGTGAAAAGATCAGGATCCATAATGGTATATATGAAATGCTATTATTTGTGTTTCAAAAAATGTATATAAATCTATGCTTGCATATACATAGACTAACTCTGAAATAATAGACAAGAAATAATTATTAATGGATGCATCTGGGAAGGAAAACGGGGTGGGAGGGAGACTTCTTAAATGTGTAATCTCTTGCATTCATTGCATATATTGCAATTTCAAAATAAATAGTATTTATTTTTATTTTTTATTTATATGTTTATTTTTGAGACGGAGTCTTGCTCTGTTGCCCAGGCTGGAGTGCAGTGGTGCAGTCTCAGCTCACTGCAACCTCTGCTTCCCGGGTTCAAGCAATTCTCCTGCCTCAGCCTCCCGAGTAGCTGGGATTACAGGCACCCACCACCACACCCGGCTAATTTTTGTAATTTTTTTTTTTTTTTAGATGGAGTCTTGCTCTGTTGCCCTGGAGTGGCCAGATCTCAGCTCACTGCAACCTCTGCCTCCTGGGTTCAAGCTGTTCTCCTGCCTCAGCCTTCCGAGTAGCTGGGATTACAGGCGCCCACCACCACGCCTGGCTAATTTTTGTATTTTTAGTAGAGACTTTCACCATGTTGGCCAGGCTAGTCTTGAACTCCTGACCTCCTGTGATCCACCTGCCTTGGCCTCCCAAAGTGCTGGGATTACAGGCGTGAGCCACCAAGCCTGGCCAATTTTTGTATTTTTAGTAGAGATGGAGTTTCACCATATTGGTCAGGCCGGTCTCAAACTCCTGACCTCAGGTGATCCACCCTCCTCGGCCTCCTGAAGTGCTGGGATTATAGGCATGATCCACTGCACCCAGGCTAAAATAAATAATATTTAAAAATAAAGTGTTTGAAAGACTTCAAAGGTAATAATTGGACATTAAAGAAAAATTAGAATCCATGCATGGTGCCTCATGCCTATAATCCTAGCCCTTTGGGAGGCTGAGGTGGGCGGATCATTTGAGGCCAGGAGTTCAAGACCAACTGGGCAAATAGTGACATAGTGAGACCCCATTTCTACAAAAAATTTTTTAAAAAATTAGCTGGACGTGGTAGTGCATGACTGTAGTCCCAGCTACCCAGGAGGCTGAGGCAGGAGGATCACTTGAGACTGGGAATTTAAGGCTGTAGTGAACTATGATCATACCACTGCACTCCAGCCTGGGCAACAAAGCAAGACCCTGCCTCTTAAAAAAAAAAAAAAAAAAAACTTACTCATATTTTGATTTCTCAGACCCAAACATATTGACATTTTAATATGTTTTTTTTCCAGTCTTTCTGTTCTAATGAGTAAAGATTTGTGTCAATTTTCTTTGGTTTGTTGGTTTGTAGTGTTTACTTCTTTAGCATGGTCATGATAATATTTGTGTTCTGAATCCAATGGCAAACCACACCTGAAGGTAAAGCCTTTCTAGTGGAATATTTTGTTTTTAATGAGAGTTATTTCTTTATCCAGGATAATGGATCATGATGTTTGTGCTTTTGAGCTTCATTCAGAAGCTATTGTGTAAGACAAGCACCTCTTGGAGCTACCAAAACCCTGGAATTATCACCTTTAGACAGCATTTGTTTGAATGTCTGGGATTCAAGGCCCTGAACAGGACAGTCTTGATCACTGAAAATATAATGATTATATTTTGCTCACTGCATTTGTCCACTTACATACACTTTTTCTTAGCAAATGCACTTCCTCTCGGGTGTTATCTGTGTTTTGTTTTTTGTTATTTATTGATTAATCAACTGATTGATTGAGACAGGGTCTCACTTTGTTGCCCAGGCTGGAGTTCAGTGACTCCATCATAACTCACTCACTGCAGCCTCCTCTGTTCCCAGGTAGCTGGGACTACAGGCACAGCTAATTAAAAAAAAATTTTTTTGTAGAGACAGAGGCTTGCTGTGTTGCCCAGGCTGTTCTCAAATTCCTGGGCCTCTAGTAGCACTGGGATTACAGGAATGAGCCACTGTGCCCAGGCTTTGTCTGCCATTTGCAGGCTTATTTATTTATTTATTTATTTTTGCCAACATTTCCCATTTGCCAAAATCAAGATGTTTTTCTCTGTTCCCTCTTTGTTCAGTCAATCCTGCAGAACCTCGATTTGCGGGGCCAGTCCATCTTCAGTACCATCCACACCTATGGCCTCTATGTGAACTTCAAGAACTTTGTCTGCAACATCGGGGAAGATGCAGAGTTGTTTATGGCCCTCTACGACCCAGACCAGTCCACTTTTATCAGGTAGCAGAGACCCACATCCCCTGCTGCTGACCTAACAAAGATACCCAGCCTTCCCCTGACCCCTACCCGGGCAGCTCTTTGCCAGA
This sequence comes from Homo sapiens, assembly GCF_000001405.40. Classification (NCBI taxonomy): domain Eukaryota; kingdom Metazoa; phylum Chordata; class Mammalia; order Primates; family Hominidae; genus Homo; species Homo sapiens. The sequence continues at coordinate 25,299,188 of NC_000008.11, forward strand.
TTTGAGAAGAGAAAATAGGGAAGCATGGAAGATTTCTAAGCAGTAGAATGTAAAATCATATGGTCTATGAAGCCTTCATATGTCACTACTAGAACAATGAGGCCAGTTTGTATACTCTCTGGGATTTAGAGATCACATAAAACTCATTAGGGCTTGGAGATGGGAACAAAGAATTCAAAACAGTGTGTGGGAGGGTGAGAAAGGGATGAATAGGCAGAGCACAGAGGATTTTTAGAGCAACGGCAGTATTCTGTATGATGCTATAGTGGTGGATGCATGTCATTATGAATTTGTCTAAATGCACAGGACGTTCGATGCCAGGAGGGAACCCTTATGTAAACTGTGGGCTTTGGGTACATGATGTGTCAATGTAGCTTCATCAGTTTTAACTAATGTTACTACTATGGTCGGGGGAATGTTGGTAGCAAAGGAGGTTGTGTCTGAGGGGAGAGAATATGTTATGGGACTCTATTTTCAGCTCAACTTTGCTGCAAAGCCAAAACTGCTCTAAGAAAATAATGTCTATTAAAAAACATTTTTTTTAAGACTCTAAGGAGTGTGATGGGCATTGTTCAGCCCTACAGTGGTACTACTGTTTAGCAGCTAAGAAAATGGAGAATTTATTTTTGAGAAGATAGTTAAAAGTAATTGCTGACAATTTGTTTCTTTAAAAAAAATTTTTTAATGTCAATGTGGATTACAGGGGATAGATTTGGAATGACTGTTATAAAATTAAATTCTTTTTTTATCTTTTATTTATTGTTTATTTTTTGAGACAGAGTTTAGCTCTTGTCGTACAGGCCCGCATCCTGGGTCCAAGCGATTCTCCTGCCTCAGCCTCCCAAGTAGCTGGGATTACAGGCACCTGCCACCATGCCCAACCAATTTTTGTATTTTTAGTAGAGATGGAGTTTTACCATGTTGGCCAGCCTGGTCTTGAACTCCTGACCTCAGGCGATCCGCCCGCCTTGACCTCCCAAAGTGCTGGGATTACAGGCGTGAGCCACTGCGCCCTGCCTAAAATTAAATTATTAATTTAGCAAAGCTGAAACTTTTATTCAAAGATTTTGAGATGGAAGGACAACCCAGACCGTAGCATCCCATAAGCTCTACCATGTCTGTGCCCACCAGGAGCAGTGGGTTTCCTGCATCTGTGTGGGGCATGTCTTGCGGAGCCACAGCAGGGACGCTTCTCTAATGCCAGGACACCCAGCAGTGGCCATCTGTGTGGTCCCAGTTCCCAACTCAGCTGTTTTCACACCGGCCTGTTGAATTTCACTGAGCATTTCTGGCCTTTCCTCCTTCCCTTGTAAGTCTATACTGAGGGTAGCCTCATCTCCAACCCCAGTTAGCCTCTCATTAAGAGCAATTTTTTTTTCCTTTGCCAGTGAGAACTATCTAATTCGTTGGGGCAGTAACGGGATGCCCAAGGAAATAGAGAAGCTCAATAACCTCCAAGCAGTGTTTACAGTAAGTCCTCCCTTCTGTTTAATCATTCTCTTTGTTTGTGATATGAGCATATTCACATAATGAATATGTGGAAAACATACAAAATGAAAAGATGAAAGGAAAAATCATCAATCTGCCTAGCAGGAATAACCCACCCATTTATTCAACATGTACTTCAATGCCAGGCACTGATTTAGACACTTGAGATACATCCGTGAAAAATCGGGGAAAAAAAAGCAGCTTTTGTCCTGATTGGTAAGACACATAATAAACAATAATCAATCCAGGCACAGGGGCTCACGCCTGTAATCCCAGGACTTTGGGAGGCCAAGGTGGGAGGATCACTTGAGCTCAGGAGTTCGAGACCAGTCTGTGCAACATGGTAAAACCCTGTCTCTACTAAAGAATTTAAAAAAGGAAAAATGACCTTAAAGTACAAGAGGAGTGATGCTGGCAATTCGGATATGCCAAAGAGAAGCGTGCTCCCTTTAAGTGAAAAGGTAAAACTTTATAAATACTTATGTATAGGAAAAAACAGCACATATAGAGTTCGGTACTGTCTTTGGTTTCAGGTATCCACCAGGGGTCTCAGAGCATATTCATCACAGACAAGGGGGGGCTACTCTATCAATGTGCCACAATATATGTAACTAGTCACCTGGAGTCTTTATTTTTCCATTAACAGAAGCCTTGCAGACCTAGAGTAGAAATGCAGGGTGGACGTTATCATTGATGTATATCTTGGAGACCTGAGTTAACTAAATTACAGGGGCTGGATTTGGAATGATTATGTTAAAAGTGATTCTTGCTTCAGTAAAGAGAGCTTGGGCAGCTGTTTCATATAACCAATTTGAGATGTGATTAGTTTTTTTTCTGAAGTCGAACTGAATGAGAGATATCAGCTCATTCCTGGGTTTACTCACCCATCCTTAAGAAAACAAATAATGGCTGGGCGCGGTGGCTCATGTCTGTAATCCCAGCACTTTGGGAGGCCAAGGAGGCTGGATCCCTTGAGCCTAGACGTTCAAGGCCAAGGCCAGCCTGGATAACATAGGGAGACCTTGTCAAAAAAAAAAAAAATACAAACAAGTGTAGAACCCTAGCTGCAAGAGAAATAGGTATTTCATTGACACATCTGTCATGATTCAGTATACACTGATAAGCTCTCAATAGAGACCTCTCATAAATCAGGTGAATAGTCCCATAAAGCAGTGCCTGTCTCATAGTTGCCTCATGGGCTTGTTTTGAAGAGGAAATGAAATGTCACAGACTTGTGTGGATACCCAATAAATGTCAGTGTTACACAAGTTTTTACTTCATTTGATGTTGAAATGCATCCTGTGCTGAGATACGTCCAAAGATATACAATCGCAATGATGAGGGCCCTGATTTTTCAATACCCTGCTTAAGCTGATGAACTGGAGACTTCCAACGGGCTGTGATCTGATTTGTAAATTTGAAGTAGGAACTGGGGAACAAAAAAGCACTTGTTTACAAGCACAAAGTCATGTTTTCTGATGCCATAATAGCTCTTGGATGGAGATGGGGGAGAAGAGAGTCGTTCTAATACTTCAGCATTGAGAAATAAGGTCGGAACAGGATTTTGTTGTAGAGGGTAAAGAAAAAAGAGACACAGGTGACACAGTGGTCCAGCCCCACCTCCTCTCACACTTTCTCTGCCCCTTTAGGACCTTAGCAGCATGGACCTCATCCGGCCCCGCGTCAGCCTTGTGTGCCAGATTGTCCGCGTGGGCCATATGGAGCTGAAGGAAGGCAAGAAGCACACCTGTGGACTCCGAAGACCTTTTGGAGTGGCAGGTACAAGAGAGACCCAGAGACAAATGTGAAATAGTGCAGTGCTGTGGAAAATAGCATGGCGATTTCTCAAAAAATTAAACATGGAACTAGCAAATGATCCAGCTGCCCTGCTTCAAAACAATCAAAAGCAAGGTCTGGAGGAGATATTTGTGCATCCATGTTTGTAGCAGTATTATTCACAATAGGCAAAAGATGGAAGTAACCTAGGTGCCCATCAGTGCATAAATGGACTAAGAAACTGTGGTGTGTACGCACAATGGAATAATACTCGCCTTAAACAGGACGGGAATTTTGACTCATGCTACACACTGCGTGGATGAACCTTGAGGACTTTACACTAAGTAAATAAGTGAGACACAAAAGGACAAATATTGTATGATCCCACCTATATGAGGCACCTAGAGTAGTCAAATTCTCAGAGACAGTATAGAGTGGTGAGTGTCAGGGGCTGGAGAGGGGGAATGGGGAGTTAGTGTTTAATGGGTACGGAGTTTCCATTTGGGAAGATGAGAAAGTTCTAGAGATGGAAGGTGATGATGGTTGCACAACAATGTGAATACACGTAATGCCACTGAACGGAATACTTTAAAATGGGCAAGATGGTACATTTTATGTTATGTGTGTTTTACCACAATTTTGAAAATAGAGGAAGAGAAGGAGGAAAGGAGGAAGAAAGGTGGAAGAAGGCACAGAGATAGTAAGAGATGGATCACGTTGTCATTGTCAGTATCAGACACGCAGCATTTACTGCCTGGCACTGCCCGTTTTCTTTGCATGGGTTCTGTGTCCTCACCTGGCCCACGCTCCTTTCTTTCCCCCTTAGTGCCCAACACTGTGTCTTATACACAATAGAACCTAAGTTGTGACTATTGGAATCCTCCCTGTCTGGGTCTGCGTATTGATTTTAGTGGAATAAAATACTCGCTGGGAAGTGGTTTGCCGGTCTAGGAAATTTACTCTTCGAAGACAATGTTGTGTTTGTTTCTAAATGCTTTCAGAGATCCTCCTTGGCTTACATCAAACCCCAGAACCTGCTTAAACGCCCAGCATCTTCCTCTGTAGTTTGTTCAATTGAGGAAATACATTTTGGGCCTTACATTGACATTTTGGTTGCTCATAGATTGAAAGCGATCAAGGAAATGTTATAATTCTGCTCCTGGACCTTTGGTTCCATACTTACTAAAAAGTAACCTGATGTTAAATTTCTCAAGAATTTAGCAACTCGGGCGGGGCACGATGGCTCATCCCTGTAATCCCAGCACTTTGGGAGGCCGAGGCAGGCAGATCATCTGAGGTCAGGAGTTCAAGACCAGCCTGGCCAACATGGTGAAACTCTGTCTATACTAAAAAAATACAAAAGTTAGCCAAGCGTGGTGGCATGTGCTGTAGTAGTCCCAGCTACTTGGGAGGCTGAGGCAGGAGAATTGCTTGAACAGGGGAGGTGGAGGTTGCAATGAGCCAAGATTGTGCCACTGCACTCCAACCTGGGCAAAGGAGCAAGACTGTCTTTTAATAAAAAGCAAAAGAATTTAGCAACTCGATCTTGTAGAGTTTTTAAAGTGGGTAGTCTGCAAAATTGATCCAGTAAAACCCAGACCCCTTCCTTAGCACCTCATGAGTCACTTTTTTGCTGGGCTAGGTACACTGGGAATCACCATTGGCAAAGAAATTTTAAAAAAGTCCCTGCTTAGTACCTTTCTTCCTGCAGTGTTTGATGTTTGCTGATACTGTCCTTTTCCATAGTAACTTACTGAGGCATGAAGCAATTAGTTTCTTTAATGAAGTTTATCTTTTTCCTAGTGATGGATATTACTGATATCATACATGGGAAGGTGGATGATGAAGAAAAGCAGCATTTTATTCCCTTTCAGCAGTAAGTACTTTGGCATGTGTCCCAGGTGACTTGAGACCTGGATTAGCCATTCAATTGTCTTTTAACACAGAAACAGGTGTTAGAAACCATTTTCTCAGAGAAGGAAAGATTCTAAGCTGCAAGATTGTCAGATAGGAGCTGAACAGAAGACTTTATTCAAAGTCCTTGATGTTGGACTCCCATTGAAGAGGGTAAACTGAACTTTCCTGATTCTATAGAAAGCATCAAAGGAATATAAAAGGGCACATATCTGTCTGCTCTGGAATGCAGAGAGGGTGCCGTCCTTGTGTCAGCAATGCCAAAATATATGTGCAGTCTATTGCATGAAACAGGCATCATGGATGACACGGAATCACGTGGGCTAGCATAGGGCTTCTCAGACTGCATCATGCATATGAATCAGGGGAACTTGTTAGGCTGCAGGGGAGTTCTGCCTCTGACAAGCTCCCAGGTGATGCTGATGTAGCTGGTCTGAGGGCCACACTGTCTGTAGCGAGGGTTTAGGAGATGAGAGAGTGAAGGGCTGACCCACCCATGGGCCAGTGTTCCTGCATGTTGGGGGAAAGCCAGCCTGGGAGCATGTGAAAGGATCCTTGCAGAGCTTTACTGAGGCCCTCCATATTGAGCTGCAGGAGCTGGAGCCATGGGTAGGCCATTGAGGAGCTGTTGGGAGCAGATTCAAGCCGTGTCACTCTGAAGAAGTGCAGGTGTGAACGTCATGACCTGCTCCAGCACCTGCACAGGCAGTGGAGGCCTAGTGGAGGCCAAGAGCATTGCCGGGACCAAGTCCCACCAGGGGCCATCGTGCCAGTCAGAGGGCATCATCTCAGCTCACTTGCAGCTGCCACTGCAGACAAGTAGAACAAACTGAGAATTCCACAAACCAGCCAGAGTCATATATTTGAGTTAATATATCACTTTTTACAAATGATATCACAAATTAGTGGAGAAAGATACATTATGCAAAAAAAAAAAAAAAAGGTTTTTGGAGAAAGTTAGCTAGCCATTTAAGATCCCGAAGTTAGATTCCAGTCTCACAACTTATGCCAGTGTAAATTTTAGATGATTAAACATACAACTGTAAGAGCTAGAATCTTAAAATATTAACGGGAAAATAGAAGTTTTATGTGGTAGTCATGGGAGGGAGGCCGTTTTAAAGATTCAGCCAAAAAAAGAAAAATTGATAGGTTTAACCACCCAAAAACTGTAAAGAACTTAATACATAGAAAAAAATCGATACAGTCTTTGCACTGTGTTTGAGAAAGGATGAATATTTGTAATATATAAAGAATTAATAGAAATTAATAAGGACATGAAGGGAATACACACACATACAGAAATGGTGTTGTACATTTATTGAGGATGAGTGAAATGCAAATCGAAACATCAAGGTTTATTTTTTATCTTGACCACACTTTAGTGTTTGGGTAGATATAAGGAGACATACATTACTTATAGAGAATATGAATTGTTACAATGCATTAGAAGTCTTAAAATTTAGATATTTCAAAAAATGTACTCCATGATTAACAGTGATTATTTCTGTTGATGTAACTCTTGGTGATTTTGCTCCTGTTTTTGTTTTCCTGTTGTCTGTTTTTTATACAAAAAATATGTATTATATGTAATATATAAAATATAACAATTTTAATCTTTCAATGTTAAGTCCACACCTTCGGACCAGTTTCTAAACATAATAGTGCAAATAGCCCATGCTAAGTAGTACTTGTCTCTTTTATCCAGAGGCTGCTATGAATTATTTTTTTAAAATATGGCCATTGCACTCCATCCTGGGTGACAGAGCCATACGCTGTCTCAGATAAAATAAAATATAAGGTAAAAATAGATAAAATAAAATAGTTAAAAAATAAAATGCACTTACCTTGTATGCTACCACCTATATATTGACCTTCCAAGACGAGACAAATATTTTATGTAGCACAGTGCTAAAGTTAATTATGTGATAACTTTCATCTCCATGAATGCTGCTCTTGTTTTGTGCATAATATAAAACACTGCATGCACATACCTATATAAATATGTATTGTATAATATATAAATATGTTTAAGTATATTTAATAAACATGTTGAATTTAGGTCCGGGCGCATAGGCTTACGCCTGTAATCCCAGCACTTTGGGAGGCCAAGGCGGGCAGATCACAAGGTCAGGAGATCGAGACCACGGTGAAACCCTGTCTCTACTAAAAATACAAAAAATTATCTGGGCACAGTGGCGGGCGCCTGTAGTCCCAGCTACTCGGGAGGCTGAGGCAGGAGAATGGCATGAACCTGGAAGGTGGAGCTTGCAGTGAGCCAAGATCACGCCACTGCACTCCAGCCTCGGCGACAGAGCGAGACTCCGTCTGAAAAAAAAATAAATAAATAAAATAAAATAAATAAATAAATATGTTGAATGTAATACAATGTTAATTTGTTAATTACATTTATAAATATGCTAAATAAAATACAATCATGCATCACTTAATGGCAGTGATACGTTCTGAGAAACATGTCACTAGGCTCTCTTGTCATTGTGTAGACAACATAGAGTGTACTTACACAAACCCGGAATATATAGACTACTACACACCTACGCTGTATGGTATAGCCTATTGCTCCTAGACTGTAAACCTGTCCAGCAAGCTACTGTACTGAATACTGCAGGCAGTTGTAACACAGTGCTATTTGTGTCTTTAAACATATTTAAACATAGAAAAGGTAATGAGTTGGGCTGAGATGTTAAAACAGCTATAATATCACTAGGCAATAGAAATGTTTCAGCTCCATTAATAATCTTTTTTTTTTTTTTGAGACGGAGATTTGCTCTTGTTGCCCAGGCTGGAATGCAGTGGCGTGATCTCCGCTCACTGCAACCTCACCTCCTGGGTTCAAGCAATTCTCCTGCCTCAGCCTCCTGAGTAGCTGAGATTACAGGTGCATGCCATTACACCCAGCTAATTTTTCTATTTTTAGTAGAGACGGGGTTTCACCATGTTGGTCAGGCTTGTGTCAAACTCCTGACCTCAGGTGATCCACCTGCCTCGGCCTCCCAAAGTGCTGGGATTACAGGTGTGAGCCATCATGCCTGGCCAGCTCCGTTATAATCTTATGGGACCATGGTCATCTAGGCAGTCTGTCATTGACAGAAACATTGTTAGGAATATGACTGTATATTGAATAAATATAAATGTACCATATATATTATAGTACTATGAATGTGTTATATTTGTATTTAAGATTATATGTACATAATAGGAGTGACCTTCATGGATATGAAAGGTGTCTGAAACAGCCATCTGTATATTTGCTGGTGGTGATGTGCCTCCTGCTTAATTTCTGAACCAGCTTTCCTCCAGCAACCATATCACAGTACTTAGTCCTGAGATTGTCCCCACTGTATAATCCGTGCCTTGAGTCCCTGACGAACCCTGCCTTAATTTCATTACTGCTCACTGTGCAGCCAACAGCCGCAGTGGAGTATTCATGATGCAGACTGCAGCCTCTGGCATTGAATGCCTAAGATTTATGGCAAGCGCTACTATAATCTACTTCAAAAACTTTACAGTGTTTTCCAGTAGGAGAGTGTTGTATGTATATTCTGCAAGTCCATTTAGAGAGAATCATTTGTAAAAAACAGGAACTCAAGACTATAGCAATCCCATTTGCCAGTCACATATTGCAGTGTGTTTTATTGTCAGGGTACAGGGAACCCTGCAGAGAAAACTGGCCTACATGCAGTGGACAGAGGAGACAGGAGACTATTGTACTGCACCAGGCCGATGTGCAGTTGCTTATAGTGCTTCTGCCTTCAGTAGAATGGAGGCTGTATTTGGTTCTTTGATCGCCCTTTACAAGCCGCAGCCTGATAAGGTCACTCAAGTGGAGCTTGTTTGGCAGCACCTATGCCAAGATCTAGCTTGTCATCACATGGAAATCTGAGAACATCTACCAGACACCAGGCATATACACTGTGCTTATATATAGGGGGTTGACACTAGACAGGAGCCTTAACAGGCATGCGATCCCAGCCCATCTCTTACAGATGGAGAAACTGAGGCCCAAAGGGAGCCTCTTGCAGAGCTCACTATCAAGCAGAAGTAGACCTGGGGGCTCCTGCCCCTTCCGTGGGTGCTCTGTCTTCAATTCTATTGCAGCAGCCTCTTCTGCCTCTGAAAGAGCATGGAGTGTTGCCTCTGATTTTAGTTGCTAACCGTTGGTCACCAGTTTTGTGTACTCTTGGGTTTTTTTCCTCCCTCTTTGCCTCAAGTCATTTCCAAGGTGAATTTAGTATTTAAGATGACACAAAATGGAAAAATAAAGGAAAGATAGAAAGATAGGGGTACTTAGTGTTGATATCTCCAAATTATTCCTATATGACTCACCATTATCTGAGGTTGTGCTGCAGAGACTTCCTTTCTCCCCCTCCCACCTTACCTCTTATTTCTCTTTCCCAAGAATTGCGATGGAAACCTACATCCGCCAGAGGCAGCTCATCATGTCGCCTTTGATAACATCACACGTGATTGGGGAGAATGAGCCACTCACTTCAGTCTTGAATAAAGTGATTGCAGCAAAGGAAGTGAATCACAAAGGGCAAGGTACAGTCCAGTGCCAGAGCTGGGAGGGACTCTGCTGAGGGTGGGGGACATTCACAGCTGGGTCCTTGGACTCCTGCCCTTTATTATCTTTCTCTGATACAAAACAGCCTCTGCTGGGGACCATCCCCCTCAGCTTCCAACCACAGGCTTTTAATACTGAACTGCATTGAGATGCACCCAGCGGTGATTTGATCACAGTTGTGTTTTGTAAATTCTTTGGAACAAATTTTTATCCCATGAGTCTTTACTCTTTATTCATTTATTTATTTATTTATTTTTGAGACTGTCTCATGTTGTCACCCAGGCTGGAGTGCAATTGCATGGTCTTGGCTCACTGTAGCCTCCACTTCCTGGGCTCAAGCATCCTCCTACCTCAGCCTTCCAAGTAGCTGGGACTACAGACATGTACCACCATGCTCAGCTAACTTTTAAATTTTTTGTAGAGATGGAGTCTCACTATATTGCCCAGGCTGGTCTCAACTTCTGGCCTTAAGTGATCCTCCCACCTTGGCCTCCCAAATCCCTGGAACTTTAGGTATGAGCCACCGCCCCTGGCCTCCATGTTTTTGCCTACCCTTCATTCCCAATGTCGACCCTAGATAATAATTATGCTCTATTCTGAATAAGTTTATCCCATCACATTTTTTAAAATTGAGAGGAAGGAAACCAAAGTAATACAGATGAATATGTATTAATACAAAATAATGTAAAAATTGTAGTTTTTAGTATCTCCATATCATGTTCTGTTGATAGAGTGTGTTGGTGCACACCTGTAATCCCAGCTACTGGGAAGGCTAAGGCATGAGAATTGCTTGAACTCGGGAGGCAAAAGTTTCAGTGAGCCGAGGTGATGCCACTGCATTCCAGTCTGGGCAACAAAGTGAGACTCTGTCTAAAATAAAAAAAAAAGAAAGAAAGACAGAAAAATGGTTTGTTCTCAGAGGTTTAATAGCTATACACTTCTTTTTTCTTTTAACATTCTGCCTTCTTTTTCTATGTAATTCATTATTGGGAATTTAATGAAAATACAAGATGGGAAATTAAATTTTCTTAAGTAGCAAGAAAATAATCCCAGCATATTCATGTAATTATTGGATTTTTTTCATGATTTGTTATGCCTCTTTTGCCATATATTAAATTGCTATATACTATAGTGTTTCATTGTTTCATGTATATATCTTTTTTACCCCTAGGATCACAGATGGTTGTAGCTTTACTATATATTCTGGTATCTGGTAGGGTCTATCTTTACCCCTTTTTTCCCCCAAAGTTAGCATCTGTTCACATCTCTGTCAAATTCTCAAAGAGGTCCTGTTGTGATTTTAATGGAAGTGTCATTAAAATTATAAGTCAACTGGGGGAGAATTTACATCTTTACAGTAAGGTTGTGACTATACAACTCAAATGTTCTTCTCACCAGTTACGCATGTGTTTTATACATCATACAAAGAACTAAACGTTTATCTTTTATTTCTTTTAAGGCCTTTGGGTATCCTTGAAGCTCTTGCCCGGTGACCTCACCCAGGTTCAGAAGAATTTTTCACACTTGGTTGATAGATCAACAGCAATAGCCCGGAAGATGGGCTTTCCTGAAATCATACTGCCAGGTAAGCACTTTGCATGGCTCACCTGTTTGCTTCCTCCTGTTCAGCGATTATTTCTTATTGGACGGTGGAGGCAACTTGGATCCAGAAGACTTGGTTATTTACATTCATTGGTCCTGAGACACCTGGGACACAAACAGAGACACCTGCAATACTTAAACACTTAGGTGCTTCCTAATTTGTCATTATTACAAATATAAAAACCTCTGCTCTGACTATCCTTACCATGAAGTCTTTTCCACGTTTAAGACTATCTCCCCGAGAAAATTCCTGGAAGTTGGATATACAGTGTGCAAGTACAGTACACTGATATACGGTGTGCAAGCCCAAGATAATGCTTTTAAACATAACTCAAATTTTCTTACTCTCTCTTTTACGCAGACTCTCTCAAATAGCACAGGGTGCTCTGTTCAGGAGACTAATTGGCCTCATTTGTGTGTCCCTTTCTTGTTATGACATCCCCAGCATGTGGGCGCCTTGCTCTCTCCATTCTCTGAAGCTCCAAAAGCGCTCTGGCTCTCCCTGTTCTTGTTGTGACAAGAATGTCAGCATTTTCCTGTTTCATCTTCTTTCTAGTGATCTGCATATGTGTGTGTTCTCTGGAATTTGCTGACTTCGCCCATTTAATTTTAATCTCCATACTAAGAAAAGGGAATTGGTCCCTTGAATTTTATACATATTGCTATAAACTAATTGATATTAATAGAAATTCTAGAAAAACAACCATGGCTTGGCCGAGCAGGGTGGCTCACGCCTGTAAAATCAGCACTTTGGGAGGCTGAGGTGGGCGGATCATGAGGTCAAGAGATCGAGACCATCCTGGCAAAGATGGTGAAACCCCATCTCTACTAAAAATACAAAAAATTAGCTGGGTGTGGTGGCACGTGCCTGTAGTCCCAGCTACTCGGGAGGCTGAGGCAGGAGAATCGCTGAAAACCGGAAGGTGGAGGTTGCAGTGGGCCGAGATCGCACCACTGCACTCCAGCCTGGGCAACAAGAGCAAAACTCTGTCTCAAAAAAAAAAAAAAGAAAAAAGAAAAACAACCATACCATGTTAGAAAAATTCTAGAAAACCAACTTACCTATTGCACAAAAATTCAGGTTATTTTAGGCCAGGCATGGTGGCTCACGTCTGTAATCCCAGAACTTTAGGAGGCTGAGGCAGGCAGATCACATGAGGTCAGGACTTCGAGTCCAGCCTGACCAACGTGGTGAAACCCTGTCTCTATCAAAAATACAAAAATTAGCTGGGCGTGGTGGCTGGTGCCTGTAGTCCCAGCTACTCAGGAGGCTGAGGCAGGAGAATCGCTTGAGCCTGAGAGGCAGAGGTTTCAGTGAGCTATGATCGCACCACTGCAACCCAGCCTGGGCAACAGAGCAAGACTCTGCCTCCAAAAAAAAAAAAAAATTAGGTTATTTTAAAGTAATACAAAATCTTATTTCTCCTTTGAGAAATTAAGGGGCAGTGATAACTTGTTGCTGCCCACATTGTCTACATGTAGTGGGTCTTAAATGAGTATTTGTGGAAGGAATGAATAAAAATGTTATAAAATGGAGATCACTCTTTTTTCCTTTTCTCATAAAAGAAGATAGTTTTTTGCTTATTTTGTCCATTACATAGCTATTTTACCCTGATATACATTCATCAACATTCTGGGAAAATGTTTTGTCTTCTTGTTAAGGAAAAAAAAAATTAGTAGTAATATTCTCTACCTGAAGGTTGTTTTACTACTACAACAAGACACAAATCTGAAAAAATAAAGTAGAGAAGTTTATTCTTTGATCAAGGTGACAGCAGGGTTGGCTTCTCCTGAGGCCTTTGAATAAGGTGAGTTTACCTTTTAAATCTGGCTTGTAAAAGAACATTTAGTTTTGTTTTGTTTTTTAAGTCAATAGGATTGGTTCATAGGATGCCAAGGGCTACATTGGTTTTAAAATTCATCTAGAATACGGCCAGGCCAGATGGCTCACATCGGTAATCCCAGCACTTTGGGAAGCTGAGGTGGGTGGATCACTTGAGGTCAGGAGTTCAAGACCAGCCTGGCCAACATGGTGAAACCCCATCTCTATTCAAAATACAAAAATCAGCTGGGCGAGTTGACGTGTACCTGTAGTCCCAGTTACTCAGGAGGCTGAGGCAGGAGAATTGCTTGAACCCGGGAGGCGGTGGTTGCAGTGAGCTGAGATTGCACCACCGCGCTCCAGCATGGCGACAGAACAAGACTCCGTCTCAAAAAAAAAAAAAAAAAAATTAGCTGGGAGTGGTGGCGCATGCCTGTAATCCCAGCTACTTGAAAGGCTGAAGCGGGAGCATCACTTGAACCTGGAAGGCAGAGTTTGTAGTGAGGTGAGATCATGCCGCTGCACTCCAGCCTGGGCAACAGAGTAAGACTCCATCTCAAAAAAGAGAAAAAAATTCATCTAGAACAATCGTTTCCAGTGCTAGTATGTGGATCAGCTAATCAAGATCTCCTTGAAGATCTCCTTGAAAATACAGATTCCCAGATTTCTAGAGACCGATTCAGAGCTCCCAAGGTGATCTGGTGGTGAGTCAGGTCTGAGAAATTCAGGTCTAGACCCAACTCCCTGGGCTCAGAACTCCTTCCTGTTGTCCCATCACCACGTGAACTCGTTCCAGTTGCCTCCTAAACTCTTCCCTGTACCCCCTTGCCCTCTAGCAAGGAGCTTTGACTCTCGTCTTCAGCATCGCAGGAGTGATTCTGTCCACGCTCTTTCTCTGTTCTCACCTCTGCCAGCCCCACTCCAGCCTCTCAAGAGTAGCTCTCATGAGAGTCACCCATGATCATGGTATCGCTACATCTGATGGGAGTTTTCTAGCCTAGCGATCAACTCTGACCTCTCAGCAGCATCTGACATTGTTGAAATATTTCCTTCCCTTCTCATTGGTGACCCCTCACTTTTCTCTGCTTCTCCATTTCCCTGGGGCTTCTGCTAGAACCCCTTTGCCACCTTCTCATATTCTGCTTCACCTCTAAATGTTGAAGTTCCTTGTTATTTGGTCCTGAGACCCTGTGTGAGTGTGCTTGGGCTGCCATAGCAAAATACCACGGACTGGGTGGCGTCAACAACGTTTATTTTCTCACAACAAAGGACAGGGACTGGAAATTCAACACCAAGGTGACAGCAGGGATGGCTTCTTGTGAGGCCTGTCTCCTTGGCTTGCAGATGGCCATCTTCTCCCTTCGTCTTCACTTGGTTGTCCCTCTGTGCATGTCTGTGTCTTAATCTCTTTGTATGAGGACACCAGTCATATTGGATTAGGGCCCACCTATATGACCTCATTTTACCTTACTTACTCTTTTAAAGGCCCTATCTCCAAATACAGTCATATTCTGCGTTACTAGGGGTTGTGGCTTCAGCATATGAATTTGGGGAGGACACAGTTCTGCCCAGAACAGCCCTCTTTCTGTCTCACCTGTGTTTTCTCCCTAGGGGTATCATCCACTCACTTGGCTTTCATCTGCCTGTCACCTTCAAATCTGTAGCTCCAGGACCAAGACCTCTTTAATGAATTCTAGGACCCTATAGCCAGCTATTTCCTGCCTCAGGACTCCCCTCTTTTTTTTTTTTTTTTTTTTGAGGCAAGGTCTTGCTCTGTAGCGCAGGCTGGAGTATAGTTGTGTGATGATAGCTCACTGTAAGCCTCGATCTCCGAGGCTCAAGCAGTCCTCCCACCTCAGCCTCCCAGGTAGCCAGGACTACAAGCATGAGCCACCACATCTGGCTAATTTAATTTTTTTTTTTTTTTTGTAGAGATCAAGTTTCATTATGTTGCCCAGGCTAATCTTGAACTCCTGGGCTCAAGCAGTCCTCTTGCCTCTGCCTCCCAAAGTGCTGAGATTACAGGCATGAGCCACAACACTCAGCCCCTCCTTGCTTTAATTGGCTAATTCTTACTCAGCATCCCCATTTGGACCTCATAATTCTGTGCATCTAGGCCTGAGGCACCTCTCTTGTGTTTTATCTAAGAAAATAGCACCTCCATCCATTCATCCATCCATCCATCCACCCACCCACCCACCCATCTATCATCCATCCACCCACCCATCCACCTACCCATCCACCTACCCATCCAACCGTCCACCTATCTATCTAACC